>NC_000011.10:100505757-100808788 GCF_000001405.40 Homo sapiens
TGCTTAAAGAAGCTTATTTAGCACCTGCTCCCACCTCTCTAAGCTAGGTTTAAATTATATGAAGTTTGGGGAATTTGTCTTGATCTCGAAACAGCTGATGAAAAATCATTTTTATGTTTTTCTTTTCTTTTGTTACAGAATTTCAGTGCCATATGCCTAGCTTTGGTACCTATTATGGGCTGACAGTGTCCCCCCAAAATTCATATGTTGAAGCTCTAACCTCCAGGACCTCAAAATGTGACTATATTTGGAGAGAGGGCCATTAAAGAAGTAATTAAGGCAAAGTAAGGTCATATGGATGGGCCCAAATCTAATACGACAGTTATCCTTGTAAGAAGAGGAGATTAGAACAGGACAACATACACAGAGAGAAGACCATAGGAAGACGCAAGGAGAACACAGCCATTGACAATAAAAGGAGAGAGGTCTTAGAGGAAACCAGCCCTGCTGACACCTTGACCTTGGACTTCCAGCTTTCAGAACTGTGAGGAAGTAAATTTCTGTTGTTTAAACTATTGAATCTGTGGTATTTATTACAGCAGTCCTAGTAAACTAATAAAGTGCTCTCCTCTGTTTTCTTGAGTTTATTTTTTTTTTTTTCATTCTCTCAGGCTGTGGTGGGGGCTGGAGGAAAGAGAGGGAGAGGAAGGCCAGGAGCAGTTCTGAAACAAGGAAATGGAAGAGAGAGACAATCCAAGATCAGATATTTTGCATTTTCTCTTTCTGATCACAGCCTTGACAAACTGTTTTTGCCATAACACCTCATTATCTCTAACTCCTCCCCTCCCTTCTGCCAAGAGTCTTTATCTGTGACCCAAAGTAACTTACCCCTTCACCTCCTCTTCAGCCTCTTATTCTTCTATATCCTTCTAGCTTTATTTGTCTGCATATCCAGTTAAATCTCAACATCTGCTATTTCAGCCATGGCTTTACTAGAATCACAGAATCTGCTCCTGCTTCCTGGATATTCTGACTGCCCTCCATGTCAGCAGTTCCCAAACTCTAGTTTGGACTGGCTGTCGCACTAATCGGGGTGCTTGTGAAAAATACAGATTGTCAACCCACGTCTATTAAAGAGGCTCACTGGAGGTGGGGTCCTGGAATTTGTACTTTTCATAAGCTTCTCAGGTGATTCTGATGCCCAGCCTGATTTAGGAACTATTAACAATGCCAGTTCTCCACCTTGAATGACCCTAATGTTCATTTTCCCCACTCCTTTACTGCCAAGCATGGCTAGAGAACACCAGATTGCCACATCCTCTTTGTGTCAAACTACTTAATATCGCCTGGGCCCCCTGGACTCCTCAGAACGTTTTTAGTGTAGTTTATGACTTTCCATAGAGTTTCCCCAGCCACTTAAATTACCTGTCTTCTGAACTTTGTTTTATTCTCATGCTACTTCCTTTGCTCAAAGCAAGAAACATTGCTGCCCTGTTACTAAGAAGATAAGGGCCAGTCACTTTCAACTGTGGCAGCACAGTAGACCCACCTTGGGAGCATTTAAAAATACTAGGATGTGGGCTACACTCCTAGAGACTCTGGTTTAATTTGGCCTGACCCGGAATCTATATAGCTGTATTTTTTTTAATATCCCCAAGTGATCTTAAGAAACACTTGCTGAGGCCATTTGATACCAAATTATCTAACTTTTAACCCCCTTCTCCACATACACACACATACACTTTAATGATTTCTTTCTACTTTAACTTAAACTTTCTTCTTTTCACTCAAACAAAGTTACATGAAAAAAACAACAACCCCATCAATAAGTGGGTGAAGGATATGAACAGACACTTCTCAAAAGAAGACATTTATGCAGCCAAAAAACACATGAAAAAATGCTCATCATCACTGGCCATCAGAGAAATGCAAATCAAAACCACAATGAGATACCATCTCACACCAGTTAGAATGGTGATCATTAAAAAGTCAGGAAACAACAGGTGCTGGAGAGGATGTGGAGAAATAGGAACACTTTTACACTGTTGGTGGGACTGTAAACTAGTTCAACCATTGTGGAAGTCAGTGTGGCGATTCCTCAGGGATCTAGAACTAGAAATACCATTTGACCCAGTCATCCCATTACTAGGATTATAAATCATGCTGCTATAAAGACACATGCACACGTATGTTTATTGCGACACTATTCACAATAGCAAAGACTTGGAACCAACCCAAATGTCCAACAATGATAGACTGGATTAAGAAAATGTGGTACATATACACCATGGAATACTATGCAGCCATAAAAAAGATGAGTTCGTGTCCTTTGTAGGGACATGGATGAAGATGGAAACCATCATTCTCAGCAAACTATCGCAAGGACAAAAAACCAAACACCACATGTTCTCACTCATAGATGGGAATTGAACAATGAGAACACATTGACAGAGGAAGGGGAACATCACACCCCAGGGCCTGTTGTGGGGTGGGGGGAGGGGGGAGGGATAGCATTAGGGGATATACCTAATGTAAATGACAAGTTAATGGGTGCAGCACACCAACATGGCACATGTATACATATGTAACAAACCTGCACATTGTGCACATGTACCCTAAAACTTAAAGTATAATTTAAAAAAGAATAAAATAGATAAATAGATAAAAAAAGAAAGATGAAATAGATAAAACATGGAAAAAAAAAACACTTCCTTCTTTTCACAGAAGACATACACCTATTCATTTTCAAGACTAACTCCACCTGTGTCCTTGACTGCATTCCAGCTCACCTTTTCTAGGAACTCACTTGGTACTTTTTTCTCACTATCTTTTCTATCATCAGTCTCATTTTTGTGTGTATTTAAGCAATTTCCCTACAGGTTTCAAACATATGTAAACTTCTCTATTTCATAAAAGTTCTGCCACCACCATCAACACAATGACAGCAGCATTACATTTTATTCTTCCATTCAGAATCAAACTTCTCTAATAAAATAATTTATGCCCACTGTCTTCCCTCTCTCCCTGCCTTTTTTTTTTTTTTTTAACAGAATCTCACACTGTCACCCAGGCTGGAATGCGGTGGCACAATCTTGGCTCACTGCAACTTCCGCCTCCTAGGTTCAAGTGATTCACATACCTCAGCCTCCCGAGTAGCCGGGATTAAAGGCATGCACCACCATACCCAGCTGATTTTTGTATTTTCAGTAGTGATGGGGTTATGCCATGTTGGCCAGGCTGGTTTCAAACTCCCGGCCTCAAGAGATCCACTCACCTCGGCCTCCCAGAGTGCTGAAATTACAGGCATGAGCCACTGCGCCCAGCCTACTACTTTCATTCAGTAAATATTTATTAAAGGTCTATCTTATGCACTAGAGATACAATCATACAAAATAAATAAGACACAGACTATATACTCAACGAGCACAGAGTCTGATAACAATAAGATACATTTTAAAATAAAAGTTTGTGCTTTTATAGCCATAAAATTAGTTCTATTTACAAACTAAAATGTAGAGTCTTTGCTTGGATATTTAAGACAATAGCAGGCCACATTGGATCTACCTCTCCAACTCTGTCTTTAATAAAGCACTTGCAATCAGGATCAGTAGAAGGATTGGAACTGGAATTTGAATCCAGATCTGATCCCAAAGTCTTTTCTACTAGTATAAAGGAGAGAAAGGAGTCAGCAATGATTCTGGAGCTTCTTTTCTGATTGACTTAGAGGACAGTGATGTTGTTAATGAAGTGAATGAATAAATGAATGGAGGATCAAAGCAGATTAAAAAAAAGGTAGAAAAAAATCAGAAAAGATAAACAGGTGTCCAAGATGAGGAAAATACCACTAAAAACACGGAGAGAAAGAGGTGGACACGGAACATGAGGATAGGGAGGAAAGGAAGGAAGACAAGCAAAATAATAAAAATGAGAGAAGGTGGTTGTTCACCAAACATCCACAACCAAAAAATTCTGAATTCAATAAATTTTCATTTGAAGGAATATCTCAAGAAAAACTTCAAGTGTCTTTCTTAACAGAGAATACATACAGTACTGTCTGGCATAATTCACTGGAGTGAGTAAGATTAAACCCAGGGAACTTAGCTAGGCCAGCCCGGGAGAAGCAGCAGCGACACATCCATTTCAGACTCCAGCAAAAGAGTAACCAAGTCATGGGAATTTTCCCTCAATTGCCCAGATATCATTTTATTATGATTCTATTACTTTCTAGCTTTATAACTATGAATGATTGCAAAACCATCAGTGTAAATTGGCACTTATTTTATTACTAGAAAAAGTAACTCACATTCTAAGTTTCTCATTAAAAAGCTTTTGATAACAAAGGAAAAATATAATC
Source organism: Homo sapiens (assembly GCF_000001405.40). Classification (NCBI taxonomy): domain Eukaryota; kingdom Metazoa; phylum Chordata; class Mammalia; order Primates; family Hominidae; genus Homo; species Homo sapiens. Next base: position 100,510,052 of record NC_000011.10, read on the forward strand.
AAAGATAAGAACATAAACACAATGAATCTGGAATCACTTAATTCTCAACTGTAAGTACACATCTTATAGGAATCTCATGAGATTGAGCTAATACATATAAAGCAATTGTAAGTACTGGAAAGTAGTTACATATTGTTATTCTGAAATAGTTTTCTATGTCCAAAAGATGGACACTAGTTTAAGGCCTTATTACATCTATTAGGGTTGGTATTCTTATTTAAACCTCCATTCTTTAACAAAATGTACTAACCCTCAGATTTTATAACCTACCCATCCTATGGGGCACTCTGTCATTGGAATGATCCCTCACAGTTGTCCTGAATGGAGAAAAGACAATGGGACTTTGTACTTTTTCTTTGATCAGTCTTTGCGCACAGATAGTTCCCACAGAGAGGCTGTGATCTTGGACGAAGATGCTCTATTACACTGAGGCCAGTTCTCAGAGAGGAGCCAGATGAGAAATATCTGCCACCAATAATCCCAGAAGCTGGGAGAGTTAGGGGTTCAGTTCTGAAAAAGAACTCTAAGTGACTCACCACAGGATCCACTATCACACAAAGGGCCCATTTGCAGGGTTCCTTAGAAGTGAGAAGGTAAAGAAAATATGTTTTACTTTCAGCTCTCCCCTAGGCACTTCATGCAGTACAGATACCAAGGCTCAGGCAATATCTATTGAAGATAAATCAGCACAACCTTAGGCTGTGATCCCTTTCACTATCTGAGGATAATGAAAGGTTCCTTTGTAGGAACTGGCCTCTTCTACAGCATTAAGATGGCATTAGTCTCATCAAGTTCTGGTATTCCTGTTTATTATTCCCATTGCATCCAACTTCCACAATTCACAGATGTTTTCTGTACCATTCCTAAATTCTAATAGCAACATCATCCAATAAGAAATGTTTACAGGCATTTTCTTTATATTAATGCTCCATTAGCCCATGATATATCTAGATCAGCAGGGTTGAAGGTGGATATCCTAGGAGCTCAGGTGTGGCCACACTGATATAATCAAAATGATCTCAGTACACAGCCCCCACGCCTGAATGGGTCCAGCTTTCTTCCAGTGTAAGCTGTCATCTGGTATCTGCTACTTCAGTCCTGTACACGTCTAATGTAATGTGATCATTTCTTATCATATAACCCACCAAATTCAAGAACATTCTGATACCACAGATCTTCCAATATGTCTCAGTTTAATAAAATAGCAAGATTTTTACAACCCAGCTATTTATTCTTATGAACTTTTTTTTTTACATATTTGACAGTCTATTTTTGCAAAAGACACTTTACAAAATCAAGGCAGCTTTGAGAAGAAACGGTGGCAGTTCAAACTCCCTAGAACATGTGGAAAAGGAGAGATGAACTTTGAATCTGACAGGGGGGTACAGGGGCTATGCTGGCGGGAGGCTGTGATGGTTAATTTTATGTGTCAACTTCACTAGGTCACAGGATGCACAAAGGGCTGATTAAACACCATTTCTGAATACGTGTGTATGGAGGTTTACAGAAATGATTACGTTTGAATTGATGAACTGAGTAAAACCACCTGATGTGGATGAACATTATCTAATCCTCTGAGTGCCTAAATGGAACTAAAAGGCAGAGAAGTATTGAATTCACCCTCAGTCTATCTCAGCTGAGTTGTCAATGCTTTTCTGCCCTGGTCACTCCCGGTTGTCAAGTCTTTGAACTCAGGCTGGAATCTATACCACACTCTCTTCAGCTCTCAGGTCTTGAAATTACATCCCTGGCCTTCCTGGGTCTCCAGGCTGCAGACGGCAAACTGTGGAACTTCTCAGCCTCCATCATTGCATGAACCAATACCTTATAATAAATCTCTCTTTAGGGAAATGGAAAATCTTTTATATCATTACTTAAGAATTAGAAAGTACATTTGTGCACCTGAAGGAAGTTTCTGATTATTCAGAAATAAGCAATGCAGTTTCTTTCCTAGTGCTACATAACTGAAGATTGATGAGAAGTTTCATTCCAGTTTTTGTTTGTGCATCTATGCCCAGTTTGGACAGAATTGCAGGTACTATACTTAAAATCTTTTTTCTCATCATTTACATTTTTTGGAGGAAAAATCCATGTGTTGCAAGGATCACGAAACAAAGGAGAGAAAAACAACTTCACAGACCAGAAGTTCTTCAATACCATGTTTAATGGCTCTACATTTCAATTTTGTTCTGTCCTCTCAAATACATTTTATGAGGCTGTGCTGTTATGTGTGAATGATGGTATAACATCAGAAAAAGAAATATATATCTTATTATGTTTTATTTTACATAATTGAACCATGTACGATAGCATTGTTTCAGAAATAAAGACAAATGATTTAACTTTTTAATTAAGCTTTAAAACCCCTAATTAAATGCCTAAATCACAAAGAACCATTTCAGTCTAAATTGTCTTTAGTTTGCCGTGTGTGGATTTTCCTATTGCATGGTGACTGCCAGAGAAAGTAACAAAGAGCTATAAATCAAATTCACACTTGGTAATTGGTACCATTAATGTATCTTTCATTATCCAGCAAGACAAAAACAGAATGTGTAATGCTCCAGGTATGACATAAACTGACTTATATTGTCTGCCAGTGCTTTCTCTTACACTTGAAACTGGAAGTCTATTGGGCAATATATGCCTGTGTAACTGGTGGCCTGGAAAACTTGTCAGGACATGACCAAATGGCTGATTGGGTCTACATGGATCCGGATACAGTATCTGAAGATATTTTTTTAAACATGCAATTTTGGGAACAACCAACTTGGTTCAGAAGACTCATGAGTACCCACATTTATGTTCTATGCCAGAACACTTAGCCTTATACACACCTTCTTGCATTTAACTGCATATCAGTCCTTTGAATCAGACAGAAATGGGGATGTACAGGGGCAGTACAGACACCAAGGCCCAGGCAATATCTATTGAAGCATTAGACAGAATTTTTGTCTAGTTGAAAAAACTAAAGCTCAGAGAGATTAAGTAACCCATTTAACGCGATTCAAGTAGAAAGTGGCAGAACAAGGATTTAGAGTCAGGTTCTCAAACCAAATTGTTCAGTAAGACATCCTTATCTGTAAGAAGAATGTAAGTGAAAGCCATACTGAGATACCACTACACAACTATTAGAATTGGTACAATTAAAATACACTACCAAGTGATGGCAAAGTACATGACAACTAGAACTCCCACTCATTGCTGGAGCCAGGGGCAGTGTGCAAAATGGTATAGCCACTTTGGAAAGCAGTTGGGCAGTTTCTTATAAAATTAAGTATACCTTTACCATATAACCCAGCAAGTCCATCCCTAGGCACTTATCCAAGTAAATTAAAACATATTTTCATGAAAATTCCATACACAAATATTTATATTACCTTTATTCCTAATCACCAAAAACTAGAAACAACTCAATTATCCTTCAACTGGTGAACAAACTGGGGTCTATTCATGGAATGGAATTCTACTCAGCAATAAAAAAATGAACTACTGATATGTGCAATAACATGGATGAATCTCAAACATATTTTGTTAAGTGAGAGAAACCAGGCTTGAAAATCTGCGTATTCGTGATTTCTTTTATATGACATTCTAGGGAGAGGCAAAACAGGCAAAAAAGAGGGACAGACAAGAAGTCAGTGTTTGCCAGGATCTAGACATGTGGAGAGCAGTTGACCACAGAGGGACATGGGGAAATTTTGGAGGTGATGGACCTATTCTACATCTTGATTTCATGAAAAAGAAAGGGGCATAGATTCAGGATTATTTTGGTACACCAGATGATTCTGATACAAAGCCAAATTTGAAGAGTTTAGTGAACTAAAGCAGTCATTTTCTTTTTTTTTTTTTTATTTTAAGTTCTGGTATACATGTGCAGAATATGCAGGTTTGTTCCATAGGTATACCTGTGCCATGGTAGTTTGCTGCACCCATCAACCCATCATCTAGGTATTAAGCCCCGTGTGCATTAGTTATTTGTCCTAATGCTCTCCCTCCCATTGCCCTCCACCCCATGAAAGGCCCTGGTCTGTGTTGATCCCCTCCCTGTGTCCATGTGTTCTCATTGCTCAACTCCCACTTTTGAGTGAGAACACGTAGTGTTTAGTTATCTGTTCCTGTGTTAGTTTGCTTTTTCAAATTCAGTATTTCCTCACTTTGGTATGTTCAGACCAGGTGTCACAATTAATGGATTACTACTAATAATTTAAGAAATTTGGAAATAATTAATATTTTTAAATAGTTGATTATTGTTATACTTAAAGATGACTCAAAGTTAATTCAAAATAATCTCTTCTTGTTGTTTGCTTACTTGCCTTCAGAAAAGCTCTTTTGGCTATAATAGAGAGAAAAAGGTAGAGTTGTAGTTGGTGGTCATACTCCAGGAAATCTGGATTTGATGGACATGCTTGTAACCGCTGTGCTATGCTGAGTGGCCCCTTTCACAAGAGCTGGATGACAGTAACTAAATCCGTACTATTACATGTAATCATAGCTGTCTACAACCTGGAAAAGGTCTTGCAACTCTTTTAAATCCTTTCACTTTGTTTTATCTAGACTACATGTGGTTTGGAAAAGCAATGACATGTACATGTAGTAGGAAGGTATATGAAGCATTTCTATTTATGGGTGTGTGTGTGTGTGTGTGTGTGTGTGTGTGTGTGTGTGTGTGAAGGGTAAGAATCACAATATGTCTTCTGAAAATAGAAAAAAACAATTTGTCTATTTCAATTGTACTCACTTTTAACCCCTGCACAATTCTAGTGAATAAAACTGACTGATGTTTGAAACAAAATAGTTCTAAAAAGACAATTTAATACATTTCAAAAACACTGAGACACAAAGTAATGGCTAAAATAAACCGAAAGAGGAATGTAAACCAAAACTAGAAGTTTTCTTGTGATCCAAAGTAAAAATATTTAAATTCCCAGCTGAGGAATATAGGGTATCCTCCCTAAAGAGAGTACTCAAACTTAATTATGCATAAGAATTATTAAAAGAACCGATTTGTAGCATATGCTGTGGTATATTGCCCAGATCCCACCTACAAGACCAATGCATTCTTTCTTCCAGCTGCTGGTAGTACTGGCTGCTGAAAACACACAGCTGAAAATGCCAGGCATTCCTTCCACCAAAGGGAGTTTCCTGACCCAAGGTTACAAACTTGGATGCTAGCAAATGACTGCAACCTAATGCAAACTCAACAAGTAGTAGTCCCAATTGCAGTTGCTTTGCCAAATGTGGTATTTCTGCTACAGAATATTAGCATAGCCACCTTTGATTTGGCAAATGAAATCTTTTCCATTCCTATCAAAATAGAGTATCAGAGGCACTCTGCATTCTCATGAGATGAATAACAGTTTACTTTAAGTTACTGCCCAAGGGCTATGTTAACTCTCCCATCTTCCATCACAGTGTAATTCAAACAGACCTGGACCATATGAACATTCCACAGAACCATTAATTGGTGCATTATATTCATGAGATCATAGTAATTGGATCAGATGAGCAAGAAGTGGCATGTATGATTGATCCCTTGATAAGAAATATTCACTCCAGAATGAAGAAGATAAACTACAAAGATTTAGGGGCCCACCACACCCATGAAGTTTCCAGGGGTCCAGTGATCTGAGACATGCTTCAAGAATAAAGGAAAAATTATTGCACCTCAGAATTTTCATCATCAGGCAAGTGATACACAAATGTTTAATCATCTCTCAGGGCTCTGCATGTTCTGAAGACAGCATATTTGACATTTGGGAATACCGTTCTGACCCATCTGACTGATTTGTGCTTCTGACACAGAAGCAAACAACTTTGAATTGGACTCAGAGCAAGAAATAGTTAAGCATCAGGCCTAGGCTGTGGTAAAAACAGTCCTGCTACATGGAACACAATTCATCTCAGAGCCTATGGCACTAGAGGTATCTATAATGAGAAAAAAATGCTATGTGAAGCTTATGGCAAGATCCAGCAGAAGAATCACAATACAGACCCTCTAGGGATCTGGTACAAGACCATGCCACCTGCAGCAAAGAAGTATACACCTTTCAACAACATCTGGCATGTTACTGGACCTAGTGGATATGTAGTATATGACCTTAAGAAATCAAGAGATCATGGTCTTAGAACTGTCCGTCGTAAGTTGTACACAGTTAGATTTACCAAGTTATAGGTTAATGCAATAACAATACATCTTTAGAGAAAACACGTCATTAGAACTGTCATGAATGAGATTAGAGGGTGCAAGTAAGCTGTGCAAGCAAGGGATTCAGACTTTCATGTCATCCCCACTTTTATTTGTGCCTCTCCATCAGCTCACACCTGTTGCTGGGGTGAAGTTGGAGAAGGAGCCTATATGATCAGCTTTTTCTTTATGGAGAAGGAAAAATACTGAGCTTGGTTCACAAATTGCTTCTTCTACTTGGTTCACATACTGACTTCTGAGAAGTCAGTATGTGTGTGCACGCCACAGATGCACAGCTAAGCTGCTGCATTATAACCCCACTCAGGGATGGCCTTAAAGATAGCAGTGATGGATCATCTCTCAATAAGGAGACTTTGGGAATGTGCCTAGTCAGTCATTTTGTTGAAAGAAATGTGGTCATGGAAAGAATATAAATGAACTCACGAGCGGTGGTGAACGGCTTGACTGGTTGATCAGGGACCTAGAAAGAAAAATATTTGAGTATCAGAGAGAAGTCTAGAAGAACCTATAAAAGTGGGCACAAAAGTGTGATAATCATTGTATTTCATAGAACTGCCCACCAGAGAGCCTCCAATCAAGTACACAACAATGGAAAACAGACAACAATTAAGTAGACCAAATAAGTCAACCAGCTGACATCAGCCAGACTCTATCATCAGCTACCCTACGGCCATTGTTAAAGGAATGGAGATAATGGAGACCACAAGCTCAGTATCATTATTTCTCTTTCATCAAGGCTTGATCTAGCTACAGGCATTGCTAAATGTCTCTCCGGTGAGAAACAGAACCCAACATTGAGGCCCTGATATGGCACCATCTCTTACAGAGACTGACTAACCTCTTGATTGCAAGTTGATTAAACCGGACTCTTTATACTCTAAGGAGCAGCAATTTATGTTTGTCTTAGTCTGTTTAATGTTGCTATAAAGGAATATCTGAGGCTGGGTAATTTATAAAGAAAAGAGGGTTATTTGGCTTACAGTTCTTCCGGCTCTGCAAGAAAAATGACACGAGCAGCTGCTTCTGGTGAGGGCCTTAGGCTGCTTCCACTCTGGGCAGAAGGTGAAGAGGAGCCGAGGTATGCAGAGATCACATGGCAAGAGAGGAAGCAATAGAGAGTGAGAGGGAAGGTTCCAGGCTCTTTTTAACAACCAGATTTCACAGGAACCAATACAGTGAGAAATCACTCACCTCCCCTCCACCAGGGAGGACATTAGTCTATTTATGAGGAATTTGCCTCCATGATGCAAACACTTCCCACTAGGCACCACTTCAAACATTGGGGATCAAATTTTAACACAAGGTATGGGGGATGCAAGCATTCAAACTTACAGCATTCTGCCCCTGGTCCCCAAAATTTCATATCTTTCTCACATTGCAAAATACCATTGTCCTCTCCCAATAGTCCCAAGAATATTAATTTGTTTTGGCACAAACTTAAATTCCAAAGTCTCATCTGAGACTCAAGGCAACTTTCTTAAAGCTGTGAGTTTGTAAAATCAAAGTCAAGTTATTTACTTCCAAGGCACAATTGTGGTTCAGGCATTGGGTAAACTTTCCCATTCCAAAAGGAAGAAATAGACCTAAAGAAAGGGGGACTTGCCTCACGCAACCCAAAACACAGCAGAATAGACATTAAATCTTAAATCTGCAAAATAATCTCCCTTGACTTCATGTCCTACATTCTAGGCACACTGGTGCCAGAGTGGGCTCCCAAGACCTTGGGCAGCCCCAACCCCATGGCTTTTCTGGGTATAGCCCATGTGACTGTTGTAATGGTTTGGAGTCCAATGCCTGCAGCTTTTCCAGGCTGAGGCTGCAGACAGCCAGTGGCTCTATAATTCTAGGGTCTGCAGGGTGACACCTGTACTCCCATGACTCCACTAGGCACTGGCATCATAGAGGCTCTCTGCAGTGTCTTCACCCCTGCATCAGACTTCTGCCTGGGTACTCAATATATTCCTGAAATCTAGGTGGAAGCTGCCAAGCCTCCATGGCTTTTGCGTCCTTGGCCCCTGCAGTCTTAATATCATGCAGATGCTGCAAAGGCTTATGGCTTAGGCCCTTCAGAGCAGTAACCTGAGCAGTACTTTTGGCCATTTGAGCCTTGGCTGGTCGTGGAGCAGCTGGGATGCAGGAAGCAGCATCCCAAGGTGGCTCAGGGCAGTGGTACTGTGGGCTGTTCCCCTGAAACGATTCTGTTCTCCTGTGCCTCTGGGCCTATGATGGGAGATGCTGCCTCAAAGATCTCTGAAATGTTTTCAAGGCTTTTTTTCCCATTATTCTGACTATTTGCACCTTGCTTCCTTTTAGTCATGTTAATCTATTCCGCAAGTGGTTGCTCCATAACACTCTTAGATTCCTCTCTCTTGAAAATGCTCTCTCCTTCTCTAATACATCCAGGTTGTGAATTTTCCAAATACTTAACACTCTGCTTCCTTTTAAATTATAAATTCCACCTTTAGATTATTCCTCTGCTGCAGCATCTGTATCTGATTATAAGCTCTTAAAAGCAGCCATGCCACCTCTTGAATGCTTTACTGCTTAAAAATTTCTTCCACCAGATAATCCTGGTCATCAGTCTTAATTTCAGCTTTCCACAAAGCCCTAGGTCACAGACACAAGGCAATCAAGGTCTTTATTAAGGGGTAACATGAGTGACCTTTGCTCTAGTTCTCAATCATTTTCTCATTTTCATCTGAGACTTCCTCGGCATGGAGTTTACTGCGTATATTCTATCAACATTTTGATTCTAACCAGTGACCAGACTGGTCATAACCAGTTTCTAAAAAGTTCCAAACTTTCCTTCATATTCCCATCTTCTTCTGAGTCCTCTAGACTCTTAAAACATCTGCCCATTACCCAGTTCCAATGTATCTTTCATATTTTCAGGTATCTTTATAGCAACACCCAACTTCTCAGTGCCAATTTTCTGTCTTAGTCCATTCAGTATTGCTATAAGGGAATACCTGAGGCAGGGTAATTTATTTTTTGTTTAAAGTGGTTGGGGATTTCTGTTAATAGCTATCTAGGCTATACAAGAAGCATAATGCCAGAAGCATAATGCCAGCACCAGGCTGCCTCCTGTCATGGCAGAAGGTGAGGGGAGCCAAAGTATGCACAGATCACATGGCAAAAAGGAAGCAAGAGAGAGTGAAAGGGGAAATGCCAGGTTCTTTTTAACAACCAGCTCTTGTGGGAACTAATAGAGTGAGAACTCACCCTTTACAGAGAGGGCATTTAGTCTATTCATGAAGGGTCCACTCCTATAACCAAAACACCTCCCACTGGGCACCAACTCCAACATTGGGGACCAAATTTCAACACAAGATTTTTGGGGGAATAAACATTCAAACTACGGCAATCTTAAATGGAAATGACCATACTTAGGTATGAATTTGCCTATCATGCCAGCAATACCTCAGCCAAACCCACTATATGTTGGCTTATAGAGTTTAAGAACCAGCAGCATGATTTTCTGCAAAATACTGCCTCAGACTATTGAACTCACTTTGAAGCAGAGGAGATATAGCAGTGGGCACATAATGATGAGATCTACTGGCACTTCCATGTTACTCAATGGCTATCAGCCTGAGAGAGTGGTAAAGGAGTTTTTTAAGATGAAACTGAGATATCAGCTTGAAGATGCAACGCTGAGAGGCACCATTCTTTATAGGGCAAAATATATCCTAAATAAATCCCTATTGTATGGTACTGCATCCTCACTAAGTAGAATACACAGACCTAGGAACCAAAGGATAGAAGTCAAAGTATCATCACTTCTTGACCTACAACTTTAAGTTCTGTAATTCTAGAGGACATGGTTTCCCAGAATAGGAAAGCTTCCAATAGATGACACAGTAAAAGTCCTATTGAACTTTAAGGAATGGCTGATGCCCAGTCATTATTTCAGTTTCCTCACCACAGATAACAGGTTACAAGGAAAAGAATGACCATATCTGCAGGTGCAATCAACCCTGATCCTCAGGAAGAGGCAAGGATGCTATTACACAATGGCCACAGGAAGGAATACATCTGGCACCCAGGTGATCTATCAGGGTCCCTGTTGGTATTTGCCTTCCCAATTCTGTTGGTAAATGAATAAGTGCAACAACAACAGTCTAAGAAAAACATACTTACAGAGACTCACACCCCTTTGGGATGAGGGTTTGGTTTATTCAAACAAGCAATCCTCCTAGACCAGCAAAGCTACTAGCCAAAATAAGAGGAATCTAGAGTAGATGATAGAGGAGGGAGAAAATGAGTACTCATTGCATCTCAAGAGTAGTTTCAGTAACTGGGACTATAATTTATCTTACTACCTTCCTCTCAAAAGTTTCTCCAGAACACAGACCACTCAGAATCCTAGGCAGATTTTACCAATGAGATGAACTTGCTGATTGAAACAAGTATACCCAACTAGTGCAAGGGATGGACTATAGTGGTTGCTTCAGACAGAAGCACTCATTCCTCCAGCTATGGGGTATGTTAACTACTGATGTGGATGATTACAATTGTCTTTAGCTAAAGAAAACTGCCTAATCCAAGGTCACGCTCTCACCTCAATCATATTCAAAAGTTGCTCAATACAAGAATACAAAGACCTGTTCCTTTTGCCTCAGTTCAAGACAACTGTAAAGAGCCTCAAGAGGTGAGATCAAGAAATCTATAATTGTAATGAATACCCTTAGGAGATTCTGGTGCAGTTGGACCAAGGACCATACTTTGAGAAACAGTGCATTCAACAAGCCTGAATCTATGGATGAGCTATAACTTGGTATCATGAAAGAAAAGTATCTGGCATCTTGTTGCCAGAATCCATAGGACTTCCTCCACACCCTCACACTCAACTTCCAGGATAAAATTTAAAGGTCAATTAGAAGTCCTAACTATGCCCAGGCACAGTGGCTCAAGCCTGTAATCCCAGAACTTTGGGAGACTTAGGGAGGAGGATCACCTGAGGTCAGGAGTTCAAGACCAGCCCAGCCAACATGGTAAAACTCCATCTTTACTAAAAATACAAAAATTAGCTGGGCATGGTGGTGGGTGCCAGTAATCCCAGCTACTCAAGAGGCTGAGGCAGGAGAATCGCTTGAACCCAGGAGGCGACGGTTGCAGTGAGACGAGATCACGCCATTTCACTCCAGCCTGAGTGACAGAGCGAGACTTCATCTCAACAACAACAAAAGAAGTCCTAACTATGGTGCTGAAAATAACCCCATCACTTCCCTGAAAAGACCCTGGCCTACCTAGGAATCAAACTAATCTCATACCTTCTATGCTTTCTGTTACCCTATTTCTGCTGCCCCAATAATAGAGCCACCTTCTCTAATGAAGGAATTCCACAGTGTGAAAGTTATCACATTATTTATTATTGATATTCCCTATATTTACACTCAAGCTAGTGTGATTAGAGCTTCAGGTAAATCAACTAAGCCCAAGGCATATAAACAGAATGATGATTATACATTCTAACCTTTTATCTTTCCAATTCACTTTTCCAAAAACAGTTAAGTTTCTCCAACTCCTGCCTGAGCAGGAATTACTGCAGTAATTACTGCCATTTACCTTTCCCACTATTACAACAAAGGTATTTAAATATCTGGGTCTACTAATCTGAATTTGGACCTATTAATATTAGTATCTTTCCTTAGGATTTGTTCCCAGAAAGATCTATTCTTTCCACCCATCCTTCCTAGGACTCTTCTGATTCTACCTTTTTTCTCAATATTGATATGATATCTACTTCTCATAAAAGCTGAGTAGATCAAGTTTTTTTTAAAGTCATAAGAAAATCAGTGAAGAAAAATTGGGTCCATCTTTAACTTCTGGACCCAAAATGTCTTAATCTGCTAGTGCTGCCATAACCAAATACTTTAGACTGGGTAATTTATTTTTCACATGAGTTTCAAGTCAGGGTATTAAAATTTTTTTTTTCCTCACAGATTTTGGAGGCTAGAAAGTTCAAGATCAAGGTGCTGACATTCAGTAGCTGGTGAGGGCTTTCTTATTCTATCCACACATGGTAGAAAGGGGGAATCTAGGCCATATCCTCTGGTGGCAAAAGGCAGAAGGACATAAAAAGAGAGCTAAAAAGTTTCCTCCATCCCTTTTATAAGGTTGCTGTATTAATCTGTTCTCATACTGCTATGAAGAAATACCTGAGAATGGGTAATTTATAAAGAAAAAGAGGTTTAATGGACTTACAGTTTCACATGGCTGGGGAGGCCTCACAATCATGGCAGAAGGCGAAGGAGGAGCAAAGGCATGTCTTACATGATGGCAGGCAAGAGAGTTCAGGGGAACTGCTATTTACAAAACCATCATGAGAATGGCATGGGAGAAACCCACCCCCATGATTCAATTACCTCCCATTGGGTCACTCCCACAACATGTAGAGATTATGGGAACTTCAATTCAAGATGAGACTTGGGTGGGGACACAGCCAAACCATATCAGTTGCTACTCTTACTCATGAGGGTTCTCCCCTCAAAATTTAGTTCCTTCCTAAAGGCTCCACCTCTTTATACTACTACATTGGGGATTAAATTCGAATGTAAATTTTGGAGGAGAGTCAGGCATTCAAACCACAGAACAGAGCTTCTTCAAGGACATATCTTCCTTCTCCATCATGACACACTTGACTAAAACAGAAAGTGAGTAAGTATTTAAGAAATAATTTATTAATTATTCCTTAAGTACTTTTTCCTGCTATTATTATTACACTGACAATATTGTCATTAGGAGAACTTTCTGTCAAAACTGCTTTAGGGAATAAATATTAATCACTTTTAAAGTAATTGGATGAGAGCTCTGAAACCATTTTAAAGATCATATCAAGAAGTTCTGGCTGGAGTGATGTCAGAAAGATGGTAGAGAGATATTTTAGCCCTCATACCAACCCTCCCCAAAAGCATCCATGAACACGAGTATCTTTGCAGGAGCCCAGGAGTCCAGCAGTCAGGTGCCAGCACTCCCTTGGAGAAAAAACAAACAAACTGAGAATCAATGGATTTAAGAGAGTAAGAAAAACAGTTTCACTTGCCCCACATCACTCCTACCCCCAAGGCAGTACATCTTAGAAAGCTGGTTCAACTCTGTTAGACTGAAAAAAGGTTCTTAACTTTTAACATGTTAGGGTACCCTTTGGCAAATAAATGGGAGGCTCTCAACATTCAGCCTGGCTGTACAGGATTGAGAGAAGTAATACAATCCTAAGATTTTTCTCTCCCAAGAAGGAACAAAAGGAATGGAATGGGAACATCCATAAAAAGGTCTATGGAATACCCAGGGTAACTAGCCAGGTTGAATGGTGAATGTATTTTTCTCCTTCAGCCATGCAGTACAGACTGGAGGAGGTGATCTTTTTCAAATGCAAAGCAGCAATCCCAAACCTCAAGAAACATGAAAAATCAAGAAAACATGATACCACTAGAGGAACAAAATAGTTTTCCAGTAATTGGACTCAAATGAATAAAGATCCATGAATTGCCTTGCAAAGAATTCCAAATAATCAATCTAAGGAAGTAAATTCAGTGAGATACAAGAGAACACAGATAGACAATAAAACAAAATCCGAAAAATCAGAAATGAACAAAATGAGAAGTTCAACAGCGAAACAGAAATTATAAAACACAGAAATTCTGGAGCTCAAAAATACAATGAATGAAATTTTAAAATTTAAACTGCTGTTAATTTGAGAGAGATCATTTGAAATTAGCCAGTCAGATAAGAAAAAAAGGAATGACAAAGAATAAAGAAACCTACAAGAATTATGACACATCATAAAATGAACCAAATTATGTGTTATGGAAGTCCAGAAGGAGAAGAGAGAGACAACAAAGGCTCAAAATGATTATTAAAATAAATAATGGCAGAAAACATCCCAAATCTTGGGAAGGACATGAACATCCTAATTCATGAAGTTCAAAAGTCTCCAAATAGGAACAATCCAAAGAAGATCATATTGAGAAATATTATAATCAAATTATCAAAAGTCAAAGAAAATAAGAGAAATTTGAAATCAGCAAGAGAAAATTGACTAATCACATACAAGGTAGTTTCTATGAGAGTATCCGCTGATTTCTCAGCAGAAACCTTACTGGCCAGGAGAGAGAGGGATGATATATTTAAACTGCCAAAAGAAAAACTAAAAAACCTGCCAACCAAGAATACTATATCTGGCAAAGCTATACCTCAAAAATGAAGAAGAAATAAAAATTTTCTCAGGCAAGCTATAGGTGAGGAAGCTCATCATCACTAGACCTGCCTTGCAAGACATGCTAAAGGACATTGTTCAAGTTGAAATGAAAGGATGCTGATTAAAACTTGCTGATAAAAGTAAGTATATAGTCAAATTCAGAATACTCTATGGTGATGCACTTTCACCTCTAGTAGAAAAGTTCAAAGACAAAAGTATTAAAATAACCATAGCTGCAATCATATATTAGTGGATACACAATATAAAAACATTAAAATTGTAACATCAATAACAAAATATGGGGACAAGAAAAAACAAATAAAAGGCATCCAATTAAAAAGGAAGAATCATCATGGCTGACAGGAGGCAGGACTAGATTGCAGCTTCGACTCAGAAGAACAGAGCAGCGTGCGGAGGCTCACATTGTGAATGGTAGCTCCAAATCAACTGCAAGAACAAACCGACAATCTCGAGAAGATCCACAGTCCCTCTGAAGCAAGCAGACTGCTCCTCTAGGACCTGGGAGACACTCTAAATACTGTAAGTGACCCACCTGCAGAAGTGGGAAAGGGAGAGCCTTCCCTCCTGAAAACACACTCCCACTGGGGAAACTGAAAGCCTGTTTGTGGGAGAAATTTCCAACCTTACCTGGAGCTGAGTCCATTTAGAAAGCCAAGAGAAATACAGGGGTAGAGGAAGCATCACAAAGGCCCTGGCAGCTCACTGGGTCCCCAGGCAGGCCATTCCTGCCTGGCACCACAAGGATCCATCAGGAGGGCAGCCAGAGGAGTAGGGGGAAAACACCACAGGGAGAAGGTAATTTCCAGCTGAACTTTGTAACAATTTGAATGGGGCAAGAAGCCTCCTGGCCAGAACTCAGAGGTGGGTGCCAATCCAGTGTGCAGACTCCACAGGCAGGGGAGGCACCAAGCCCTTTTCTTTCACAACTGGGAGGCAGGTAGCCTTGCGCAAGTTCTCCAGCCAGGATTGCACACCACCTGGAAAAAGACTCGAGGCTGATAGTAGGGCATGGTCAGAATGGGACCAGCCCTTCGGTTTGTGTGGGAAATGTGTGAGGCCTTTGACAGCCGGCTTTCCCCCACTTCCCTGACAACCTGCATGACTCCAAAGAGGCAGCAATAATCCTCCTAGGTAC
This sequence comes from Homo sapiens, assembly GCF_000001405.40. Classification (NCBI taxonomy): domain Eukaryota; kingdom Metazoa; phylum Chordata; class Mammalia; order Primates; family Hominidae; genus Homo; species Homo sapiens. The sequence continues at coordinate 100,525,613 of NC_000011.10, forward strand.
ACAACTCCATTGAACTGGAAACCCCACCCCTATCCTCCACAGCAGCTGTACCAAGATCTGCCCAAGGAAAATCAGAGCTAAGACACTCCCAGTCCTGCTCCCACCTGGTGGTCCTTCCCTACCCCCTTGGTAGCTGAAGACAAAGGGCATATAATCTTGGGAGTTCTAAGACCCTACCCACCGCTGGTTCCTCTCCATACTACCACAGTTGATGCTGTCTGAAAAGCGCCACCTCCTGGTAAGAGGCCAACCAGCACAAAAATAGAACATTAAACCACAAAAGCTATGACCCCTCACAGAGTCCATTGTACATCCCTGCTACCTCCACCAAAAGAGGTGCTGGTATTCATGGCTGAGAGACCCATAGATGGTTCATATCACAAGACTCTGTGCAGACAACTCCCAGTACCAGCCTAGAGCCAGGTACACTTGCTGGGTGGCTAGACCCAGAAGAGAGACAGCAATCACTGCAGCTTGTGCAGTGTAGCTTGTGCAGGAAGCCACATCCATAGGAAAAGAGGGAGAATAATACATCAAAGGAACACCCCATGGGACAAAAGAATCTGAACAACAGCCCTCAACCCTGGAGCTTTCCTTTGACAGAGCCTAACCAAATGAGAAGGAACCAGAAAACCAACTCTGGTTGATATGATATGATAAAATAAGGCTCTTCAACATCCACAGAAAATCACACTAGTTCACCAGCAATGGATCCAAATCAAGAAGAAATCCCTGAAAAAGAATTCAGGAAGTTAGTTATTAAGCTAATCAGGGAGGCACCAGAGAAAGGCAAAGCCCAGTGCAAGGAAATCCAAAAAACGATACAAGAAGTGAACGGAACTCAAACATATCAGTAAGCAAAAAACAAACAATCCCATCAAAAAGTGGGCTAAAGACATGAATAGACAATTCTCAAAAAAATATATACAAATGGCCAAAAAACATATGAAAAAATGCTCAACATCACTAATGATCAGAGAAATGCAAATCAAAACCACAATATGATACCACCTTACTCCTGCAAGAATGGCCATAATCAAAAAATCAAAAAATAGTAGACGTTGACATGGGTGTGGTGATCAGGGAACACTTCTACACTGCTGGTGGGAACGTAAACTAGTACAGCCACTATGGAAAACAGTGTGAAGATTCCTTAAAGAACTAAAAGTAGAACTACCATTTGGTCCAGCAATCCCTCTACTGGATATCTACCCAGAGGAAGAAAGTCATTATACAAAAAAGATACTTGCATATGCATGTATATAGCGGCAAAATTCATAATTGCAAAATCATGGAATCAATCCAAATGCCCATCAATCGATGAGTGGACAAAGAAACTGTGAGATATATATATATATATATGATGGGATACTACTCAGCCAAAAAAAGGAATGAATTAACAGCATTTGCAGTGACCTGCATGAGGTTGGAGACTATTATTCTAAGTGAAGTAACTCAGGAATGGAAAACCAAACATCATATGTTCTCACTGATACGTGGGAGCTAAGCTGTGAGGATGCAAAGGCATAAGAATGATACAGTGGACTTTGGGGACTTGGGGGGAAGAGTGGGAGGGAAGCAAGGGATAAAAGACTACAAATATGGTGCAGTGTTTACTGCTCAGGTGATGGGTGCACCAATATCTCACCAATCACCACTGAAGAACTGACTCATGTAACCAAATACCACCTGTACCCCAATAACTTATAAAAAATAAACAAAAAGGAAGAAAAAAGTTGTCTGTTTTCTGATGACATTATCTTATGTATAGAAAACCCTGAAGATTGACTGGGCATGGTGGTTCACGCCTGTAATCCCAGAATATTGAGAGGACAAGGCAGGTGGATCACCTGAGGTCAGGAGTTTGAGACAAGCCTGGCCAACATGGTGAAGCCCCGTCTCTACTAAAAATACAAAAATTAACCAGGTGTGGTGGCGAATGCCTGTAATCCCAGCTACTCAGGAGGCCGATGCAGGATAACTGCTTGAACCCAGAGGTGGAGGTTACAGTGGACCAAGATCATGCCATTGCACTCCAGCCTGGGTAACAAAAGCAAAACCCCATCTCAAAAAAAAAAAAGAAAACCCTGAAGATTTTACCTAAATAAAAGCTGTCCAAATAAACAACTGTAGTAAAATTGCAGGATACAAAATCAACATACAACAATCAGCTGCATTTCTCTACACAAACGACAATAATTCAAAAAGAAATTAAGAAAACAATCCAATTTATAATAGTATCAAAGAGAATAAAATATTTGAAGGGACCTCGGTACCACATATATCCTCCACAGTGTCTACCATAGTGCCTTGATTCAAATAGAAGACATATTGAGCATAAATGACCAGCTTTGAAGGGTATAGGACAATAATGAGAAAATTTAGCCCTCAAACATTACAATGTGGAACTACAGGACCTCATAAAGAACAACAAAAGTCTTTAGGTACAAAGCTACAGAAATCAAAACAGTGTGATACTGGCATAAGAAAAGACACATATACCAGTAAAACAGAATAGATAGGCCATAAATATACACACATATAGGGTCAACTAATCTTCAACAATGCTGCCAAGAATACAAAATAGGGAAAGGATAATCCTCAATAAATGATTCTGAGAAAACTGAACATTTACACGGTAAAAAGAGTGACATCGGAGTGGAGGGTAAGATGGCCAACTAGATGCAGCCAGGTGGAACACCACCCATCGAGGGACCAAGATGACTGGCATGTCCCTGACAGATCTTCAGAGGGAAAGTCCTGAGAGTGGATGGAGGGAAGATACAGAAGCTGGAAAGAAGATACAGAAGCTGAAATGGAAAAAAGCTGGGAACCCAGCACAGGGCTACCACACACCAGGAAGCATTCCTGGCCCACAACAGCTCTCCGGGAATAGGTGAGTTGAACTGGCAAGGAGCACCCTGTTCTCACCACATGCCTCTGGAACTCTGGCAGGGGGAGACTCCTTGACCACCATGAACATTCGAGTTGGCAGAGAGAGCTGCTTAGAGAAGTGGTAGGGGCACCAAGCCAGCTGATGTGGAGCCCAGAGGGTTGGGTATGGGAGTGTCTGTAGCAGAGCAAAGCCAGCAATGGCCATACCCCTAGATGCGACTTGCTTCCATAGGAGACTTTAGCCTAGGAGAACTGTCATACCTGATATCTGCAGGGTGTCTTGCTCATCAGACAGGTTTGGTCAGACCTGAACACCCCTTGATCTGCTGGCCTCCTCTGACTAGCAGAGAGCTCCAGTGGGGCAGCCCCTGCAGCCACCAGCCCACCTGCTCCCTCCCCATATTGCAGCTTTTTTTCAGGCCCACGGAAACTCCCCCTTTGCTGGCACTGTCTGCAGGGCAAGTTGTTGTTTTTCTTGCCCTGCCAGCATGTAGGAGTGCAGTGCGCTCCCCCAACTCCCCACCACTGGCAATTGTCATCGCAGACAAAGTCTTGGTGGGCACAGAGCCAGCCAGCCCTGCCCCTGCCAGTGCCCTGCCCTTGCGCTAAAACTGTGCAGAGAACAGCAGATCCTCCCCTGCCCTGAGCAAACACTCCAGCTAGCAGGACACAGAGAAGGGACCCAGGCCTGTGCCCACAAGTACCCCACCCCCAAGCCAACAACCTCCAGCCTGACTGCACAGAGTTGCCATCAGGGGCCCCCCACCTCACCCAGCTGCAGTGCCTTCACCACTATGGCAGCTGACACAACTCGGCTCCCCCAGCACAGTAGGTTCCTGATGTCAAGGAGCCAGAGGACAAAGTTGGGGCCCAATAGAGGTCCCCCAGAGTTAGAGAACATGGTCCAGGAGTTAAAAGCTGAGTGTTGGCCCCATAAAATCTCCCAGAAACAAAGCTAGTTGGCTGAATCGACCTTATACCTCAACAAAACCCTCAAGGTCATCAAATAGGATAAAAGAAAAAAGAAACCCATCCAAAGGTCAGCAACCTCAAAGACTGAAGGGAGATAAGCGCACAAAGATGAGAAAGAATTGGTGCAAGAACCCTGAAAACACAAAATGCCAGAGTGCCTTCTTTCCTCCAAATGACCACAATGCCTCTCCAGCAAGGGTTCTGAACTGGGCTGAGATAGCTAAAATGACAGAAATAGAATTCAGAATATGAATAGAAATAAAGATTATTGAGCTACAGGAATATGTTGAAACCCAATCCAAGGAAGCTAAAAATCATGATAAAACAATGCAAGAGCTGACAGATGAAATAGCCAGTATAAAGAAGATTGTAACCAAACTAATAGAACTGAAAAACACACTACGAGAACTTCACAATGCAATCACAATTATTAATAGTAGAATAGACCAAGCAGAAGAAAGAATTTCAGAGCTTGAAGACTCTTTCTGAGATAAGACAGGAAGACAAGAATACAGAAAAATGAATGAAAAGAAATAATAAACCCTGAGAAATATGGGATTATGTAAAGAGACCAAATCTATGATTCCTTGATGTCCCTGAAAGAGATGGGGAGAATAAACCCAACTGCGAAAACATATTTCAGAATATGAGAACTTCACCAACCTTAGCTAGGAAGGCCAACATTCAATTTCAGAAATGCAGAGAACTCCAGCAAGATGCTTCACAAGAAGATCATCCCCACAACACATAATCATCAGATTTTCCAAGGTTGAAATGAAAGAAAAATGTTAAAGGCAGCTAGAGATAAAGGTCAGGTCACCGGCAAAGGACACCCCATCAGCCCAATGGACCTCTCAGTAGAAACCCTACAAGTCAGAAGAGATTGGCAGGCAATACTGAATATTCTTAAAGAAAACAAATTCCAACCCAAAATTTCATATCTGACCATACTAAGCTTCATAAGCAAAGGAGAAACAAGATCCTTTTCAGACAAGCAAATGCTGAGGGAATTTGTTATCACCAGACCTGCCTTACAGGAGCTCTTGAAGGGAGCACTAAATATGGAAAATAAAGCCCATTATCAGCTAGTATAGAAACACACTGAAATACACAGACCAGGTCTGTCATTGAACAGACCAATAACAAACTCTGAAATTGAGTCAGTAACAGACTAACAACCAAAAAAAGCTCAGGACCAGACAGATTCATAGCTGAATTCTACCAGATATGCAAAGAAGAGCTGAAACTATTACAAAAAATTAAGACAGAGTAACTCCTCCCCAAGTCATTCTATGAGGCCAGCATCATCCTGATATCAAAACCTGACAGAGACACACACACAAAAGAAAACTTCAGGCCAATACCCTTGATGAACATCAATGCAAAAATCCTAAACAAAATACAGCAAGCCAAATCCAACACCACATCAAAAAGCTTATCCACCATGATCAAGTAGGCTTTACCCCTGGGATGGAAGGATGGCTCAACATATGCAAATCAATAAATTTGATTTATCACATAAACAGAACTAAAGACAAAAAACACATGATCATCTCAATAGATGCAGAAAAAGCTTTCAATAAAATTCAACACCACTTCATGTTAAAACCTCTCAATAAACTAGCTATTGAAGGAACATACCTCAAAATAATAAGAGCCATGTATGACAAACCCACAGCCAACATTATAATGAATGGGCAAAGGCTAGAAGCATTCACCTTGAAACCAGGCATAAGACAAGGATGCCCTCTCTCACTACTCCTATTCAACATAGTATTAGAAGTCCTAGCCAGGACAATCAGTCAAGAGAAAGAAATAAGGGGCATCCAAATAGGAAGAGAGGAAGTCAAACTATCCCTGTTTGCAGATGACATGATTCTATATCTAGAAAACCCCATAGTCTCAGCTCCAAAGCTCCTTATGCTGATTTTTAAAAATCAGCAAAGTCTCAGGATACAAAATCAAAGTGCAAAAATCACTAACATGCATACACACCAACAATTTGGCCAAGAGCCAAATCAGGAATCCAATCCCATTCACTTGCCACAAAAAAGAATACAGTGTCTAGGATTACAGCAAACCAGGGAGGTGAAAGATCTCTACAAGAACTGCAAAACACTGCTCAAAGAAATCAGAGATGACACAAATGGAAAAACATTCCATTATCATGAATAGGAAGAATCCATATCATTAAGATGACCATACTGCGCAAAAGAAATTTATAGATTCAGTGGTATTCCTATTAAACTACCATTGACATCCTTCATAGAATTAGAGAGAACAAAACTATTTTAAAATTCATGTGGAACCAAAACGGAGCCCCAGTTGCCAAGGTAATCCTAAGCAAAAAGAACAAAGCTGGAAGAATCAAGCTACCCCACTTCAAACTATACTACAGGGCTACAGTAACCAAACTAGTATGGTACTAAGTACAAAAACAGGCACATGGACCAATGGAACAGAATAGAGAACCTAGAAATAAGCCTGCACACCTGCAACTACCTAATCTTCAACAAATCTGACAAAAACAAGAAATGAAGCAAGAATTCCCTATTCAATAAATGGTGCTGAGATAACTGACTAGCCATATGCAGAAGATTGAAACTGGACCCCTTCCTTGCACCGTATACAAAAATTAACTCAAGATGGATTAAAAACTTAAATGTAAAACTCAAAACTGTAAAAACCATGGAAGACAACCTAGGCAATACCATCCTGGATATAGGAACGGGCAAAGATTTCATGACAAAGATGCCATAAGCAATTGCAACAAAAGCAAAAATTGACAAATAGGATTTAATTAAACTTAACCTCTGCACAGCAAAGGAAACCATCAATAGAGTGAACAGACAACCTACAGAATGGGAGAAAATATTGGCTAACTATGCATTTGACAGAGGTGCAATATCCAACATCTATAAGGAACATAAACAAGTTTATTTTAAAAAGAAAACATTAAAAAGTGGCCAAAGGACATGAACAGACACTTCTCAACAGAAGTCATACATGCAGCCAACAATCATATGAAAAAAGCTCAGCATCGCTGATCATTAGAAAAATGAAAATCAAAACCACAATGAGATATCATCTCACATTAGTCAGATTTGCTATTATTAAAATGTCAAAAAATAACAGATGCTGGTGAGGTTGTGGAGAAAAAGAAATTCTTATACACTGTTGGTGAGAGTGTAAATTAGTTCAAGCATTGTGGAAGATAGTGTGTCAATTATTCAAGACCTAAAGACAGAAATGCCAGTCAACCCAGCAATCTCATTTCTAGGTATATACCTTAAGAAATATAAATCATTCTATTATAAACACACATGCACATGTATGTTCACTGCAACACTATTCACAATAGCAAATTCACATAATCAATCTAAATGCCCATCAATGATAGACTGGATAAAGAAAATGTGGTACATATACAACAAGAAATACTATGCAGCCATAAAAAAGAATGAGATCGTGTTCTTTGCAGGAACATGTTTGGAGCTGGAGGCCATCATCTTTAGCAAATTAACACAGGAACAGAAAACCAAATACTGTATCTTCTCACTGATAAGTGGGAGCTAAATGACGAGAACACATAGACACATAGAGGGGAAGAACACACACTGGGGCCTATTGGAGGGTGGAGGGTGGGAGAAAGGAAAGCATCAGGAAAAAATGACTATTGGGTACTAGGCCTAATATCTGGGTGAGGAAATAATCCGTACAACAAACCCCCATGACGTAAGTTTACCTATATAACCAACCTGCACATGTACCCCTGAACTTAAATGTTAAAAAAAATGACATTGGACTCTGTCTCACATCATATACTCAAAATGGAAGAAAGACTTGGACATAAGACTTGAAACTATATTACTAGAAGAAAACACAGGGGAAAATCCTCTTGCCATTGGTCTTAGCAATTACTACTTGGATATTACAACAAAAGCACAGGCAACAAAAGCAAAAATATACAGTAGGATTTCATTAAACTTAAAAGCTTCTGCCCAGCAAGGGAAACAATCAACAAAGTGCAGAGACAGCCTAAGAACTGAATAAAATATTTGCAAACTATCTAATAAGTGATAGTTAACCAAAATATATAAGAAACTCAAACTATGCAATAGCAAAAAAAAAAAAAAAAGACAGAAAAGACAGAAATTTAAAAATAAGGCCAGGCATGGTGGCTCACACCTGTAATCCCAGCACTTTGGGAGGCCAAGGCAGGAGGATGACTGGAGGCCAGGAGTTCAAGACCAGCCTAGGCAACATAACAAGACCCCATCTCTACAAAAATAAAAATAAAAATTATCTGGGTATGGTGGCACATGCCTGTAGTCCTAACTACTTAGGAGGCTGAGGTGGGAAGATCGCTTGAGTCCAGAAGTTCAAGGCTTCAGTGAGCTAGGATCACACCACTGCACTCCAGCCCATGTGACAGAGCAAGATCTTGTCTCTTAAAAAAAAGAAAGAAAGAAATTTAAAAATAACCTAATTTAAAACAGGTGAAGAACCCAAATAAACATTTTTTCAAAGAAAACATTTGAAAATGACTACAGTTTATATACAGGCTGACCAAAAATGGCCAGCAGGTATATGAAAAGGAGTTCAACATCACTAACCACCAGGAAAATGCAAATCAAAATCACAATCAGGTATTATCCCACACCTGTTAGAACTGCTATCATAAAAAAGATAAAAGATAACAAGAACTGGCAAGGATGTGGAAAAAAGTGAATCCTTTTACACTGTTGATGGAAATATAAATTGGAGAATTTCATTGCAGCCCCATGCACTTAAGACAGGGTACAATGTTTCAGGTATGCTTGATAAGTTCTAGATATCTAATCTACAACATGGTGACTACAGTTAATAATGTATACAGTCATGCATCTCTTAATGATGGAAACATGTTCTGAGAAATGCGTCATTAGACAATTTCATCATTGTGCAAACATCATAGAGTATACTTACATAAACCTAGATGGCATAATATACACACACCTAGGCTATATAAATATATCCTACCTCTCCTAGGCTACAAATCTATTACAGCATATTACTGTACTGAATACTGTAGGCAATTGCAGCACAATGGTATTTGCATATCTAAACACAGAAAAGATACAATAAAAATACAGTATTATGGGACCATCGTTGTGTATATAGCCTGCAATTGACCAAAACTTTGTTATATAGCATATCAATGTACTCAAAACTTGCTAAGAGAGTAGATCTTTAGTGTTCTCACCACCAAAAAGAGGGAGAGGGTACAGTAGCTATGTGAGGTGATGAATATAATCTTAGCTTGATTGTGTTATTTCACATGTATATGCATATCAAAACATCATGTTGCATACCTTAAATATACATAAATTGTATTTGTCAATTCTTTCTCAAAAAAGCTGGAAAAAGAAAGAAGCATCTGCTATAGTCTGTTTGGAGGAATACAGCCTGGCAAAAATGTCCCAGATCCAATTCTTGTTGATTGTTTAACTGCTCATCCTGGTAGTATTGTTCTGTATCAGCTTACCTTCCTGTAAAGAGTTTGTAAGGTACTGTTATCAAAACTATGCCTTCATCTTTTTATATGTTTTGGTTTTTAGCTTTGTTGAAAAGAATAAAATATTTTAATTATTAATTTAATGTATGTGTATAAGGTACAGTGTATTTAATAGGACCATCGGAATTAAAGTGGCCACACTCTAACAGGCTTTGCTAGTAAGGTTGTCATCTCTTTGACAGTTTTGAAAATTAACACAGATTCAAGCAAGAAAATCTAAGGAATGGTTTATCTAGACATGAAGAACACATTTGATTCAGTACCACCCCAAACAGAATCTGCAAAGCCAGCAACTCTATTTGGCCATAAACCACTTCAGTGAATAACACACTCTAATGAAGGATGAAGATGAATCGTCTTGGTTAATGGAAATGCTTCAGCATGGAGAGAGAGAATAAGTACCCCTACAAATGACTGTTAGGTTTTCCTTTTTTTCTCACTTTAAGGGACTGGAGAAAATAAATATTTAAGGAAAGAAAAATGGGGCACTATAAAATCAAATGGGGAGGCTAGCAGAGCTTTACTGAGAAAAAGTATAGGATTCTAAAATCAAATCTGAGACAAAGAAATTCACACACTAGAGAACAGGGGTCCTGTGTTTCTACATCTTTGTAGCTCTTTTCGCCGCTAGGATAAACTTATAGAGGCATTCGGCAAACCATGGCTACTGGAGTTAGAAGAATCATCTGGTTCCCTATTTGTAAACTTCAGTCATCCCACAGCAATTTTTATCATAGCTGCATAAAATCTGTACTCTGATTTATTTAATATTTTCTTAAAATTGACTCTAATTCTTTTACTTAAAAAATTACATCCAATAGAAAACTTACATTGTGTCGAATATGACATATAACATTGTTATATGCTAGTTATTTTGCCCTAAGACACCTTAAAACAAACAGCAAACATTTAAAAACTATTCATTCATAGTCACCTAAAATTATCTTGTATACCACAAGTGGTACTTGTAATAGACTTTGGAAAACATTGGTCTAGCTAAACTCTCTGTAAATGAATATTATTTGAACCCAAATTTTATTTGCATCCCTGGATTCCCTTGGAGCCACCTGTCCCTAGGCTCTCAGCTGCTCTGTCTACCTCAGCCATCACTCCTTGTGCCCACAGGGTTCCTCCACCTGGGACCAACAAGCCACTTTCCCTGGATTTCCTAGCTCCTTCCCATTCTGGCCACCTCAAAACAACATGGCTGACTTATCTTACACAGAGACTTCCTAGTTCCTCCCACCATTTTCAGACTTAGATAAAACACCACATGCAGAGCAGAGGATCTTATATAGGGCAGCCTTTGAAGGTGCTAGATGATAAAACTCAGAATTGCAGGAAGTGAACAATCCATGGAGCAAATACTGATCTATAATTTCTCTACTTTTTGCTCCCACAAACTAATCCTGGCACAGTTTCTCCTTACAGCCCATTCTGCAAAGTTTCTTGTGCAAAAAGAACTCATGTGATAAATGCCCTACTGTGTCTCTTTGTGGTCTGTTATGAAGTATTACATAATTTAACATTGTCTCACAGTCTTCCTTGCTTCACTTGCCTATTTCCTTACTCTTTCTGCCCTAGGTTTGGCATCTCCCACAAAAAGCATTAGCACATTAACCCTTGCCTTGGGGGCTATTCTCTAGAAAAATTCAGATTAAGAAAAATGCCCTTTACAACCCTCCCTAACAAGTCACTCAGCCTCTGCTTGAAGAACTCTAGTGACATACAACTTAATGACAGACACATAATCCTCTCCAGGTTGACACACGTAACATTAATAGAATATTCTTAGAGTGGACTATAACCTACCACAATCTTAGTAAGTTTTCCTTTTAACATAATTTTTAAATAAAAAAATTAAAGCAAATTTTGAGAAAATATTAAATAAATCAGAGTACAGATAGTATGCAGATATGACAAAAATTGCTGTAGAATGAATGAAGTTTAGAAATAGGGAACCAGACTATTCTTCTAACTCCAGTGTCTATAGTTCCCTGAATGCCTTTACAACTTTATCTTAGTGGTAAAAAGAGCTGATCAAGCCTTTCCTCTGAGTTCCGTGCAGATGGGGACTGCCAGGGAGATTTAGAAGGATTTGCTATGGTAAAGGCCCTCGCATAGCATGCTCAAAAGGTACAATACCTTCATTATGAAATCACTGAAGAGTAATAGCTGACTAGTACCAACCTGTGACGGCTTGCCCCAGGGTGCCTAGGAAACGAGAAAAACGAATAGAAAGTTTTGTCTAAAATTAACTTTATTTGTACAGCTGTCCTTTATTCTGAGATGATGGCCTTTCTACCCTTTGGCATTTAACATGCCCTTTCTTCTATTAAATAATAATAATAATAAATAAAAACACTTTTTAACTGTCCTTTCTTGACTATATAAAAAATAACAATCCTACAATGATTCCCATACTTTTTCTAACTCACAGTTCCGTGAAATCTAAATTCCAGAAACAGTTGTTCATTATGGAACATAATAAAGGTCATACATATGTCTTATTCATTGAATAAACAAATAAATTAATAAAATTAAAGTAAAACTGACATAAAAGTTGAGAAATCAAGTAAACTCTACAGGGTCTCTTTTCCTTCAAATTAACATTCATGACTAAGAGATAAGGCTCTGGGTTCCAGTCTATTCCAGAAAGTGTGGGTTGACATTTTCCCATCTCGTTCCTTAGATACTTCTGAGGGTGAAAAATGTTTTATCAGACACCCAGATTTACGAGTAAACTCTAGCCCTTCATTGTTACTTATCCCGGCATCTCAGTTTTTCTTTTAGGTTCATTTAACACTTCCTATAGTGTGTGAGAGAACTGTCATATCAGATTGTCAATAGTAAATTCACTACCAACCTGGTAATCACTTTCATTACCCACAAAAACTGCTATTGAAATCCTTCAAGAAATGATTGATATGCTGCATCCTGTGTTGACATATCACACTAATGATGGAGAGAAAGAGTGAAGAAAAAGTTTTAATGATGCATTCATTCTAGAAGATGACAATATGGCTGCAGGGCAGTGGGAAGTGATTATTGGCAATGCCTCCTTTACTTCAGATTGAGGGCACACAAGCAGGACAGGACTTCTCCAAAACAAGTTCACCTGTTGCCAGACACCCAGACAATTTCTGAGGTGATGAACATAGTGACCTGATCTAAAAGTACAATTACAGGAAGCCCAAATCCCAAGGCAACATAGTGAATGTCCAAAGGGACAGGCTAACTGCACCCATCTGATAACAACAGCATCCATGATAAATAATAATGTTTATTGAGCACTCATGTGCTAGGCCCTGTGGTAAGTGCTTTACAGGCATGTCGCTTAATCCCATTGTATATTGTCTATCTCTCATATGGCAGTGTAAGGTCCAAGAGGGAAAAGACCTAGCCTACCTCGCTCAGCAGTGTATCCTAGGTTCCTACAAAAGCACCTGGATATAGGAGGTGCTCAATAAATATTTGTGGATGAATGAACTAATCAATCAATGATCACCTCCTACTTGAGCTTGATACACAAGGCCTTCAGATGAAACTCCAGAATTCTGCAGAGAAATTTTTTAAACTAGCCAGATGCAGTGGCTCACACCTATAATCCCAGCACTTTGGCCGAAGTGAGAGGATCATTTGAGGCCAGGAGTTTGAGACCAACCTGCACAACATAGCGAGGCCTCATCTCTACAAAAATAAAAATAAATAGAAAACCACCAACTGAGCTGAAAACACTAGTAGGGTATAAATTAAATTTTTTAAAAGTCTGTAAAAATGTTAAGAGTATTCCATCAGCTATAAGATATAAATCAATAGTACATTTACACTTAAAACTAATTGGAAAATGTTTTATTGTTGTTTATCATATGCTCATTTATGGGTATAAGGAGGGTTTTCACACAAAGGTAATGAAGAATCCAATGAGAAACCAGGGTCACCTGACAAGAATAGACTGCAGAACTGCCCTTTGGCATGCGAACTTTCCTGCTGTTGGTTGAAGAAGCAGCCCACATGCTTCCAGTCCTTTCAGATAAGATGCTCAATACCTGTGGGAGCCAATCAGCCTGGCTGTCTTCTAGGCCTCCCCTATAATGAGTTCCACCAAAGCCACAAGCTTACAGACATTCTGGAAGTAGGCAGATGCCTTCACCAATGTCTTTAGGAGTATCACAGACAAAATAAAACTTTCAGAAATTATTTTGTTGATAAAGAACTTACATTTGAAGGAAAAGTAGAGAAAGAGATGACAGAAGCAAAACAAAAGAATTTACCCCATATTTTGAAGAGTTTGTGCAAAATTGGTATTATCATTTACAGAAAGTCACACTATGAGAGGGCAATAATGACACTAAAGAACGTGTAATAGGATCCCCAAAGCCCTTCTTGTGGTGTATATAACTGTGACCCTACAACTTCAGCAATCCTAGGAGCCCTCATCACTGCTGAATAGAGAAAATGCCGCCTGCTTCCCTGTGTCTTCCTGATGGAACATGACCACCCCAGAGCAGAGAGCATCACTCAGAAGAAAGACCTATGGAAAATGCAAATATTATTTTTATCATGAATTATTCACTTATAAAGGTTCCAGTCAGAGACTGATACAAAAACAAAAAAAAAGTACCATTATTTCCAAAGTCTCTGAAGAGGCTAAAATACAAAACATTTTACATAGGTCTGGTGGATTATTTAGAGAAACATAAAAACATTTGTCAGATGAGAAAAACTTTCTTGTAATACTCTTGGTCTTTTCTAAAGAATCTTCCTAATATCCTTATTTTCTTCTCATTTTTCTTAATTTCTGCCTAATTTTGGCTTTAGTCTTTTCTCCATTTATTCTTACACTTCTTGCAACTCTCTTTTCCCCAAAACCCAAAAGGAAGCATATGGGGAATATAATTTTTTTAAACCTCAAAAACACACATAGTAAATTAAAAGCCTAGTTTACAAATACAGATGGGGAGGAAATATAACTTTTTCCTTTTTTATAAAGTGATCCAACTCATATTTCTATCTCCCATTCCCCTTTCACAGAGCTAGTGGTCAACTTAACCTTATTCATTTTCAGGGTTTCCCTTTCAATGTCATCTCAAGGTTCCCAAAGCCTTACGTATTGTCAAAATGGAGTGACGGACACTCTCTGGTGATTGGGACATCAATGTATCTGAGTTTCCCCTAGAATATTTGCATTCCTGTCCATGTGATCTCATTAGATCCTGTAGATCTCTGTTACTTCTGGACCACACTTGGATATAGACATCCTGTCTCAAAACTGCTCTTAGTCCCATCTGCCAGAAGGCATTCTGTAATCATTTCTCTCTCTGGTCATGCAGAGAACCCAAAAGTGGATGCTCCTTCTCAGTCAAGCTAACATATGACTGCAGCCCTGGATGACATCTTGACTACAATTTCATGAAGGACCTAGAGCCAGAACACTCAGCTAAGTGCTGTCTTAGCTCTTCCTTTCAGTTGAAGGGGAATCTCTTTTTAATCCAGGGGGAAAATCTTCAATTTTTTTTAATATCCAGCCATTTTTCACATGCATTTGACTGCTTTTTACCAGCTCTGCAGACTTTACCAAATTCTCCTAACCCTTAGTCCTTTGAAAAAAAAAAAAATGACCAAAAAGTATATTGGCTCCTTCTACTCACTCTTTACCCCATGCCTCCCTGAGGCAACTAAGATACAAGGAAACCTGCTTCACAGGAAACAAGGGAAAGGAAAATCCATACAGGGATAAAAACATATCACATATTGACCCAATCTGACTTAATATAGGTACATGTAACTGAGTTCTGTTGATTCTTATCGTCTCCGTTCTCTTCACTCCTCTTCATTCCACTGCCACTGTATTAGTTCAGGACTATCATTTCTTACTACAAAAACCACTGAGCCCAGCCTCCTTCCCCACTACTATCAGAGTGGGTTTCCTAACAACAACAAAAAATCAAATGATACCATGTCACTGGACTGGCTGAAATGGTTTGGAACATCTTGGCTGCTTTCAGGAATTAATTCAAACTCCCTAGCATGGCACATGAGACTCTGGGAATTGGACCTTGCCTTCTCCAGCCTCATCTCTTACTATTCCTCAGCATATACTCTACCCCAAAGCCATAACCAGACAAGAATATGATGCAGTATTCCAAGTCTTCCTGCCTTAATTTATGCCGTTCCCTCTATCTGGAACTCCTTTCCTTCCAATCTTCTTATATTGAACTGACTTGCTCTTTTAGACTTTCCTCTGGGATCACTTTTCCAAGAAATTCTTCTTTACTTCCTCTCATCTGTGATTGGGAATCTCTTTTCTGAGTATCTATAGCACTCCACACAACCCTCACTGTTAAAATTATTGGTTTGCTAATCTCTCTTCCCCAAAAGTCTGTCAGCACCTTGATATCAGGAATTCTCTTTCATCTCTGCATCCTCAGGACCTAGTACAGTAATCTACAAATCGCAAATGTTCAGCAAACAATTCTTGAGTTAATGCATAATCATATAATTTATGCTACCTAAGATGAAGTCAATTTCTATATTCCATACCTAGCACATGGGATATTTGTGTCAAGCAAATTCAAATCAAGGTAATAAGTTTTGCTGATCAATTCTAAACTCACTGACTAGGTTAACATTTTGATTTTTTTCCCCTGAGAACACTACTCTCGTATCAGCCTAAATATCTGGAGGCTGTGATTTATCTTTGATGTCAGTAACAAGGTTCTATATTTTGGCATTCATAGAAAAACAAAACAGTAAATGAAGCACATATTGGCATAACTCATATGTTACACTATACCTTACTACAATCTTATACCCTTGGGTAAGCTGATTGAAAATTAAATGGGAATAGACATTTAAATTACACCAAAGGGATGTCAATGGATTGCAGACTTACTTTTGTATCAATCTATTCTTGATTGCACAGTATTTTGTTAGTGGTCACTATATAACACTTTTCAACAGGCCATTGCATACTGTGTATTTTACTAGATGCAATACTCTGTGTTTACGCAATTACAGAATAACCAATATTTGGCTACTTATTTCAGGTAGCATATTAAGCTTAAACAAAGAAATTTAAATTAAGATCTTGACATTATCTAAATGAATACAGTGTTTAATTTTGTAAAAATTAATTTGACCTATTTTTATACTTTCTTATTCTTTTGTTCATTTAGGCCCTTAAATTCATTATCATTGGATTAGCTGTCAGATACTCCTAATTAAAGTAATCTCTAAGTATAGTACAGGTAGAATTTTTCAACTCATGGTATAATAAAAAGGATATGGCTTGTATCGTACACATCACAGTCCCCTTTTAAGTGTACACAGCAAATATTCAGCATTGGGGGTCAGAAAGCATCTGCCATTAGACAGAAGATGACACCTGTGTATAATTATCTAGCACGATTAATGAAGAAGGAGATCAAAGTTTCATGCAATTTTAATTTTCTGCTCTAGACTTGATGTGCAAAGGATTTGTACTGGGTAATAAAGGAATACAGGTTCATTCTAATAAGCATGACAAATGAATTTTTTAAATGAGCCTGACTCATTAGCTAGGCGTATATAAACCTGTGTGACCCTTAGTGCTCTAGCAGAATTTGGGGATAATTTTAATGCCTAATTACCGGTTGTGTGATGATATTTCAACAAATTAGTTCCTGTATGAAATGCAAACACACTTAGAAGTATTCATGCTGAGGTATGACAAAAACCAAAATGCTTATAAGGAAGGGATCTTGACCGCAAAAGCTAAATCATATTAACAGCAATTTTCCACAAGTCTACATTTTTAACATCTACTGTGGAACCTCTGAAGACATTTTGACAAGAATGACATTTTGGCAGAATTAACAAACCAGGAAAAGAATGTGTGCTCTACCCCGACATTAGTGTTATGGAAACAAAAACACACACAACACTGGATGCTGTGTTCAACTACAACGTGCATTTCCTAGATGTTGCTGATTCAACTTGATCTCAACATCCATATTATAACAAGCTAGTCTGGTGCCTCCAGAGTGCAGTGTGAACGTTCAGTGCCTTAAATTAAGATAAAGTACTTTTTTTCTTTTAAATAAGAGCTAAAGCTTAACATAGCATGAACGGAACAAAAAAGAAAAACAAATAAAACATTTAGTTTTAAATAATAGAATATGGAGTTTGGAGTAAATAGAACACATCTTCTGGAATTTTTTATGAGACTGGCTACTTGAAACTTTTTAAAAATAAGTTTCTTATTTCTTCTCAGGAAGCTCATTTTTTTTTAAAGTTTTGAAGTAAACTCATAATGGAACCAGGGATTCAGTGATCAATAAGATTTTCAACATCCTCCATATCACACTTGACTAAAGGCATTGTTTTTTGGTTTTATTTTCCAGCAAACATGAGTTGGGCACTTATACTGTGCTAAGTGCTAAAGGGATACAGAATGAACACCAGATCTCATCTTCAGGAAGTTCAAAAACTGGTCAGGGAAGTAGAAGTGCAAGCAAGTATAATGCAAAGAAGTCATGCATGAGTGCTATAGGGAAGGAACCAGCTAAGTGCTGTGGGAATCCAGGAGCACAAAGGAATTAGCAATTAAATTTCCAAGGTTGGCAGAAAGAAGGCTTTTGGAAGAATGTGCATTCATTTGCTCATTCATTAAACATTTATTGAGCATAAATAATGAGCCAGGCCTATATTAGGCACTGACTATATACAGAGATGTATAAAATATAGCTCTTGCCCTTCAAGATCTCACAGTCGTTCCTTGCATTCTCTCAGTGAATATTTTGCTTGGCCTTAGAGAATATAATGACCAATCAGAAGTACAGACTTCATGGAGTTTATAATCTGGAAGGCTCCATTGACAGGTAAAAGGACAGTCATGATACTGTGAGATAATCAACCAACATTTATATGTTTAAATAAATTAACCCACTTAATTCTCATAATGACCAGCTGAGAAAGGCACTATTTAAAGCTCCATTTTAGAAAGCGGAAAACAGTTACAGAAAGAGTATGTACCCGATCCAAAATTAAATATCCAAGAAAATGCAAAGCTAAAATTTGAACCCAGGAAATCTGGTGCCAGGACCTGTGCTCTAGCCAAAATGATATCACCAATCCAAGTTCTGTGATGGGGTCTGTGGTGCTCAGACATGAGAACTAATCTAGAAGTGGAAGGGGTGCCAAATTAATTTAAGCACATAAATGCTGGCTAGCTATTATTATTATCTCACAGTATCATGATTATCCTTTTACCTGAAAGAATGACATCCACGTTGACACTTGTTAATGACACAGAGAAAAATACTTTTTGAAAGGTAGGTATGGGGGGCTCATGCAGGATCCCTGCTGCATTTGAGCCAATATGACAAAAGGATGAGTAGAATCTGGACTTACGTAAAGAGAGAATGACATTGCAAGCTGAGGGGCACCCTAGGAAAGGCAGAGAAGCTGGTTTGACAATTTTCTCCTTGTTGGTAAAGCTCTTATACTCGCTATCCAAATGGAAAATAACTGAAATTGATTGATGTGGAAACTCCTGAGAGGGCAGATCTTTCTAAAGGAAATTGAAAGATATGTCAATAGCATTTGACTTTTAAACACCTCAATTTGCTCATCAAGATTTCAGAATCACTCAGAGCCCAAAGACCATTGTTTGTAACATTTTTTAACTGCAGAAGGGTCTAGCCACAAAAAGTTTCCTTAAAAAAATTGTTTTTCAGATGTAGACATAAAAAATAGTATCTAATATTTATTAAGCATTTATTCTATATTTGGCTTGGTGCTATACACTTGACATGAATTATTTTATGTAATATTTCACTTATAAAATAATTCATGTCAAGTATATAGCACTAAGCCAAATATGGAATAAATTTTATATACATTTTCAAATTTTTTATGAATAAGGAAAATGAAACAGAAAGTTTCCGTCATTTGCCCAAAGCCACAGAATGAAAGAGCTGGAAAGGAGACTAAGTCAGATATCAAGCCCATGCTCTTAACTATTATGCTATATGTAGCTGAGAGTCACAGAAAGCTTGTAACCAAATATTTATATTGCCCTGATGAATAGAAACTGCCTTATTTATTCTTTTTTTGAAATATAGTTTAGTGTAGAAGGAAGAGAAGGAGGAGACCTTGATTTGAGCCCCATCTCTATAACTTTCCACTCTTGGGCAAGCATTTCTCCTCTTTAAGCCTCTGCATCTTACCTTTAAATTGAAAGGATTTGACTACATGGTGTTTGAAGTACCTTCTGGCTATAAAGATCTGTATTTTTTTAAAAAAAAAGGCACGCATACCATTAATTATTCCTACATTTAAAAAAAAAGAGAATTTTAAATACGGATGGGATAAGTTGAAAATTTAAAGAATTCAAATTTAGTAAGATTTTTAGGAAATGTTGGCTAAAATCATCTGAGGAATCAACACGACATTTTCAATATGCTGAATTATTTGCTGCACCTATGTGAGGCTGAACATCCACCATATTTTTCACTCATAACTCTGAGGGCTAGTGACACAGTTCATTTCCTCATTTCAAAAAGATTGATTTCAGCCCTGAGAAAAGATACGCATGAGCTGGAAAAAATGAATGTTTATGGGAACCAGGAGCATCCGTTCTCATTCTATTAAAGCCTCAGCTTATGTTCCACTTAGGTCTTGCTTACTAAATTCAGGGTTGCTCAGTTTTTCATCTAAGATACCATGTGTTCATGAAAAGGAGCA
Organism: Homo sapiens; assembly: GCF_000001405.40. Taxonomy (NCBI): domain Eukaryota; kingdom Metazoa; phylum Chordata; class Mammalia; order Primates; family Hominidae; genus Homo; species Homo sapiens. The sequence continues at coordinate 100,545,765 of NC_000011.10, forward strand.
AGCTGTTTCTTTTAATCTAAGAGCCAAATGTAAAGATTCCTCAAGTGTCAGTTTTAATTTTAGTGTGCATGATCTTAAATCTCATGGACTGTGTCCACTTAGAGTGTGCCTCTAAGAGCTCTTAGCCATTCAAGTCTACAGTCATAGGAATAACCACATAACAGAAGTGACTCCCTCTGAAGAGTGACTCTTTGGCTCAGAGATTACTCTAGGGGCCACTTCCCACTGTCCTCTGCAAACCCGCTTTCAGTATTCTGCAATGCCACTAATCAGCCTTCTGTGTTTCATTTGTATGCATGTCTCATTGAGCCCAAATTCCCTTTCAGTGGGCTCAAATGAAATGAAATCAGATCAAGCCCTTTCCTGAGATGCAGCTTCTGTTTACAGCTGCTTTTGTACCTTGAACTGCAAACAAGAACCATCACCTGCTCAACTCATGGCCCATATCAACCTTCAAGAAGGAAGTAGAAAAAAGGCAGATGAAAAACTGATTATCTTAAGAAAAAGAAATGTCTGCCAAGATATGTGGAACAAAATATATTAATCTTACATTTATGGATCACTTTCCCAGACATGATCTTTTTTTTATTTTTTTAATTTTCAGAATTAGGCGAGTCCTCTTAGCCTAATTTTAAAATGAGAAAGCTGATAACTAAGAGGTACGATAAGGTCTCATTGTTTTGTGGAGACCATTTAATTCCTGTGGCTGCAGACCAAGATCTCACGCACAGCTTTGAGCAAGCACAACCAATGGGATTTAAGATCTTCTACCCAAAAATTCATACCAAAATTTGATACAATTTGTTTATTGGATTAAAGTCCACTTGATTTTAATTATTTAACAAATATTTCTTGGCTACCTACTTTTCCTTTTTTCAAGGAGCACATATACCAAGTCTCTCTTTCTGTCTACTACACTATGCTTGGAAATTAATAAAAGCTCAGTGGTGAATAATAATTGCCCCTCCCTAGCCCCAAAGTTGACCTGCTACAAATTGGTATTAACACCATTGATAGAGACACTTTGAGGATATCTACCAGAACACAATCCTAATAACCCTTCAAATATGATGACTACAATGCAAAGCATGCTCCCTGGCATTTTGCCAAATACAACCTGCAGAACCATAAAAGGAAAGCCTTGGCTCAGGAAAGGTTTCACAACTCTGAGGAAAGAATCTTGAAAGGAGGCTAACATGGTTTGGATCTATGTCCCCACCAAGTCTCCTGTTGAATTGTAATCCCAGTGTTATAGGTGGGGCCTGGTGAGAGGTGATTGGATCATGTGGGCGGAGTTCTTGTGAATGGGTTAGCACGATCCCCTGGGTGCTGTTGTTGTGAGAGTAAGATATCATAAGATCCGGTTGTTTAAAAGTGTGTAGCACCTCTCTGCTCTCTCACCTTCTGTGAAGGTGGCTCTGGCCATGTGAAGATGCCTGCTCCTGCCTTGCCTTCCACCATGAGTAAAACTCCCTGAGGCCTCCCCAGAAGCAGATGCTGCCATGCTTCCTATATAGCCCGCAGAACCATGAGCCAATTAAGCCTCTTTTCTTTATAAATTACCCAGTCTCAGGTATTACTTTATAGCAGTATGAGGCTAACTTTTGCATAGACAGAGGGAAAGAAGGAAAATTGGGAGGAATAGGCACGATCTAGGTGAGGCTGGTGCACAAATGGATTTCAATAGAGCAGCCAGTAATATTAATAGTGATAATAACATAGTTATTTATTGAGCACTTACTGTGTTCCAGGATCTAAACTTTGTGTGTCTTCATTTATTTGATCCTCACAGCAGCCCAATGAGAAAAGTGTCAATGATTTTTTTTAATTTAGGAATGAGGAAACTAAGGCACACAGAGCGTTCAAATAAGTAGGACTATAAAGAAAGTATCACTCGCTCCAAAAGTTTTATATTGTGTACACACAATTAGAAATAAAGAAAGAACTACTTAGCCACATCTACTCTATCTATTATTTGTAGAAAACGGATAATGGAAATAATAGAACTCATTTATAATTTTTTCATATTATACCTTTACCAACATTCATCATATTAAGAGCTGAAAATACCTATTTTAACAAGCTTATATGAGCAGACTACAGATTAATTTTCTGTTATTATAATTTTAGATGGCATTTCAAAACAATCATTTTTCACCAAAAATTATTTTCTTTATACATCTTATGAATTCACCCAAAAATTGTGAAAATTGATTTTTTAATCTCAGTATTTAGTGTTATAAATCACAGATTGCCTCAATCTAAACTTCTTATAATAGCCCTACAGTAAAAATTGGATAATTCCACTAACATAGACTACTCAGCACAGAGTTAAGTTTTACTTTTTTAGTGAACTAAGAAAGATTTTGGTAAATTTTAAACTATTTTTAAAACTTAACCTTTTTTTTTTTTTTTTTTTTTTTTTTTTGAGATGGAGTCTTGTACTGTTGCCCAGGCTGGAGTGCAGTGGCGTGATTTCAGCTCACTGCAAGCTCTGCCTCCCGGGTTCACGCCGTTCTCCTGCCTCAGCCTCCCGAGTAGCTGGGACTACAGGTGCCCACCACCATGCCCGGCTAATTTTTTGTATTTTTAGTAGAGACAGGGTTTCACCATGTTAGCCAGGATGGTCTTGATCTCCTGACCTCGTGATCCGCCCACCTTGGCCTCCCAAAGTGCTGGGATTACAGGTGTGAGCCACCATGCCCTGCCAAAACTTAACTTTATTAACCTATTTTTGAAACTTAAATGGCAAAGCAAGGCAATTCTTGAAGTATTTCTGCCCTGAACAGAGGAGTGCACCCTTGAAGTCACTGTATTGGTACCAATTATTTTGTAAGATTGCAGTGTTGATTCCTGCAGGCACCATGTTTACCTGATTAGAAGGATTTATTTTTCCTCATATTTTTTAAGTTATTATCCATTTCATTGCTTTGTGGTTCAAGAAAATGTGTTCTGCATGTGCCTGAGTCAGTTTGGACTGCTTTAACAAAAACACCACAGACTGGGGGGCTTGAAAAACAGAAATTTATTTCTTACAGTTCTGGAAGCTGTGAAGTCCAAGATTAAGGTGCCAGCAAAATCAGTATCTGATGAAGGCCCCCTTCCTTGTTTACAGACAGCCATCTTCTGGCTGTATCCCCACACGGAGGGAAAAGGGGAAAAGCTCTAGTCTCCTCCTTTTAGAAGAACACTAATTAACTTCCAAAGGCCTCTCACCTACTAATATCATCCCATTGGAAGTTAGGGCTTTTACATATGAATCTAGGGGCACAAACAGGCAGTTGGAGGGGCACAAACAGGCAGTTCATAACAATCTACTACCACTATTTCTTTCTTAATATCCTGTGAAGAATGTTCCATTAAAAAAATAGGACAGGAGTGGTGACTCACACCTGTAATCCCAGCACTTTGGGAGGCCAAGGCGGGCAGATCGCTTGAGCTCAGGAGTTGAAGACAAGACTGGGCAACATAGCAAACCCCATCTCTACAGAAAAATACAAGAATTAGCCAGGTGTAGTGGTGGCCCTCAAGTGATCCCAGCTACTTGGGATGCTGAGGTGGGAGAATCACTTGAGCCCAGGAAGCAGAGGTTGCAATGAGCTGAGATCACGCCACTGCACTCCAATCTGGGCGACAGAGTGAGACCTTGTCTCAAAAAAAAAAAGAAAAAGAAAAAGAAAGAAAGAAAAACTACTGGAAATTCTGTTTCAAGCAAATCTGGGAAGAGAGTGGCCAGAAGTTTTTTCTCTAAACTTTACCAGTATAGTAGGGTTCTTTTTTGCACACACTGGTTATAGTAAAGTTCTTTGCAAATGCTGGTTCCCATGAAAAACAACTTGATACCAACTAGATTCTTGTTGGAAACATTATTCTCATAACAGTTAGCCAGGAAAGATAAAAATCAATAGAAGAAAGCTGAGTAGACGAATGAGTTATAGCCTATATAATGGCAATTGCCAGAGTATAGTGAGAGGGGTTGGAAAATATCACCTTGCTATATAAAAAGAGACCCTGCATAGGATCTTATGGGATGTAGTTGAATTATGGTTGCACTGTTTGCCCTTAATGGAAATATCTTCATTTGACTAAGTCAGCCATCAGGTTTAATCATACAGGATATTGAAGTATATTAGATATTAATGATTAAATAAGATCAGCAAACTATAGTCAGCCATCTTATTAACGATTGTATTTAATAATGTGTAGAAGATAATGAGAAAAGCAAACAACAAAGGGATCAGAATGGTAAACAACTTAAGTCAACACAATTCCTAATACACACACTCTATCAATGCATTTTTAGTGGGCTACTGTGTACTTCATTTAATTGAATCAGTAGAGACACATGGACCACAGATTGTTATAACCCATCTTATTGCTTGTTTCTGACTTTTCAGTGGGAGATAATTCATTATTGAAAGGTAAGCAGTTTGTTTTCCTGAACTCCCATTTCAATGCAAAGCATGGATGTAATTTGTTCTGAGTTACATTTCTCTAAAATTAAAAGGCATAAATCATATTTCTACATTCCACAACCAATCTGCCAAACACATCCAACTAGGAAAGACTGAAGGGTAAATGGCATGTTTTAGAATGACTGGAATCAACAGGAATCTATGAAAATTCTTATCATAAAATAAATAAAATTCTCAAATTAGCTAGCTGCTCTTTATGATCATACCTATTTTAAGTGCTTTTAAAGTGCTCTCTTATTGATTTATATATCACCAAGAAGTGGCTAATAAAACTAAAAGACTAGTCTGAACATTTCAGCGCCAAGAAATACAAACCTATGTATCTCATAAGGTGTGAGCCTTTTAAAAGGTTGACACTTTCATTCTCCACCCTGCCCTGAGATTGTCTGATCAAGACAAAAAAGGGGAAGAGAGGGAACAGTGTAAAACACTAGCGGAAATAAATGGTGGGCATTACTGTGTCTCTGCACGAATTATGCTCTTAGTGATAACTCATAATTTGAATAGTACTTTTTAAAGTGAAATGTGCTTTCACTTTTATTACTCTGTTTTTGCCTCACAAGTAAGTAAAGCAGGTACATTATTCTTTCCATTACAGAGGTAAAGAAACAATTTTGGGGAGTTTCAATGATGCCTGCTCTAGTAGGAAGTCAGACCTTGAACTGCAGTTGTCTTGAGTCCAGTATCTTTTCTACCACACTCTGCCACTTTTCCCATATCCTATAGCCCCTTTTAGAACAAATTGCCATTTTGGTAAATGGTAGAAGCTTGGTAACAACTTGAACTACACTTGGCACTCTGATAAATGGCCCAGGCACTTAATCGGGATGCTTGCCAAGGAACAGAGTTAGTGCAGTGCATTTCCAATGGCTCTAAACAGCAGATGAATTGCACATCAATTTATTTAAATAGCAAGAAGGCGAGTTTATTCATGGCCATTACCAGGTGCGGATTGATGCCTGCTAGCATAGATTTCCCACTGTGAAGCCCTTTAGTCACTCCATGAGGCTTCCCCACTCCATTATGCCTGCTAAATGAATCAATCTTACCTTAATATCATTCTTAAATATTTAATGCCAAGTTACAATGCTGCCTTTTAAAATCGGTTGGTAAAATAAAAGCAAAAATTGTTCAGCAGGATACACCCCACCTTACCAGCCTCCACTCTTCTGTATGATTACTTACTAGGGTGAGCTGTTTGCCCCCGAGGGTGGGCCAATTAAAAGGATTTATTTGCTTGTGTAACAATCTAGGCTGCAGCAAAAGGAACTGCAGTTTCAAAAAAGAGTAAGCAAGGCTTACTTTGCTGGTTGATTCCCTATTTGTTGTAATGCAGAGCTTGACCCAGAAAATTACTTCCAATACTTTATCAATGTGAGCTCCTTTAGAGGAACTGTACTGGTCACCATGTGGGAGAAAGCGAGCCATCCCTTTCTGAAAATAACTTTCAGTCTTGCTTCAGGGCAATGCTCGATATGCAAATAGTTAAATCACTGAATTTTTCGATAGCCAGTGCACTTAAGCCAAATAATTCAGATCAACTCTGTTGTTTTTAAAAATTGATATGTGATTCCACACCCAGATATGACTACTGTTTTATCTTTTTTTATGCTTTATATCTGGCATTTGAATGTATGTTTTACAAAGCCTTTCACCTCTGTGTGTTCATTTGTTGAGACAGAGCAGTTCTAGCTCACAACCTTGCCTGTTTCTTTCCAGTCCTCTCTTTCTGATTAGTCTCACTTCACTATTGTTTCTTTTGCTTATGTATCAAGGTTAGTGTAGAAGAAGGAGGCCTCAATGTCAATAAAATACGAGGTTCTTCCCAGCTTTATGGTTTTGCTAAAGATCTCAGTTATGGAAATGTGATGTATCTTTTCTCAAACTTTTTTCCCAAGCTTCATATTAATCAACTAATTAATTGATTCCAAGACAATCAAGCACCTTTTGGTTAAGAAAAAAAATTAAAACTCAATTCAACCTTTTAAGAAAAATTTTATATATATATATACACACACACACAGTATTGAAGTAAAATTATCCAAAAAGTAAAATTTATACCCTCAACAGTAAGCAGTAAATTGGATATCATTAAAATCTGCATATATTAAGACCCAAAAATGCTAAATATTGGGGATGTTATGGGAGAAGAAGTGTTATAAAATATTTGGCTAAGAGTGTTTCACTGAAAATCAGGAAATCTGGCTTCTAGTCCTGGCCCTGCTGCTAAATATCTGCCTGACTCCAGGTAATTTGCTAAGCCAGCTAATTGTACAGGTACCACCTACCTGTAAAGTAAGGGGTTAAGCTAGGACCTTGCTGCTTCAAGTGTGGTCAGCCTGGATCCTGTTAGAAATGCAGAAATGCGACCTCAACCCGACCCACTGTATCAGACTTTGTGTGGTAACAAGATCCACAGGTGATTTGAGAAATGACAAAATCTGATTCTAATGAGCCTGTGTGGACTTAGATTGAAGGCCACCTGCTGCGTGGGAGGGGCTTGTCTGGGGCTGTTCAGATTCAGGAAACTTCTCAAGGAAATACTGCTTCATAACAGTTTCTCAATCCAATTGTGCTGCCTTCAATTTGGAGACATGAAGATGGCATCAAAGCTGTTGTCTGCACAGTCTCTGACTTGAAGACAGCGATTCCCCTTCGCAGGGTCAGTCCAGGCAGAGCTCTGGGCACCCAGCACAGGAAGTTCCCTTCTGCTCTCTTGCTACCTGTTCAGCCCCCCGGGAAGAATGAGCTTCCCCTGACACACAGAGAAGTTCACACGAAATCATTTGTAAAGTACAAGAGTTCAAGATGTCATGTCAAATACCTTTCAATAAATTAAGATGGCAAAACTCAGGGGAAAGAGGAGAAAGGGAGTTTAAAACCTCACACACAGGAAGAGATTGCAGATTTATTATCCAGAGGTATTGAAGGACTTCAGGACATACCACCCCAGGATATGTTGTTTTGGCACATACGTGATCTGAGAGAACAAAATAGATGCGCCTTTATCAACTAAGATGGTCCCTAAGGTTAAACAAAGTTACTTAACAGATCAAAGGCAAAGGGCCCAGGTGGCCTGGCAAATTTTTGAATTCCTAGGGCTACAAGAAAAACCACGCTCTTAATACAACCCAGACCACTACAGCTCTGATTGGACAGAGGACTGGCCTTCTAAACTTTTTTTTTTTTTTTCTTTTTTTTGAGGCTGAGTATCACTAGGTTGCCCAGGCTGGAGTGCAATGGCACGATCTCAGCTCACTGCAACCTCTGCTTCCCAGGTTCAAGCAATTCTCTGCCGCAGCCTCCCAAGTAGCTGGGATTACAGGTGCCTGCCAGCGCACCCGACTAATTTTTGTACTTTTAGTAGAGATGGTGTTTCACCATGTTGGCCAGGCTGGTCTTGAACTCCTGATCTCGTGATCCACCTGCCTCAGCCTCCCAAAGTGTTGGATTACAGGGGTAAGCCACCGTGCCCGGCCTAAATATTCTCTTACTGCAGACCGTAAGCCAGTTTCAGCCAGCTTGTAGAGGCTGTGCACAAACTGTCTTTGTTTCCTGTAGTTCACCTTTTAACATAAAGAGCCAAATTTCACCCCAATTTAATGCTAAAACCCTGCAAAAAAATGAACACGGGATGTATGTTACATGTATGTGTATCCTTGTGCACACACTCAGCTCCCCTCATAAATATGTATAGCTTTTCCCCAAAACCTGCTGAATATGTATGATTCTGCTGTGTAATGCGGAACCTGTGAGGCATAAAATCCAACCGGCTCTTCCCCTCTTTGGAGACGGAGCACCTTTAGCACACACCTGAGACTGTCTCTTGTCAGCTTGCGAATTGAAATTACCAATAAAGTTCAGCTTCCTACTATTTCACCATCCAGGTGGTCTCTTGAATGACAGGTATATTATTTTGAGCTGAAGGCATTTGCAAAACAGCAAATGCAGAGAGAGGCTTTCTCTGAATTCCCCTTATTTGCCCAAGGTCAGATACTTCAAAAGGAACACAATTGTAGTCAATCTCCTCCCCAGGAGTTTCATCAACCAGGTAAAATTGACCCTTATGGCAGGGCGCGGTGGCTCACACCTGTAATCCCAGCACTTTGGGAGGCCAAGGCGGGCGGATCACCAGGTCAGGAGATCGAGACCTTCCTGGCTAACACGGTGAAACGCCATCTCTACTAAAAATACAAAAAAAAATTAGCCGGGCATGGTGGTGGGTGCCTGTGGTCCCAGCTACTCCAGATGCTGAAGCAGGAGAATGGCGTGAACCCGGGAGGTGGAGCTTGCAGTGAGCCGACATGGTGCCACTGCACTCCAGCCTGGGCGACAGAGCAAGACTCCGTCTCAAAAAAAAAAAAAAAAATTGACCCTTATCATAGTAGAGGAGACTAAATTTGGCACTACACCCAGACAAACCTTGTCATAAACTATCGTATCTCCCATGTACTTTTCTCAGGGCTCATTCATCTTTCCTAAAAATCATTTACTGGCCGGGCACGGTGGCTCACTCCTGTAATCCCAGCACTTTCGGAGGCTGAGGCCGGCGGATCATGAGATCAGGGGATCCAGACCATCCTAGCTAACACGGTGAAAGCCCATCTCCACTAAAAATACAAACAATTAGCTGGGCGTGGTGGCGGGCACCTGTAGTCCCAGCTACTCGGGAGACTGAGACAGGAGAATGACGTGAACCCAGGTGGCAGAGCTTGCAGTGAGCCAAGATCACGCCACTGCACTCCAGCCTGGGCGACAGAGCAGGACTCAGTCTCAAAAAAAAAAAAAAAAAAAAAAAAAATCATTTACTCTCCCCCAAGTGGTCTACACTCCTTCCCCTTCTTCTGTTAAGACAAAATATAAGCCAATGGGGTTCAGAACATACTAGTCACAACTTATGATAACTTTGCATTTGAGAAAACAGCAGAAGGAAGGTCACTCTCACCTTCCCCTCACCCCTTCCCCCTGAAGCAGATCATAAGACCCTCATTCCAGAGATGCCCTCCGTATACCCAGAGGAAAGAAATAGCCTCATCTCTGAAGACACAGGGACATACAGAAGAATCTGAACAAACAGGACTTACTAAGCTCCCTCTCATTTATCACTATTAGGTTGTGTCCCCTTTGTCCAACAGTACTTCTCCACAACCATCCACATCTTCATCAGATTTAGCATGAAAATACACAGGTTTCCCTGTTTCTTTGGATCTTCATTTCTGAAGGCTCGCTTGTTCTGTAAAACTTACATTAAATAAATGTGTATGCTTTTCTCTTATTAATCTTTCTTTTGTTATAGGTGTCTCTGCCATGAACCTTGCAATAAGTGAGAGAAGGTACTACTTTTTCTCTCCTGCAGCTCTCATGTCTCCTCATATTTTTTGATACTCGCTTTTTTTCTATGACGCCCCATGTATGTAATATTAAAAATTAATAAAATTGCATACTTTATCCCCTGTTAATCTGCCTGTTGTTCATTTATTTTATAGACCCAGCTGTTGAACTATGAGGACATAAGAAAAGTCTTTCCCCCTCTGGAGTTCAAATAAGGAAACATTAACAGGGAGAATGCAAGCAAACCTAAAATTCAGAATATAATTACTTTGATTGACATAATGGGAAGGTCAACATGACTTCCCAGAAAATGACATGCAGGAAAACAGGCAATTTGTAAAAGAGTGATGATTTTGAAAGTGGAATTTGTTTCTTAGAATTATTTTTATGCATTCTTTCCCAACAGCCCCAAGTTTAAGAATTCATCCAAAAAGTATGTGTTAAAATACCCTACTAGGATGATTTCAACTTGTTTTTGCTCCCTTTTTAGGCAGATTTTGTTCCACTTGCTTATTCAGGCATTGTGTGAGCAATTTCTTCTGTTGTTCTGATAGAATCCAATGTTCCTCTCTCTTCAGGATGTGCCAAGGCAAAGCATGCTTTTTGTCTTTGCTGCCTTTCTAATTCAAATGTTGTTGCTTTACACTGGTTGCTAATGAATCTCCTGATTATGATTCTGCCTATGTATGGACCCTTAAATCTCACTGGGACCCATTTTCTATACCCTCAGTTTGCAAATATCCAGGTACCTATACTCAAGGAGTGGGGTTTTCTTTGTTTTGTTTTGTTTTGTTTTCTGGGTGAAACAGATAGAAAAATAATTTACCTAAAATTTTTCCTCCATTCTCTGGCACAGAATTCGGTATTCATAAACTCAGGTCAATAGCCTGCATTAAAGTGGCTTTCCATTGATCAGAGATCTGCGTTTGTATTTTAGAAAGAGTAGGAGACACTTCATAAAAGACAACTTTAAGTCAATATCCTACATGTCACAAACAAAACATTATTTGTTAGTCACAATGTGAATATTTTTAACGCCTGTGGGGAATGAGACTATCTTAAAGCTGATGAGCTCCCAGAAGGAAAATAGAATTTGCAGGTTATCTGACTTTGAATTCACCCTGAAAGATAATAATACTAAATAAAACTTTATAGCTATGAAGACTGAGGCTCAGCAGTTAAATAGTTTTGCAACCACAGACATTTAGGACCTTAGATGTCCTCTAGTCCAGTTATCTGTTTCTACATATACAGAAACGAGTACAGGGAGGTAAAGCAATTTGGGCTGTCATGCAAATAGTTTTTCATCTGTTTGGGTACAGTGCTTTCTCTGGCTTCTGAACAACTATTATGCATGTTATCTGTACCTCTGCAATTTAATCACAGCCTCTGCTTTGTGACACTTTTTGTTTATGAATTGTGGTGAAGAGACTCTAAAATGTGGTGAAGAGACACAAGAGGCCAGTGATCCTGTCTCATGTGCCTGGACAATTTCCTCCCCTTGAATGTAAGTGGGACCTATGACTTCTTTCTAACCAATAGGATGTGGCAAAAATAATGGAATATCATTTCATAATTTCATTACATAAGATGATTCTCACATCTGTTTAGTTCAAGCAAACTATTAAAACATGAAAATAGATGCATCATTCACATATGACTTACATGCAGGAAATTATTAGCTATTGGGTTTTTTTGAGACAGAGCCTCACTCTGTCACCCAGGCTGGAGTGCAGTGGTACAATCTCAGCTCACTATAACTGTCACCTCCCAGGTTCAAGTGATTCTCATGTCTCAGCCTCCCAAGTAGCTGGGATTACAAGCGTACACCAACATGCCTAGCTAATTTTTGTATTTTTAGTAGGAAAGGGGTTTCAACATGTTGGCCAGGCTGATCTAGATCTCCTGGCCTGAAGATATCTGCCCACCTCAGCCTCCCAAAGTGCTGGGATTACATCCATGAGCCACTGCACCCGGCCAGCTACTGTAAAAACATAACTAAGTCTTTGAAAATATTTAGGTTATTACAATTATTATTCTACTTTACTGTATATGTTTAAAACTACTTAATAAATGGAAACAGGTTAACCAAAGTGAGAAATATTATTGGAATAACACCATGCCAATATCAAATAGCATTATTAAAATATATTTTGGTGTTAATGTAAAAATTAAAATAGGGACAGACTTTAAGCCCACAAACATGATGAAATATTTCTTATTTTTAGGATTTTATATATGAGAATCTTAAATTATTTTTATGAATCCAAAGGAATAGAGAAAATTTCTTATTAGAATCTCATTTTTGTGTAGTTTTCTAAAACATTACCATCTGCCAAGGTATATTTGAAGATGATATCATGGCCCCAGGAATAAACTAGCCTCATCTGGGTTGGTTGGTTTGTTTGTTCCCAACCACCGCCCCTGCCACGTGGACTTTGGCACAAGTTGTAAAAATTAATTTTACTTATAAGTTATCTTCATTTTAATGTTGGGTGACAAACTGCTGACTTGTTAGATACTTAGATTTAAACTATAACAAAGCAACTGGTGCTTTTATGAGTGGAACCGAAAGTGATCTGGAGCTCCTAAGGTGACCAGGCATCCTGGGAATTTATGAGCCTGATCTGTGGAGGGTATTCGAGTTTTCCCTGCCCTATCTGCCGTGGCTGCTCTATAACCAAGTATCGAACCAAGATAAATGAACTTTGCACATTTAAATTTTTGACTCTTAAAAGTTAACTGGGAATAAGAAGTTCTTAAATGTTGGAATCAGAATCTTAGAACTGAAGAGGACCTTGGAGGTTAACCAATTTGACTTCCTCACTTCACAAATGAGTCACCTGAGCAATTCCTTTGCCAAGTAGATGTGATTAATTCTATCTTAGAGAAAAATATGGCCAGAGAAGTGATCTGTTCAGGATTGAAAATCTAATGGATCAGGAAACCACAACATCAGTTCGTATCTGTCTGACTCTAAAATTTGATTATCTCCCGTGACACCATCCTGCCTTTCATAAAATTCCTCAGAAGCAAGAATATGGTTTATAGAGATCCAAGAACAGAGAGCTTTAGAAGAGACACAAAGAAAACCCTTAAACAGTGTAAGATGAGCCTTCACAGAGCAGGTAGGGAAAGACGTTGTCAAAGTACACCTTTCAAAATGTTAACTCTCATTCAAATATTTGGTAAATGTGTCAAAGATTTGTTTAATGCATCAGAGACAGGACCAGCAGGATAGTAAAGCTGGTTCAAAGAGCATTTGCAGAACAGAGGTTTATATAGGCATTCAGGAAGGCAATGATGGGCTGGGTGCGGTGGCTCACACCTGTAATCCCAGCACTTTGGTAGGCCGAGGTGGGCAGATCACTTGAGGTCAGGAGTTTGAGAGCAGCCTGGCCAATATGGCAAACCCCCCCTTTCCTAAAATTCCCAAAAAAAAAAAAAAAAAAAAAAAAAAAACAATTAGCCGGACATGGTGCATACCTGTAGTCTCAACTACTTGGGAGGCTGAGGCAGGAGAATTCATTGAGCCCAAGAGGCAGAGGCTGCAGTGAGCTGAGATCGCACCACTGCACTCCAGCCTGGGCAATGGAACGAGACTCTGTCTCAAAAAAAAAAAAAAAAAAAAAAAGGAAGGTAGTGATGAAACAGGTTTGATAAATTTGGCTTTTATTATAAAAACTGGTTTATGACCTATAGGGCAATAAAACCACAAGCTTGGGGTTTAGGTTTTTCTACTGAGAGAATAAATTTACATCTCTATTGATAAAAATCATTTATAATTTATCAGTCTGCTTACTATGCAGAATTCAAGCCCTAATCAATAGTAAATAGTATATCAAAGTTTCATTTCTCTAGAGAAATACTCTCTTGGGGTAGTTGCCTAGTAGCTATCTGGCAACTATGTATTTAAAGTTATATTCCTTGACCAGCACTTGAAGTCCTTAGTTTTTGGGGCCAATTAAGTATGGAGCAAAGTATACTAATAATTGACCATGCTGGGGGTAGAGTTGGCCTCCTTTTATAAAAGCTAAGAAGCAAAGAAAAAAAGTGAGCATAAACAGAATATCATGCCACCTCATCCCAGAGATGACCCACAGAAGTAACCTCAGGCAAGGCTATAAATTTACTCCAAAAGTAACTTTGTTTACAATGGAACACAGACAGTTGGACACTAGCACCTGATATAAAGGAGTTCTGGGCATCCCAATCCTATTCTCAGGAAAAAATGGTCTTTTCATTCCATTTCTATCTTGCTTCTTGCCTCAAAATCTGTTCTTGTATTTAACTGTCTCCAAGTTTTTTACCTAACCTGGAATTCTTAACTGAGCACCTTGGATCTGTTGGCAGGTTTGTCATGAACAGCTTAAAATCATGACACTTGAATGAATAGAAAATCATCTTTTCCTTTTACCTTGGCGGAAACAAGGTTGGAACTTTTCAGTGAAACATACACTATAAAGTAAAAGAAAATCCACAATATCATATCAAAGAATATTTAGAAAGCATAGTCAATTTCTGGTGTGGCTTTAATTAACTTAAGCTCATTAAGAATCCTTCCATATCATTGGGGGATTCTGCTCAAGGAAATTAAAGTATTTTTTTTTCTTTTCCTCATGTATAACTGGGGAACCGTGCCTGGAAAAAATAAAATCAATCACCTTTTCTTCAACCTTATCTTTCCCCTTTTCCCACTTCTTTTTCCACCTCCTATCTTTGCTCTAGCATGAAGCTTCAAAGAGGCTCCAGTGACCGTTCACCTCTCTTCCTCCCATCTGAAAGTTAATGTGTTCAAAGGAATCCAGTAGACTGATTACTCTCATTTTTGTCCCTGCTGTATCTTAGAGGGGGAAAAAAAAGTAAAGGCAAAGTCCAGGCATTTAACTGCCTACTCAACTTCTATTCTAAAACTAACTTAACTCTGTCTACTGGCAGAATTGAGTCCAATGATAGTAATTGCTTCTGAAAAGCAAAAGACAGTCAGAAGTCTATTTTAACTTCTCCTTGACTCCTTATTATCAATGAATGTGCCTTCCTGTATGCCAGCTTGGAAATATAAATACCTGTTTCTAAAAGTACAGCATATAATGGCTGAGAAGGTTGAGAAATTGAGATCGCTGATCAAGATCCATTAGCGCCCTAGTACACTCTGAACATTGATTGGCAGTAAATACAGTAGCAAGCATGAAACTTGATAGAATGGGACACAGGCCAACCACAGGCAGACATACAAAACCTAATCTGAGGGCAGTATAAGAGACAAGGGACAAATTTAGGTTCCCAGCCTGGCACACACAGTGTAAAAGATCCAAATATGGTCTTTTCCCCTACAAATTTTTTTTCTTAGGAGAAGATGGAATCACCCTAGAGACTGCATCCAATTTTATCTGCATATACATATTAGTTTAATTCAAAGTGGTCTCCCCGTCCCTTTAATAAAACTAAATGAGAAATATGACAAGTCATGTAAAAAGGGCTAATAAGTTTACAAGATCTTCCTTCTGAAGTGGCAATTTTAAGTTAATTTTTTAGTGAACTTTTATACTTTAATAAAAACTTGTACTTTATTTTAAGGGAAATAGAGCCTCCTGCTCTCTTTATGCTTAATTTAGAATATCTGCAAAATACAGTATATTTTTTTGAAATCTTCTTGGGGAAATGATTCTTATTCTTATCTCTGTTGCTACATTGACCAATGCTCTGCCTCTTCCCTGGTATTTTATCCAGTAAATGTTCTCTTGCAAGGGAAGTTTTTCCAGCTGGAAAATATTCAGAGATTTTCTGATCTAAGGTTACTGTTGTTTGGTTCTTCCCACACTAATATCCTTAGTGAGTCCTAGACTTTATACTCCTCTCAAAATCTTGCCTTTTTAAAAAAAACTTTTAAGCTCTGAAGTTTTTAAGCTCTAAGTTAATTCACTAAGTTAATGAAATTGCTGACTCTCCATTTTCTAATTTCTTTTCCAACTGCAGGCAGATCTGCTTCTCCTTTTAATGGTGTTCTGTTTTTCTGTAAGTTTATCTTTCCTTTTTATGCAGTTTCAGATGAAGGTTTATTTGCTTTTTGACTTCAACTTGCCCCATGAAGAGCAACAGTTTTCACTAGGCCTGAGTGCCTTCCTGTTTTTCTTCATCTTTCCCGTAATTCTTGTATATGTTGCTTAAAATTTGGTATCAAACACCACAAAGTGACTCTGCAGACTTTAAATAGAAGGAAGATTATATTTAAAAGTTTGGGGTATCTCATAGAATTGAGGGAATGATTAAGCAGTCAAGACTCTGTAAGTTAAGGAACGAAGGCAGCTGGGGATATTGAAGCACCTGGAGTTTATGGAATTTCAATGATCATCTTTTCAGAGCAAATAGAAAAATGAGTTATAATGCAACTGAAAAATAAATAGATACAAAGATAGAGAAAACAGACTATAGATACAATGTACAATATAATCCCAGTTTTGAAAAAGAAATAAGGTATAGTATTATCATAATGGATCACATATTAGAATAATGATTTTCTTCATTGTATTTGTCTATTCTCAAATTAACATGTATTACTCGTGTGATTTTTGAAGTTTGAAAGTAAAATATCTCTCTGTTGTGGAGTTATAAATAAATGACCTCTGTGAACACATCATTCATCAGAACCATCCATTAGTGTTTATTAACTTCTGGCTGGTGGCCCAACACATTCCTCTGCAATGTGTTGGCTCTCCGCAGTTTTTGCATTGTGTGGGATTTGAATAAACTTCAATACCCCAGAGAAGGTCCAGTCTTTTCTCTCTGCCTCTCTAAACTGTTGCAAGAAGAACTGGCTCTTCCAGCTCTCTATTTCCTTCTGTGATTCTGCTACCCTTTTCATGCAGTTCCCTCTGGAACTCAGTTCTAGAAGATCTCATTCTTTGTCTAACATCATTTTGTTGGATCTTGAAGACTGTGGGTGTTATTGCCTTTCATGGGACAGGAAAGGGAATTATGACTGCCTCCACAGGAAAATAAAATTTTGCAGTGGGTAATATTGGTTACAGAACAGCATAAAGAAGAAACAACACCATGTTTTCAGTGTAATTCAAATATAATGTGAGACATAAGAGAGTCTCAATCCATACTACCAGAAAAAGCAGAATATAAACATATATATAAGAAGATTCCATTTGTAAAAATATGCCTATATTACTATCTTTAACTTGGATCACCACAAATAAATTTTTCTTTTTGCTCATCAGTGTTCCCTAGTTGTTGTTTTTTCCCCTTAAATAAACCTGTGTGACTTATTTTAAACATTAAAAAGGTAAAATTATAACTGCAGGTGGGTTACATATTGTCAGGAAGAGACTACATACACATGAACACCCCGCTGCATCTTCCCAATTGGCCGGCCAAGATTTCAGAAACGGTGGAAGTGAGGTAGCTGCACAGAGCTGGAGCAAATGCAGCCCACCTCGGCCTGGCTTTTTCCTCACCCCTGACTCCCCTACAGGGTATGCAGCTGCCTGCAACACTCACTGGCCAGAGAGAATCCTGACAGAGCTGGGGAAAAAAAATTTAAAAGGTAAATGTTTGCTGCACCACTGCCATACTTGGTTTGACTCTCATAATTATGTTGGTTGTAGGATATGGTTCAGAAATCCTTTTCCCACGGTAGCACTGAAACTGAGATCCAGCCGCCCACTAGAGTTCATTGTGGCCATTTATAAATACATATAATATTGTTAAACTTACCATTATCCTGCTCAATCTATGCGTTCCATTACTCTCAGAGTAGGCACTACTCTACTATACTAGACAAGTAATACTGTACTAGACAAGGATGGGGCCTAATAACTGTGGCATGTGCCCCTCCGTAAAACCGGCTCTTGCCTTAGCTTTTGGAGGGCTTTAGATTGTGGGTAACCTTCGCTATCCACAGTGGAAGCCCAGGATTTTCTTTATCTATCCTGTTTCCTGACCTGACTCTTCTTTCTAGTGTTCCGTTCCCTTTAGTGTTCTTCCACTTTTTTAGGACACTCCAGCTGGGTTTTAAAATTCAGCATGCCCCTTGAAGACAGAACAGTCCTTTCCTCACCACATACAGAGCTGACAGTGCTCTGCTTTCGCCTGAGGATAGGTGGAATGGTACTGATTGTCTGCAGTTGAGAAGCAAAAGTATGGCTTCCTGACCAATTCATGAAAAATGCCTTGAGCTAATTACTAGTGGTTAAAGAAACACTGCCACGGGAACAGCACTCCTCCAGACTGATGTCACCAACAGCGTGCTTACAGCTTCTCCTCATATGTGAAAACAAATACCTATGCTTTTATGATTGCAGAGGAGAAAAAGTAATGTCTTTTTCTTATTCATTACAAGGTTCACGTCTAAGACTCCTATAACAAAAGATAGATTAACAAGAGAAAAGCATGCAAATTTGTTTAATCTAATTTTTATGTGACAGATGTCAGAAATGACGGCCCAAAGAAATGGGGAAATCTGTGTGTTTTTATGGACAGTCACGCAGGAGTGTGATTAAAGGACAAAAGGGTATAATCTAATGGCAATAAAGCGGGATAAGTTTTATATCTAATGGCAATAAGTTGGGCTAAAATAAATAATCTATATGGCAGTAAACTATGGTATAATCTAATGGCAATAAACTGGGGTAAATTATATAATCTAATGGCAATAAACTGGGATAAAATAAATTTAGCAAGGCCTGTTTATTCAGATTCTTCTTGGCATCCCTGAGGCATTCCTTCCTTCAGGGTATAAGGTAGGACACCTGTCACATGGAGGTCTTCGGGGGAGGAGGAAGGAAGCATTTTAGTCTGTTTTGTGTTGCTGTACAGGAATACATGAGGCTGGGTAATTTCTAAAGAAAAGAGGTTTATTTGGCTCAAAGTTCTTCAGGCTGTACAAGAAGCGTGGCACCAGCATCTGTGCAGCTTCTGGTGAGGTCATTTGTGCTGTATCTAACAGCAGAGAGGGTCAAAGGGGAAGCAGCACACGTGAAGAGAGCACAAACCCAAGAGGTGTCCAGGCTTTGTAACAAACCAGTCTCTCAGGAACAAACCCATGTTCCTGAGTACCAATCCAGTCTTGCAGGATTGAGAACTCACTACCAAGAAGGGCACCAACTCACTCATGAGATGTCCACTCTCATGACCCAAACACCCTCCACTAGGCCCCACACTTCACTGGAGGTCAAATTTCAACATGAGATTTAGTGGGGACAAACAAACCATACCCAAACCACAGCAAGAAGGGAGATCAGAGGCTGATCATCCCAGGTATTGTGACCTGCTCGGGGAAGAAAGGTAAAAGAAAGTAAGAGTAGCCTAAGACAAAATCATACCTTTGAAAGTGAATTTGATATAAACTCTGCTATTAACTGACACTCGTTATTTATAAATAAACTCATTAAATATAAGGCTATCTTCATGGTGCTTGGAATGTACCCCTACCTCAGGAAATGAGCAGTGCTTCCTACACTGGGTGCTGCAGGGACAGGAAGAAAAAAATGATACAATGATCTTTTCCCATGTACTCATCTGAAATATTGTGCTTTGCCTTATTTTTTTAAATTCCTGGGCTTCCGTAGCTGTTACTATTGAACAGAAAGCCCCTCTTTCCTTGTTATTTCTCCTTCCTAGCACAGCAAGTTCTAATTCCCACCTCCCTTTCAGCATTCCAATTCTAGAATATTCTTCTACAGTTCCCTACATTTACAGCTGTTTTTTCCTAGTTTCTGCATGCTCCTTTAGGTGGTTCCATTCTTTCTCTGACTACGGAGAACCAATGCTTTACTGGATCCTGAGGGCACATTGAGTGGTAGTGAGTTACCAGAGGCATGAAGAGGAAGTGTGTCTCCTTAGCCTATCCAGACAACATCCTGATTTGATTACCTATGGTTGGAATTGAAAGTAAACAGAGATATTACCAAATTGGTAGTCCACATCCCAAAATCCATGCTACCAAAAAGACATTTATAGATTATTTGTAGGAGAAAAGCCAGTACACCAATGTAAGAATTTATCATCTCATTTTTATAAAAAGAGATATCTTTACACTTCCTTAAGATACAAAATAAATGGTATTTATTATCATTTTGATTATCTATCTTTATTAATTACTCTCAAATCAACATATGCTATGGATAATTTTCAAATTTTGATGGTAAAATATTACCTCTGAAACAGCACATCAAATCTGGTAATAATTGTGATCACAAATAAATTCTCTGTTGATGCCAGCAGGCGTCCATGAACCTCTGGTCACTGGCACAGCCTGGGTGCCTGGTGTTCTCCGCAGTGGGACCTCGGAATCCCTTACCATAAGCCCCTCCTCTGGACTTTCCTTTTTTCATCTTTCAAAATGTCCAGGCTTCCAGTAACCTCTCACCACAGTAAAACCCTAGACACCCTTTTTCTATCTCTTCATTCTGTAACAAAACCAAACTCTCCCTTCCAGGTTTTCCATTTCTTCATGAGTTTTCCCTACCACTTCCAGGCAGGCCTACCATTATTTTTAAGTGTCAGCGTGTCCCTCTCGGTTAAGTCCAATTCTCTGTGCTTCACGTATGGTTAGCACTGTTTGAGCCTAGGATAAGATAAATGGAAGTGCCTACTTTGGACCAGAAAGCAAATTGCTCTTCATACTTTTTTAAGAAAAAAAAAATCTTAATATGATTAAACTTGGTTACAGCAGAACATAAAAAAGGAACAATATCTCATTAATAGATATTTCTAAATAGATGCCTCTGAAATATATTCACAGTTCATTAGTGAGAGAAAAAACAGAACACAAACTATACTGTCTGATTTTATGTTTTGAAAAAAATTAACAATGTTATCTGTAATTTACATGAAAATAATTTAATTTCTCCTTTATGCTCATCTATGTTTCCTAATTTCATCAAATCAACCTGTATTATTTTATCATTTATATTATTTTAAAGGAAAGAATGTTACCTGCAGCATTCCAGGTTACCATATGGGGCAAGAGATCATACCCCTTCCTATGCTCACTGAATGCTCCATTTTATTTAGCCAAGGATAAGAACTTAATGGAGGCCAGGTGCCACATAGACCAAAAGGAAATGCACTATTTCCTGTCCCGGCTTTTTTTTTTCATGCCTGCCTTCACTATGGGGCTGCTGGTCACTCTGACTGGCATTGAGAAAGCCAAATTATTGGTGTGCTATTGTCCTTTCACAAGCATGCTTAAATCACCATCTCACTAAAAGCTAATAATCTGTGCACTTAAAATAATTAATTAATAGGTTTGACTTTTAGAGTAGTCTTAGGTTCACAGAAAAACTGAGCAGAAAATATGAAGCTCCCAAATTCATGCATTTTTGTTTAAAGAAATATTCAAACACATCAGATTCTCCAAGAGAATTGAAAATATATATTCATATGGAAATGTGTACACGAATGTGCAAAGTAGCATCATCCGTAATAGCCAGCAGGTAGAATCAACTCAAATGCCCATCAACTGATGAATAAACAAAATGGGATATATCCACACATTGTTCAGCCATAAAAAGGAATGAAGTACTGTTACATGCTATAACATGGAAGACCCTTAAAAACATTATGCCGAGTGAACGATGCCTCTCACGGAAGGCCACATGTTATATGATGCCACTTATATGAAATACCCAGAATAGACAAATCTATAGATTAGTTGTTGCCAGTGTTGCAGAGAGAGAGGAATAAGGAGTGACTGCTACTAGGTGCAGGGCTTCTTTTGGGGGTGATGAAAATGTTCTGAAATTAGATAGTGACGGTAGTTGCAAATATACCAAAATACACACTTAAAAATGCCTCTCGCCTGTAATCCCAGCACTTTGGGAGGCCGAGGCGGGCAAATCACGAGGTCAGGAGATCGAGACCATACTGGCTAACGAGGTGAAACCCCGTCTCTATTAAAAGTACAAAAAATTAGCCAGGCGTAGTGGCAGGCGCCTGTAGTCCCAGCTACTCGGGAGGCTGAGGCAGGAGAACGGCGTGAACCCAGGAAGTGGAGCTTGCAGTGAGCCGAGATTGCGCCACTGCACTCCAGCCTGGGCGACAGAGGGAGAGTCCGTCTCAAAAAAAAAAAAAAAAAAAAAAAGCCTCTCTCTTTATTAAATCAAAATCCCACCAATGAAGCCACATCATCATGGGGATTGGAGGGAAAAAACAAAGTCCATAGCAGGCTGTCCCTGAGGAGCCTCTCTGCTTCAGCTCTACGATGCCCTGAAAAGCCAGCTCTCTGCAGGGCACCACCTTCTCTGGGTGAATAAACTTATATCAGACTGGTTCTGATTTTGAGTGCCGTGAGGGCAATAGCCACTAATTTCTTGAAACCCAAATAATCTCCCTGAATGAGTTTTGGGAGGAGCTGCTTCTTTCCTGCTCCTGATCCTTCTCTACACAGGAAGGGAACAAAACTAGGGCCTCTCTGCACCTTCCCCAGGTTCTCAGGGGCAGGGTAGAATGAGAGCTGTACCTGCCCTCTTTCTCCATGTGTCACTTTCTTACTGCTAATGCTCAGCTTTCCCTCGAGGTTTTGCTACTTTTTCACTTACTTTTAGCTGGATTTTAAAACTTAATTTCCCTCTTGAGGTGAACCCATTCCTTTCCTATATCACGTGCAGAACTGACACTGTTTGATGAATCCTGGAGGCATAATAAATGGTAGTGATTCATTAGAAGCATCCATTTTATTTTTTTTAATTAAATGTGTAGCTGATTAATCTTGGTTAGAGTGGAGCGTATGAGAAAGACATTACATTAATAGACCACTACTAAAATCACACCACAAAGAAAGATGTTTGTAGTTTGTCACAAAGAGAGAAAACAGGACACAAAACAATATGTATGTACAGTGTGATCCCATTTTTGTAGAGATATCTACCTTGCTATCTCTAATTAGTGCCACAGTGAATGATTTTCTTTTTATCTATTTTCTACACTGCTAAATTGAACATACAAGTCTTATGCAATTTTTAACATTCAAAAGTAAAATGGTACCAACAACATTTATAATAGTTATAAATAAGTAACTCTAAACTGATCATCCTAGACAATCATTTATCAACCTCTGAGTGGGCATACAATCCTTCCTAGGTACCTGAGGGTAGGAAGGAGGCACCAGAGGCAGGGAGGAGAAATATGGGCTAGAAAGGAATGAAGGTGCTCTCGGCCCTACAGGATATCATAGTCTGAGAAACCGATGCTATACATCAGAGACCTAGAATAGTAACAGACTGTCTGCTGTGTGCCCTTTTATTCTAGTCATTCTTTATTAAGCAACATTTACTGAAGGGCCACCTGTGAGGATAAAAATTCAAATAGGATATTGTCACTGCCTTTAAGAAGCCTAAAGGAGCATTAATTCTTTCCCTCACTTTTCATACAAGATCAAGACATGGCTTGTTCTTCTCCATGTGCTTTATGTGATGGCATTTTTTCTCTATAACTCTTTTCTATAGAGCCTAACCAAGCTGCAAGATCTGGACATGTTTTAAAGAGCAACTTATTCTGGTGGAGAAATAAGAATGAAAGGGAAAGAAAATCTTTAAGACACATGTCCTAAATATCCCCAGTTCCTCCTCCTCCTCACTCACACATGTGGAAAAGTGAGAGAATAATAACATTAAGTAGCAAATATTTTTGTTTTAATTTTTTTACTTGTTCAGATATTTTATTTTTTTATTTCTGACTTTATTTTCATTTTATTTCAGATTCAGGAAGTACACGTGCAGGTTTGTTAGATGGGTATATTATCTGATGCTGAAGTTTAAGCATGTAATAATCCTGTTACCCAAATATTAAACATAGTACCCAATAGGTAGTTTTTCAACCCTTGCCCCCTTGCCTCCCTCCCCTTTTTGGAATCCCCAGAGTTTATTGTTCCCATTTTTGTATCTGTGTGACGCAGTGTTCAACTCCCACTTATTAGTAAGAATATGCAGTGTTTGGTTTTCTGTTTCTGCATTAATTTACTTAGGGTAATGGCCTTCATCTGCATGCATGTTGCTGCAAAGGACACGATTTCATCCTGTTTTATGGCTATGTAGCATTCCATGGTGTATACATGTCATATTTTCTTTATCCAATCCACCTGGGGTTGATGGACACCTGGGTTGATGCCCTGTCTTTGCTATTGTGACTAGAGCTGCAATAAACATGTGAGTTCAAGTGTCTTTTTGGTAGAACAATTTATTTTCCATTGGATATATACCTAGTAATAGGATTACTGGGTCAAATGCTAGTTCTACTTTTAGTTCTCTGAGAAATCTCCAAACTGCTTTTCACAAGGGCTGAACTAATTCAAACATTGTCTATTCATGTCTCTTATCTGCTCCTGTGGGACCCCAAAAGCTCCTCCTGTCTACTTCTGCAAATCCTCAAAGACAAGTCTAGACTCACATTTGTTCAGGAATAGGACTGCTAATGTTCCCCACTTCTGGACTCCTCCACTTCCTGTAAGTTACTTGAGGTAACTTAACTCTGTATCCACCACTGGCATGCTCTGAGGAAAACCCACTACTGAAAACGTGTGTTTGGACCAATCTTGTGTGCATTTAATTTTTAAAACTACATAAAGGACGATTTAATAGTAAAGGACATTCATGATAACCGTTTGTAAACCAAAGGGTTATTTTATATTAGACAACAAATACTCCAAGCTTCATTTATAAATTCATTCAAGCTGAATTGTATAGGAGATTTGCTCAATGTGTAGTTCATCCCGGGCTAAAAGAGCAAACTAGCAATTACAGAGAGCTGTGTAAACCTGCACATGACAGTGCAGTGGAGCTGCACCGAGACATGCTTAGGACATGCAGAATAAATGAGTGATTTGGGTGATGTTCTTTGAATGTACCCCATTAGAATATAATCCACATCTGCCAAGAAGCAGCTTTAGTATAAACATTTAGTATTTATGCATTGTATCTGCTTGCAAGAAAAAGCAGTAGAAACTGAAAATGGCAATGGTCAATTATTTATCTTTCTCCTTCTCACTCTTTCATAACATAAAAAGGTAATTCCAAAATGACATTTTCCACATAGAATTATCTCATAGACGACAATGTACACATACATACAAAATCTCCAACCTAAATGGTTTTCTCACTGGTGGCATTTCATTTCCTTATTTCTCTAGAAAACAATATGGATGGTTTTCTCTGGGGGGAAAAAAAATACACCTCCAAGCTGAAATTTTAAATCTCCAAGAACATGCAAATCCTTTGCCATAAAAATAAAATTCAAGTAAATTCAAGACCCTTCCAGGCTAGTACTGTTCCTAGAATAACATATCATATAAGTTTCTCAGTATTTGAGGTTCTAAAAAGCAACTATATTAAAACTGCTACAAATTTGAATGTGTACTAGTTATACATGCATGTACCTGGCAATTATCAAAAATGACTGAATTTAACTTTATTTTGATCACATCTGCATATGAAAGTATTGGTGCAAGACCATCAAACTGTGAACTGTAAAACAAGTGGCCAAGAATTAGTTTTATATCCTGTAGCTAACCATATACCTCCAGTCTATAAAGGAGTTGGGAGTGGCCAAGAGTTGGAGTAAGGGGTGAGAAAAGATTTTGAGAAAACTTTCATCTACCCATGGTGGGGATAAGATGCTCCTTTTTTCCCTGAAGCCCTGTAAAGAATGGCTTCTGGGCTAACTACGTTGTCTTCTTGAGTTTGGTGGCCATTGCATGTTGGTATCTTACTAATAACAGAGAAATCTAAAGAGTGAGATACTGATTGGATTACCTACAGCAGTAGAGCCTCTGGAAATATTTTCAGAGTAAGTCAACTCCCACTTACAATGGGTCAGAGTTGCAGATTTGCTATGGACCATTCGAGAGAGTGAGAGAGCGCAATTATATTTCTTTGTAACTGCACCCTCCAAGTTTTTTTATTTTAGCTTGATATTTGATAGATATACATATATACCCCTCCCATCCCCTTTCTGAGGTCCTTTCTGAGGCTCTCTTCCAGTTAGAATCTATCACATTATAATCTGAGCTTCAATTTCCCTTTAACCCCCTCTTAATTGGCTTTCCATCACTGAATTTAGTATTGGACTGGATTGGAAGACGGTGAGAGGAAAATCATTGACTCTTGCTATCCTCACCCACCGCTCCTCAAGAATGGGCATTCTCCAGCTCTTCCAGAATCATGTTCTTCTCTATGTAGTTCTGCAACTCTAACTGAACCTAATCCTTTCTCATCTCCTTACACTGCAGTTTCTATAGAGTTTCTCACCACACATATATCTTTTTACAACTATTAAAAGGTCATACCTCCAGTCCAGCAGTGTAAGGAGATGAGTGAAAGAGTTACAGAGTACAAAAGCAACTTCTACTGTTTAAGTACATTATTGTAAATATGCACAATATAATGCTATCTGGTCATTTCAAATGACATTTATGAAAACTCTGTAAAAACATGAGAAATGCTTATGGTAAAATAAAAAGTGAAAAAGCAATTTACATAACATATAGTTGTAGACCTTTTAATAGTTGTAAAAAGATATATGTGTGGTGAGAAACTGTTTAGAATAAAGCTAGCACTTGTGTTAAAATGGGGAAAGTATAAATATTCGTACTTCATTATGCATAAAAATATCTTCAGAATGATACACAAAAAATAAGTAGTTGTCTATTGGAGTTGAAGGTAAAACTGAGCAGTGGGGTACAGAAATTTACAAAAAAACTTTATACCTTGTTATTTTTTTTGAACCATGTGAATGTATTACTTATTGATATTAATATTAAATAAGGCCGGGCACAGTGGCTGACACCTATAATCTTAGCACTTTGAGAGACTAAAGCAAGCCGAGAACTTGAGCCCAGGTGTTCAAGTCCGGCCTGAGCAACATGGCGAAACCTTGTCTCTATAAAAAATACAAAATAATTAGCTGGGTGTGGTGGTGAACACCTGTAGTCCCAGCTACCAGGGAAGCTAAGGTGGGAGGATCCCCTGAGCCCAGGAGGTCGAAGCTGCTACAGTGAGCCGTGATTGTATCACTGCACTCCAACATGGGCGACAGAGTGAGACCGTGTCTTAAAAAAAGAAAGGAA
This sequence comes from Homo sapiens, assembly GCF_000001405.40. Lineage (NCBI taxonomy): Eukaryota > Metazoa > Chordata > Mammalia > Primates > Hominidae > Homo > Homo sapiens. The sequence continues at coordinate 100,572,639 of NC_000011.10, forward strand.
AAAGAAAAGAAAATATTAAGTAAATGCATGTGTGTGTGCATGTGTAACAGAAAGGTAATACACAAAGATGTAAGAATAGTGGCTGTCAGTCTGTATTGACAAATGGTTTTTCTTCTTTCTACATGTACCAGCTAAATTGTCCTCAATGGATGTAAGTTTCTTTTATCATTTTTAAAAATGCAATGAAATATTTTTGTCCAGCTATTTTTTAACTATTGCCTTGTTAAACAAGCTATAATCAATAATTTTCCAAGAAAGGAACAGAAAACTATCATTTCTAGAGTCCCAAATTAATGTAAATAGCTGTGCCAAGGAGTTTGCATGCTTCCTGGGGCAAAATCCGCCAGAGCATCAAGACAGGATCCAAACAGCATTCTGCTTTCATGGGGCTCTTTCATGTAGTGCCTAAGACGGTGCTCCTTAAACTTTAGTGTTCACACAAATCCCTTGGGAATCTTGTTAAAATGCAGCTTCTAATTTAAGAAGTCTGGGTGAGGGCCAGGCACGGTGGCTCACGCCTGTAATCCGAGCACTTTGAGAGTCTGATGCGGGTTGATTACCTGAGGTCAGGAGTTCGAGACCAACCTGGCTAATGTAGTGAAACCCCGTCTCTACTAAAAATACAAAAATCAGCCAGGTGTGGTGGCACATGGCTGTAATCTCAGCTGCTCGGGAGGCTGAGGCAGGAGAATCACTCGAACCTGGGAGGCGTAGATTGCAGTGAACTGAGATGGCGCCACTGCACCCCAGCCTGGGCGACAGAGAAAGACTCCACCTCAAAAAGAAAAAAAAAAAAAAGAAGAAGTCTGGGTGAAGCCTGGGATTCTGCATTTCAAATGAGCTGGCAGGTGAAACGAATGCTGTTGGCCTGCAGATCACACTTTTGAGAAGCAAAGGTCTACCGCAACACGTCTCTGCTGCTTCTAGTGTAGCACAGAGTCCCCATCAGCATGAAAGGACTGTAGACCTCAGAGTGGTCCACAAACCAACTCACGCTGTAGAAATGATTAGCAATGTTATACTATTTTATTTTACTTAGTTGTCCCATTCAAAACTTGTGAGAAAAAAATAAAATTTTAATTTTAATAGATGGGACATATCAAACAAAAAGGATTTCTTATGACCTTTGAAACATCTTACTGTTTGGCATAAGCCAACTGCTTAGGATGAGCAAGTACTACTCTGCAGTTCCTCATTGGCCCAATCTGGTTTAGGTCTTTAACAGCAGTTGAGTTGAAGAAAACAACCCTTTCTTCTGGGATTAAGGTGTCCTCCTCATTTAGGACTAGAGCCAGTGAGTGAGAACACTTGGATTCTAGTCTTAGCACTGTCATTTAGGAGCAGCACGACTTTGGGCAAGTTATTATAGGCTCCTGGCTCTCAGACTCCTCATTTTTTAAGAGTAGCTCATGAGCTGGTAGCAAGAACATTCCGGCTGTAACATCTGAGGCTGATTACACTGACTGGGCAAGCTGCAGATGTCTGCCATATTTGTACTTTATCCTCAGAGCCTTGGGGAGCTACTGAAGGCTTAAAAATAGGAGAACAATACAATACAACATGAAGGGATTAACACAAGAGGATGAGAGGAAATCCCCCAGTTTGGCCAACAATTGGCCAAATGATATTTAACTATGCGCAGCTGCCAAACTTAAGTCAAATTTCACTTACGGTAACCAGCAGAAGAGAATCATTCCAAAAAGCAAGGCCAGACTTGTGTTTACTCTTCAAACAAATAATTGATTTTACAAAAAAGAAAAGAAAAGAAAAAAAAAAGCTGGGCATGGTGGCTCATGCCTGTAATCCCAACACTTTGGAAGGCCAAGGCAGGCAAATCACCTGAGGTCAGGAGTTTGAGACCAGCCTGGCCACCATGGTGAAACCCCGTCTCTACTAAAAATACAAAAATTAGCCAAGTATGGTGGCACACGTCTGTAATCCCAGCTACTCGGGAGGCTGAGGCAGGAGAATTGCTTGAGCCTGGGAGACAGAGGTTGCAGTGAGCTGAGATCGTGCCATTGCACTCCAGCCTGGGTGACAGAGCGAGACTCTCTCTCAAAAAAAAAGAAAAAAGAAAAGAAAAAAACCTTGATTAGAGGTAATTATATAATATCAGTTATTGCAAGTGTTTAAATGTTTGTATATGCTTGAATTATATTACACAGGAATTCCATATCTGTAAACCAAACTCAGGCATTTCATATGCTAAGGCCTGTGATCAAACATTAAAATCTGATTCTAATTAACACTTCCCTCTTGGAATTAATAATGACAACAATTATTTATTGAGTATCTCTTCTGTGCTGGGTGCCTTACATGCATTGTCTCGATTTACTCTCCCAGCAACTGCAATGAGATAGATATTACCATCCCCATTTTATAAATTAGAAAGCAGACTCAGGGAGTTTAATTAACTTGCCAGAGGTTATACAGGTGGCTGAGCTGGATTTTGAACTCTGGTCTATCTGACTGCTTGGCTCTTAACTTCAGGCTCACTTAAAACAGAAAGCAAGCACAGGCAAATTTGCCAGTTGTTAGTCAATCAAAAATCATGCATATTAAATATCTAGACAATCTGTAACCACCCATAAGTGTATCACATACTTGGTGAGGTGAGTCTCACTGTGAGTGACATGTCATATTTTATGGTATTTGTCTAAGAATGAATAATCTTGACTACAACCTTGCATATATTCTTAGATTGCCAGTTTTATATTCCCTTTGGATGCATATAGTTAAGATTTCAATATATATCCAAATAAATATGTTTGCTGTCATGCATAAGTAGTAGATATTGAACATCTATAAATTTACTTATTTTGTGTGTATTTAATTTCAGGATCATCTATCCATATGTGAATCTTTTTTAATTGATCATTTCTTAAAAAATAAGGTCATGGAAAGATAAATACATCTATGACTGTATTTCATAGGTACCACAGTGACATCTTGTGGGAAAAGCATGTTGAGTTGTTTCTGTGTGTTTTTGAGTATTTCAGAACTACATTTTCTATTGACAAAGAGGAAACTGTCATCTGACTGTGAATTTGAGATGTTGGCCATTAAAATATAGTCTTATACAAATTCAGGGTAATGGGTTTTTAATATCAATTTTCAATAAAATAATAAAATATTTCTGAAATATAAGTAGTCTAAATTGATGAAGTTATGAGAAACAGTCATGATAGCAAGAATGAAAGACTTTTAAATCAGTGAATTTTTAAAATAGTTGTTTCTGTTTTTAGAATGTGAATGAAATAATTTCCTCCACAGATGACCTTGGAATAATTTAATTTCAAAACAAACAGATGATGTTAGTTTTTCAACATTATGGAAACTCTTATTCCCCCCAGGATATCTTTTAAAAGTCTCAGTCAAGACTTATTAGCATAAGATTGTTTACCGAGTACAAAATAAATATCTATTGAGTGCTCACTATGTACAAAGAATTATGAAAGTCTTTAATCTTTTTTCTTAGTAAGATTTACTGGTTTGATAAACTGGCTAGAACATATTTGTTAACAAGGCTGAGGACTGATTTTATTCATGTGGGGATGAGTTTTCTTATTCTATTTCTTTGCAGGTAATATGACATCATCTTTTTAATGACCTTGTAAGTGAAACAAAAACTGAGTGCTTTTCTTTTCTACTTCTATTGTTCTATTTTCTTTTGTATTTCTTAAGCCAGAACTTTAGTACATAGATGTTTGTTGCATTGTTATCTATAATATAATGATTCTATATGCATTCACATATGTGTTATTTTACTGTTATTTTTAATACTATGAAACATTCTAAAAGGTTATATTAACTCAGGATGACAAAGCAAACATTCAAACTATTTTCCTTATATTTGATGTGTCTGCTAAGTCAGAAGAGATGTGATCATCGATTACAAAAGGGCCGCTGCCGGATACATCTATTTTATTTTCACTTACTTTATTGCTTACTTACTATGCATCAACACTAGAGGGCATCTGAGGACTGGGCTAAGTACAATGTGTTACTGTGAGTAAAACAAGCCTCTATTAAAATAACACTACAACATCTTCCATCAAAAGAGCTAATAGTGTTTGTGGCACAGATATTCAAAAATTACTTGATGATAGTTTTATAATGAACTTAGTAAATATGCATACGCTTCCTATTAGAATGTTAAATTAAAACACTCCTTTTCGATACAATGCAATAGCTAATTCTGTAATTATAATTAAATTTACAAATGCAAAGTATAGTAGTGGCAATTATGCATCAAATTGTATTTTCAGCTGCACCTGTCTATATTTTAAAAGTCGGTATGCAGTTGCAAACTACTGAACATCTGAGAATGAATACAGAATTAGCTGGGCAAGGCTATGGTCTTAATTATTATAAATACCCAGTCTGTCATTTTTTTAGCATATGTCACCCAACAATGATGTATTAAGTGCCTACTGTGTGTCAGGATACATCAGTGTTCTGGATTCACCTTCAAGGAGCTCAGCCTAGTAGAAGGGAGAGACAAGTAGACAGACAGATGAGGAAATGGGCCATAATAAACAGTGCAGTGATGGGGTGTGCACAGCAAGAGGGGGGAATCAGAACATAGAGGAAATGCTGCAGCCCTTCCAGGTAGTTTTCTTTTCCCTGGTATGTGCCTGCCTCAGACTATAAAGATAGAGGCTAAAGAATAAATGCTGACATACAAACGTGGTTTCAAATCCTGTTCCACCCTTTTACTAACTCTGTGACCTAAAGCAAGTCTTTTAGCTCCCCAACTTTGATTTCCTCTAAATGAAGCAGCAATGATAATACAGGCTACCACAGAGGATTGCTGTGCAGACCAAAGATAATGCCTACAATGCACTTAATGCAACAGCTGGCACTTAATACATGTTCACTATCATTATTACTATTATCACTTTCATGTAATGACCAACAGACCTGGAATACACTCCATGGTCCCAAGTTGGAGGCAACCAAGGTGGACACAGAGATCAGTTACTTTTATTGTTTCATGGTAGATGAGATCTGATGAAGGAGAATATGATGATCCTTTGGAAATAAAGGGATTGATGGTTACCCACAAGAACTTGGCTCCAATCTCTTCGCCATTCTAACCAGTAAATTTGTGTATTCTTTCTCATTCTGTCTCTCTCTCTCTCTCTCTCTCTCTCTGTCTCTCTCTGTTTCTCTTTCTCACTTCTCTCTGTTTCTGTCTCTCTCTCTCTATCTTTCTCTCTCATACTGTTGCAGAGTATCAGTGTGGGAGGGAATCATCATTTTTTTTTTCTTTAACAGGCATTCAGGAATGAAATGTGTTCATTTTATGTCTGTGTGCTGCTTTGGTATTTAATGCATATGTCTCTAGCATAATATCAAACTTCAGTCTCAATTTCCTGAACAATCTGTATATTTAGAAGACTGAACAATATTTCACAATAGTGTTTTTATTTTCTTAATCTTTTTTTTTAAGCATTTGCTCATAGCTGGAAAGGTGACCATAAAACCAAAACCAGATAGGAAAAACTAAGCCAAAGGAAAACCAAATTCTGATTACTAACAACTATTTAGATCGCATTTTATCAACTTATGATTCAATGATGATGAGCCATATTTTGATAAGAGAATAACATCTCAGACCAAGCTTCCCTCTCTAATATCATAGATATTTGTATCATGACAAAGGATGAAATAATCCCACACATTAGGGTGGAGAACTTATAGCTATTTTCCTTTCAGATTTAAAATTGCCTGTTTTAGTAGATCGGTATCATGTGTCCTTTGCCTTACTTAGAGAGTTACAAAATAGATTTCTCCTTCATAATCTCCTAGAGGGAAAGAACCTGTAAGAAGATCTGACCCTATTTTGCCTTCAGCTGACATATCTAGGCTATATTTGGTAAGCAGCAAAAAATCTGGAGTGATTTTTAACCTTCAACTGGTGTGAGAATGACGGACTAACTTTATTTGAAATGGAAGCCAAGTGAATATCTCAAAATTATGACGTCTTTCCTCCCTCCCCATGGTGAATACCACCCCAACCTCCTTTTTTCAAATTAAAGAGTTCTTGACACTCATCTCCCGATCAAATCCATTTATTTTCAGCTGATCTACTCCAAGTTGATCAAACAACTTCTTTGGTAAAATAAACTACTCACAAAGAGTTCATGGGTTGAGCATGAAAGAGAAGGAAAGCTGGGTAGAGAAGAAAGAAGGAGCAAGTGTTATTTGATGATTTATTCTGTTGTTTATTTTTTCCCTGTCAATACAATTGCAGCTAAGACTATGTTTCTGTCTCAGCGTATAAACTAGCTTTTCACAAGCAGCTTTATTTTAGTCATCTACATCACGAATTCATTTTTTGGCACCAGTTGAGCACACTAGCTCCTATTGAGACGAGCTACAGAGAAAGCAGGCCAGCGCTCCCTCTAACCTTGACAGTGGTTCAACTGAAATACTGTGGATGGAAATTCTACACAGATGCAGCATGTTTTTGTTCCTCCAGGGAATACCAGAGAGGGCTATGGAGTGAGTCACCTGGTGCCATTGCCTAGGAAGAAATGATCCCTGCATTACCTGCATTCTGGACCCACTACCTTGAAAGCCTTGCCTTGCTCTATAGAACAATGAGGGGACCCAGCTTCGCATGCAAACTGTTTAAGGCAGTAGTCATTGTCCTGACACTTCTGTGGTTTACTCTATGTCTCAACACTCCTTGAAGTATTTCTTTCACTCACATCACTCTTTAGACATGCCTTTGGTTTCTGAGCTTATACAATATTTTCCTATGATCAGCAGTGTATTAGTTAAGGCTCTCCAAAGAAACAAAAGCATAGGAGATAGATAGATAGATAGATACATAGATAGATAGATAGATAGATAGATAGATAGATAGATAGATAGATAGAGATCAAGTATATATATATATATACTTGATATATGTACTTGATATATATATATATAAGTATATATATACAGAGAGAGAGAGAGATGAGGAAATTTATTATAAAAATTGTCTCACACAAGAAGTCCTATGATATGCCATCTGCAAGCTGCAGAACCAGGAAAGCTAGTGGTATAATTCAGTCCAAGTCCAAAGGCCTGAGAACCAGCAGTGGAGGGGTCACTGGCTTAAGTCTGGAGTCTGATGTTTGAGGGCAGGGGGATTGATGTCTCAACTCTAGAGGAGAAAGTGAAAATTCATGCTTCCTCCACCTTTTTGCTCAATTTTGACCTTCAAGGGATTGGAAGGTACACAACCACATTGATGAGGGTGGGTGGATCTTCTTTACTTAGTCTACTGACTCAAATGCTAATCTCTTCCACGAACACCCTCACAGACACACTGAGAAATAATATTTTACCAGCTATCTGGACATCCCTTAGCCCAGTCAAATTTTCACATAAAATGAGACATCACAAGCAGGGTTGAGCTTCAGAAATTTAGAATTTCTTTCTTCAACAACAACAACAACAAAAAAGCTTCTTTTTTAGTCTTTCCAGTTGACTGAGATCTTCGAGAAAACAACTTCTAAACTTCTGTGTATAATCATCCGGCCTTTACTTAAACAGTTCTCACCTCAACCACCATTCTCCCACCAACCCACTGCCTAAGACTCCTACCTTCTTCCCTACACACCCTTAATTAAAGCCACACATCTTTCAGGCAGTGTAGCTCATCAAATATGATTGAATGCCTTCTCCATCCCAGGCTGGGCATTAAGCATTGCAGGGATGCAAAGATAATGAAAGCAGTCCCTCGCATTGATTGGTGTTCTATAGTGAATGCCTGCTTATAGAATAGGGGCACTTAATGTGGAAGCCTAAGGATGGGATTTGAGCAGACAGGATGATGACACAAGGCATGAATCTCCTGAATATGTGTGTATGTGTGTGTGTGTGTGTGTGTGTGTGTGTGTGTGTGTGCGTGTGTGATGAACATTTTTGTGGGGTGGGCAATGTCTTTCGTGGTGTATAGGAAACGCATACCACAAAACACCAGATATGTTCCCTGTCCTGTGGAATATAAGGCAGAAAGCCTTATATAGTGATGAGCAGATGGGGCAGAGTCAAAGAGATGGAAGGAAGTTTATGGTGGAGCTATCATTTAGATACTTAGTATCACAATTAATATTAAATATACCCCTTCTGCTTCCCCATTATTTTTTACTGTTGTCAGCTGTTAAAAAAACTTTAAGAAAAACATCTAACATAAACAAAATTTTATTTTTACATACAAAATATTTTTAAGAGCATATAATTAAAAGCATTAACATTTTCTTATGCCTGGTGGCTTTTTAAAAAAAAAGTTTTATAATGTCATTACAGTTTTACCTATTCCTGAACAAAGATGATTCAAATAGCACTCCCTGACAGATAGTACCTCATCAAAGCACCTCAGATAACTGTGGCAAAATGAAGGATACATACAGCATCAGAACCTTAAATAATCAAAAAATCATATAACTTTATTATATCCCATTTAGAAGGACAGAAATAATATAGTTATTGAAACCCTAATTCCCTCAGGAGAAACAAAAAGATGAATCAAGAATTACCTGTGTTTTGAGGCTGTTTTTCTAGTTTCATTTCAACTAGCAAAGTTAGGTGGTAACATGCTTTTTTGTTTTGAGCCAAAATTGTCGTTTTAGTTGGACTGACCCAGAGGCAAAGGGTTGGACTCTTACAGAGGCACTGGGTTTGCACAGGGCACCATTCCTGGTATTGTGTGGAACTCCAGCCGGACCTGCTGACTGGTTCAGGGGTCTCCTGCCCAGAACACTTCCTTAAATGTGAAACTGAGACACAAAAGTGGAACTACTTGCCAGTCAAGCATATTACCACATCACATTGCTTTGCACAGCCTCCTTATGAACCAAATGTTTGCTTACTGCCGGGACATGTGAGACAGAGCATCCTGGAGGAGTCACAGTTGGAACTGAGGCTTGAAGCAGTTCCAGCTTTCGGAGGACAGTGAATGTTTCCTCACCACATCCTGTTTATGACTTTGCGGAAGGCCCCCACCAACCTCATGAGGGTCCTTTTACCATGTGGCATTGAGCCTGCATTCCCCCCAGGACATCAAGTTCTATGACCCCGCTAATGCCTCCCATTCCGGCAATCTTAACATGCCTAAAACTAATCAAAATGCCAGCCTTTGTGATTCTCTCTTCTCTTTCCTTACTGCTATGTGCTCCCTCTCTCCTGAATTTTCTCTTCATTGCCTTTTATCTTTCCTAAGTTTTCCCCCTGTGAGTCTGCAAAACCATCTTTCATTGTAAACAAAATTCCCAACACCCTCCCAAACATGGCACAAAATGTGGTCTTCTCCCCCAACATCTGATTTATTCCTAGACCCACTATATCCTGGGAGACATTAAGCAACTTCACTTCCCTCACCATGTTGCCCAAACTCTATGGCATTTCATCAGCCATTCTTCCAGCACTTTCATCGTTCCAGCCACCTAGCTTCTCCACGATGGTGACTCTGTAAAGTCCCAGTCTTGGATCAACCCACCTACTTGTCTTCTCTACTCTTACATTTACTGAATATGGTTGCAGAAAAGTCATCCACCTGTTCAGGCGAGCACCATTACGATATCAAGTCTCTCCAAGTGTCAAACTTGACCATTTTCTCAAGCTCCCTTTTTCCCTTTTTTTCTTCTTCCTCTTTCAAGCTTCCTTTTAGGTTAATCTGACCTTCTAGTACACTAAGAAAAATCCAGGCTATAAGATTTATATGCCCTCAATTACTTGTAGCTGCATTGTAGTATGTTGGTATCAGAACCTCACATTCACCTCCAAAAGGGTATCCTTTTTGCTCTAGACTAACCTGTTTCCCTGTACTCTGATCTTCCCTTCTATCTCCTAAGAGGTGGCTTCATTATGTATATTCTCCCCTTTCTCCTATAGCTATGGCCATTCCCTCTCAACTGGCTCTTTTATGCCAACCCATGAATATATTCTATTCTCCAATTCTGTGGAGGAACCACGCAATTCTTATTAATTGTATATGATTCTCCCTCTAGATGTCATCCATTTTATCCCTTGAAATAGAGCTTCTTGAAAGAATAGATTTACACTTTATTGCTTCCATATCCTAACTCCTTTTCACCCCTTAGCCTATAGCAAACCATATCCTATCCCCAGAACCCCACTGACACTGCCCTCAGTGAGATCATCAATCATCTTCCAGGTGCTAAGCACAGAAGGCTTTTCTCAGTCATCTTCCTCAGCCTCTCCATGCCTTATGACTCTGTTAACCTTTCCCTCCCTTTACCTCTCTTGGCTTCCTTGATGTTGCTCTATCCTTACTTGATACCTTCTCTCTGGCTGATCTTTTCCAATTTCCTTCAAGGACTACTCTCTTTCTACTCACCCCTTAAATGTTGGTGTTCCCCAGGTCAGTGGCTCCCAATCTTTTTTACTTTGTAGTGTACATAGATAATGAAACTATTTATATAACATTCAGGGATAAACTGGACACTCCTTGGTGATATCTAAAGGGTGCCGGGTTAAAAGAAAAAGGAATTACCTTCATTTTATATTGTATTATTTATGGTAGGAAAAATAAAATAGAAAGAACTAGAAAAGTTTTTAAATGTTAAATTTGTTTGAAATTCCCAAATATTTTTTAATCTTTTTATTCTTGAAATGGCTATTCACAATTTCTTGTCAAGACTTTATCATCATAATTTTTTCACTGGGTAGTAAACATCAACAGGAAACTTCACTGTCACAGTAGGTGCTAAAAATATTTTTAACATTTGACAACCATTCAAATCTTTGCAACAGTTATTATATTTCAGGAATTGAATAGCTCTTCCTTTTCTTTCACTGACAAATGTAACATTAAAATTTCTTATGCAAACGTGAATTTCTAGTCTGACTGATCTGTTTCTTATCAAGGATTCCAAAATGGTGGCATTCTCATCTGAAGTACTTGCAGTACTCCAGACAATTTGGATTTCATACTGGCCATAAACTGACAGAATTATCCACAGTGTGTGAAGTCAGAGATTTGGGGTAGCCACCAAGAGTGACACCTACCTCCCTGTCTCGCCTCCCTACCACCCTCTCACCTTCCGTCTCTCTCAACTGGCCATACCTAGAGGTATTTGGGTACCTATACCATCAATCCCCCAGCAACACTACAGTTGGCAATTTCCACGCTGAAGAAAATGTCTGCAACAGATATTGAAATGGTAGATTATTTCTGAGTTTTGCAGCAAAGCTAGAAGCTAGAAGACCTTCATCATGCTAGCCAATTTCAAAGACAACCACATAAGCTGTTAGAAGCACTATGTTCCAACATCCCACTGAGGACCCCTGGAAATGGCTGCCACATCTGCAGGCAATCTGCCTAGGGATGCTGGACACTGCTTCTCCTATCCAACTTTCCTAAATGTGAAGGAATTACTATCTCACAGAAAATTGGTACCATGTTATACCAGGCAGAAAGCTCTGCCGTTGAGCTATGTCCTCAGCCCTCTTCCCATTATATAAAGTCTTCTAGAAAGAGGACATCTGTTTTTATGACTGCAACAGCCTCTTGTGTGTTGGTAATTCCTAGACCTAAATGTCTATGTTCTGAACTGGAGACCTGTATCAGGATGTTTCCATTTGGATGTTCCACGGTCTAGAATGTCCAAAATTTAACATACTCTCTTCCCTTACACTGAATTCCCCTTCTCAGTAAATGGCAACACCATGTTTCAGTTACAGAAACTTAAGAGTCACTCTCAGCCCTTCCCTGTCCTTCACCAACTATATATCATTAGTCATCAAATTGTGTCTACTTTGCTCTCAGATACATAGTTCCTTCTCTTAAGCCTCACAAAATGCCTTTACTGAATCACTAAAACCACCTCCAAGCTGATCTTATTATCTCCAGACTGCCCCTCTAAACAGCCAAACAGCCAGCCTCGTAATTTTTCTAAAGAGTAAATCTAATCATGTAACTCCCCAGCTTGGAGTCTTTAATAATACCCCATTATCTACAAGATAAAGCCCAAATTCCTTAACATGAAATACAAAACCCGCTTAAATCATCTCTCACCATTCCTTCCCCATATTCTACAATGAACTCAGTAGTTTTTTGAATGAGCCCTGCTTTCTTGTCTCCATGACCCATGGTGATACTTCTGCCAGAAATGCCCTTCCTTTCTACCCCACTCCATTTCCTCACTAGGATGACTGCCAGCTGTCTTTTCAAACTCAAATCAGCTGCCATTTCCTCTGGGAAGACTTGCCCAGTTATTCTAATCTCCATCACCTCTGCTGGGAGGATCCATTCTATTCTGTCCATGCTTATACTGCAAGGATTTTTATATCATCTGCTTTCTTTAATGTTTTAGAGAAAATTATAAAGATACACACACCTGTCACATAGTTCTTACCACCAAGGTCCCATAACATAGTGGTTGACCTAGACATCTGGGTATTGTAGAAAATAATAGAAAGCTCTTAAATGCAAGCATGAGGACAGGTTTATTTTTAAACTGTCTGTTGTATGCTTATGCAAGAGTCTTGATTTCATGACTAGAGGTGTCTCTTCTGAACAGCCAGCAGATGAACCAGCCTCACGTCCTGGCGCTCTTCACCCCACTTGCCCATTCACCCCTACCTTGTGCCAGTCCCCAAATTAGGCCAGTGGCTCCATCCCAAGTCAGTCCCCCTACAACTCTTTGCTATCCCCCTACACGTGTAGTCAATTTACAAATGGCACTTTCCTGAAGGAGGAGTCATTTTCGTACATTCCAAGAAGTTTCTGCTCCCTGGGGGCCTCTGGGTCAGTGGAGGGCATGAACTCATCACCATCCTGACACTGTTCTTATCCAAGGGTTTCTATCTGTGGCCATCCTCTCTCTGCCTCTGCTTGGCCAAAGGCAAGCACCAGGAAGTAACCCTACCACACAGTTCTATACTATCTCACTTTATCATTTAAGCCCAGAATAAAATCATAACTTGGTATAACCATTCAATATCCATTTGACTTCTGCCTTTTTTTTGCATGGGGGGTAGGGCTTCAGCACTTTTTATTTGCTAATGAGATTAGGCACTCAGTAAATGTTTGTTGAATAAGTAGATCCCCGGATATACAATGTGGAGGGTAGGTTTTCAGGAGGAAGGTTCAGATGAGAGGGTGAGGGGGTCCAGTACCATTCTCCGAGTTAGAAAGGACAGGAATAAAAAGTAGGTTTGGATATGGAAATGATGAAATCAGTTTACAGCATTTGGGATTTGCAATGACCCTGGGATGTCCAAAACAAGCAAAAAGCCTAGCAATTAGCCTTGAGAGGTGACTCCAAAGAGGGCTGACCTTTTCCAGGACACCATTGCATAATGTCCCTGGATAATAACCACATTTCCTACTGTGAACTTAATCACAACTTAGGGGAAAACCTATTAGCGTTATTCAGTAATGAAGGGAAGCATTTCCTGCTACTTGCTGATAGGTGAGAGTAGGTGACAGCCCAGAAGGATGAAAAGAGGAATCCTATGCTGAAGAAAAGATAGAAATAAAACATTTTATGATCTTATGATCATATTATCCAATAACAATAGACTATATTTTTAGCTAATCTTTGAACCACCTCCTTCTCACAAAGTTCTAAACAGGAAACAAAATGCAACATTTCCAAAATCTTGGCTCGATTTAATATTGGCATCATATGACTTTGACATTAGGGGCAAAGGAAGTAGAATGAGATGCAGGGAGGACTTTACAACAATTTCATTAAATGGTTCAAAAGACTTCCTTTGGCATTAATCAATTGTTTCAAGACAATAATTTGATGACTTAAGAATAAGTAAATCAAAAGCATATGTATCAAATTTTCCTTGAAGTATGCTAGGGTTCTAAAGTAAGGAAAACAGCATTTGGCAAAATTCAATCTGCCTTTGCCAAACCTAAAGTGTTTGAAAAAATAATTTGAGAGGTTTTGCCAAACCCCACATGCCTCTGTGTTCTTCCATCCCACCCAGATCTCCAAAAGTGCAAAACTCATACATCTACTCAGCATTCCAAATGACAGATTCCATCTCTGGATTGGCAGGCACACTTGTTATCTATTGCTGTAGAACAAATTACCCCAAAATTTAGTGACTTAAAAAAAAACATTATTTCACAGTTTCTCGGGGTCAGGAATTTGAGAGCAACTTAACTGTGGGGTTCTGTATCAGAACCTCTCATGAGGTTGCAGCCAAGATGTTGGTCAGAGCTGCAGTTATCTGAAGGCTTGACTGCAACTGGAAGATCTGCTTCCAAGGTGGCTCAGTCACATGTTGACAGGAGGCCTCAGATGCTTGCTGGCTGTTGGCATGTGAGCTCTGTTCCTTGCCATGTGGACCCCTCCATAGGCTGCTTGAGTGTCCTCATGACTCAAGAACCAGTGATCTAAACACAACGGCTAGGAGAAGGCCACAGTGCCTATTATTTTGTAGTCTCAGAAATCACACATCACCACTTCCACCATATTCTATTCATGAGAAGCAAGTCACTATGTTCAGCCCACACCCAAGGTGAGAGGAGATAGTCTCCACTTTTTGAATACTGTTGGAGAATTTACTGACTTTTTTTTTTTTCTTTGAGATGGCGTCTCACTCTGTTGCCCAGGCTGGAGTGCAGTGGCACGAACTTGGCTCACTACAACCTCCACCTCCCGGGTTCAAGCCATTCTCCTGCCTCAGCCTCCTAAGTACCTTGGACTACGGGCACATGCCACCACGCCTGGCTATTTTTTTGTGTGTATTTTTAGTAGAGATGGGGTTTTACCATGTTATCCATTACGGTCTCAATCTCCTGACCTCATGATCCACCTTCTCGGCCTCCCAATATTGACGTATTTTAAAACCACCACATCAGAAGATTCACTTTTACCTGCTTGTGTCTGCCCCAGTCTCTTGTATCACATGGAACCTCAGAAGGACTTAATCCAACGCATACAGAAAGTCCAGTAAAGGTCTAGTCCCAAACTGGTAAAAACTCTGGAGTCTCACCAGGTACTGCTATGGCTGTCTCCCCTCTGCCAGGCTTTTCAGAACTACTGCTGACTATTAGACTAGAACTGCTGAAGCACACACAGCACCAGTGCATTGCCTGAGGTCTCCATGTAGCCAACTTCAGAGAAATTGACTTTGTCAAAACACTACTCCCCATAATTACTACCTGATGGGGGCTTTCGTGAGATTCCTCTTCCTCTTAGCCCCTCATACAGCTTTTCTCCTCTGAGGACCCCTGTGTTCTGTACTCAGATTCCACAGGGACCTGATGTTCCTCATGGAACCCTCAGCTACTGTCTATCTTTGCAATTCCTTGGATTTCTAGGGGCTAATGAGATTGCTTTGACCTCTCTGAAAAGAAAAGATCTCATTCCACTCCCTTTTTGAAAGATCTTCCTCTTTTTGTCCATATATATATATATGGACTTACTTACTTCCTCAAAAAATAGCAGTAGAGAGAGAGAAAGAGAGAAACAGAAAAAAAAGATGAGAGAGACAGGAAGGAGAGACGGGAAGGAGGGGGGAAAAGTAAGGGAGAGAGAGAGAGAAAGAAAGAAAAAGGAAGGAAGAAAGGAAGGAGAGAGAGAGAGAGAAAGAACTAAAGAAAGAATGAATTAAAAAAGGAAAGAGAGAGAAAGAAAACAAAAGAAAAAACAAAAGAAGTAAAAAGAAAAGGAAGGGAAGAAAAGAAAGGAAGAGAAGGGAAAGGAAGAAAGCTTTTTCTACTAGAGGTCTGGACAGTGACAGTCTTAAGTCACAAAACATTCTGTCCCATCATAATCACAACACAGTCATAAGCCCCCTACAAATTTATAACTAAAGTGTGTAGGGAGTAAAACACAAAAAAGCAATACACCTCAGGACTAATAAAAACACAAGGCAATTTCAGCAATTTCATAACAAAACTTCTGCTAAGCTAGGTAACATTTTGCTTTTTTGGATAAAAGTAATAAATCTCCTTTCGTTTAAATGACAGGTGGTCGGGATTGTTCACTTGTACTTTTAGAAAATTCCACGTAGATTAGGGAGAGAAAGAAAAAGATCAAGCACTAAGATTAGGACCTAAATCTTTTTCAGCCAAGCAGAAGTTACATTAAAAACCCCATGTTTTCAGATTCTTTTGGGGTCCATGAATTGATGCAAGATTTCCCCCTTAGTGCAGGGATGCAGCAATACTTGTGTTGGAATTTACTGGCAGAGCCTTAGCCTAGTTCTGTAGCCAGTTTCTAGAATCATTTTTACAGTAAGGAAGGTGTTTGTACAGGAAGGATGTGGTGTCAGGAATGGGAGATTGGTTATATACAGGCAAAAAATGATAAAATTATTAAACATATTCAGGATAAAGGGAGCCAGTATTGTAAAGAAAGTTACAAATATGGAAATGAAAAAAATGACATTAAACCCTAGGGTGTTAGACTGAAATTGGAGATATCACTCTGATGCCATGGTGTTCAATATATGTAAATATAAATAAAATGTTTTAAATTCCTTAAACCTGGTCGGGCACGGTGGCTCATGCCTGTAATCCCAGCACTTTGGGAGGCCAAGGCAGGCAAATCACCTGAGGTCAGGAAGTGAGGTAGCGTGATGACTCCAGCTTTGTTCTTTTAGCTTAAGATTGTCTTGGCAATGTGGGCTCTTTTTTGGTTCCATGTGAAATTTAAAGTAGCTTTTTCCAATTCGTTGAAGAAAGTCATTGGTAGCTTGATGGGGATGGCATTGAATCTATAAATTACCTTGGGCAGTATGGCCATTTTCACGATATTGATTCTTCCTATCCATGAGCATGGAATGTTTTTCCATTTGTTTGTGTCCTCTTTTATTTTGTTGAGCAGTGGTTTGTGGTTCTCCTTGAAGAGGTCCTTCACATCCCTTGTAAGTTGGATTCCTAGGTATTTTATTTTCTTAGTGGCAATTGTGAATAGGAGTTCATTCATGATTTGGCTCTCTGTTTGTCTCTTATTGGTGTATAAGAATGCTTGTGATTTTTGCACATTGATTTTGTATCCTGAGACTTTGCTGAAGTTGCTTATCAGCTTAAGGAGATTTGGGGCTGAGACGATGGGGTTTTCTAAATATATAATCATGTCATCTGCAAACAGGGACAATTTGACTTCCTCTTTTCCTAATTGAATACCTTTATTTCTTTCTCTTGTCTGATTGCCCTGGCCAGAACTTCCAATACTATGTTGAGTAGGAGTGGTGAGGGAGGGCATCCCTGTCTTGTGCCAGTTTTCAAAGGGAATGCTTCCAGTTTTTGCCCATTCAGTGTGATATTGGCTGTGGGTCTGTCATAAATAGCTCTTATTATTTTGAGATATGTTCCATCAATACCTAGCTTATTGAGAGTTTTTAGCATGAAGATTCCCTCTTTTTTAATTTTTTGGAATAGTTTCAGTATTAATGGTACCAGCTCTTCTTTGTACATCTGGCAGAATTCTGCTGTTAATCCATCTGGTCCTGGGCTTATTTTGGTTGGTAGGCTATTTATTACTGCCTCGATTTCAGAACACATTATTGGTCTATTCAAGGATTCAATCTTTCTTATTCAGTCTTGGAAGGGTGTATGTGTCAAGGAATTTATTCATTTCCTCTAGATTTTCTAGTTTATGTGCATATAGGTGTTGATAGTATTCTCTGATGCTTGTTTGCATTACTGTGGGATCAGTGGTAATATCCCCCTCAATATTTCTGATTGTGTTTATTTGAATCTTCTCTCTTTTCTTCTTTATTAGTTAGCTAGCGATCTATCTATTTTATTAGCTTTTTCAAAAAAAAACAAACAGCTCCTGGATTTGTTGATCTTTTGAAGGGTTTCTCACGTCTCCATTTCCTTTAGCTCATCTCTGATCTTGGTTATGTCTTGTCTTCTGCTAGTTTTGGGATTGGTGTGCTCTTGGTTCTCTAGTTCTTTTACTTGTGATGTTAGCTTGTTAACTTGGGATCTTTCCAGCTCTTTAATGTCGGCATTTAATGCTATAAATTCTCCCTCTTAACACTGCTTTAGCTGCATCCCAGAGATTCTGGTACACTGTAACTTTGTTCTCATTAGTTTCAAAGAACTTCTTGATTTCTGTCTTAATTTCATCATTTACCCAAAAGACACTCAGGAGCATGTTGTTCAATTTCATGTAGTTGTATGATTTTGAGTGAACTTTTTAATCTTGAATTCTAATTTGATTGCACTGTGGTCTGAGAGTCTGTTTGTTATAATTTCAGTTCTCTTGCATTTGCTGAGGAGTGTCTAACTTCCAATTGTGTGATCAATTTTACAGTAAGTACCATGTGGCAATCAGAAGAATGTATATTCTGTTGCTTGGGGGTGGAGAGTTCAGTAGATATCTATTAGGTCCGCCTGATGAGAGCTGAGTTCAGGTCCTGAATATCTTTGTTAATTTTTTGTCTCAGTGATCTGTCTAATATTGTCAGTGGGGTATTAAAGTCTCCCACCATTATTGCGTGAGGGTCTAAGTCTCTTTGAAGGTCTCTAAGAACTTGCTTTATGAATCTGGGTGTTCCTGTATTGGCTGCATATATATATTTATGATAGTTAGATCTTCTTGTTGAATTGAACGCTTTACCATTATACAATGCCCTTCTTTGTCTCTTTGGATCTTTGTTGGTCTAAAGTCTGTTTTGTCAAAAACTAGGATTGCAACCCCTGCTTTTTTTGTTTTCCATTTTCTTGGTACATTTTCCTCCATCCCTTGTCTTTGAGCCTGTGTGTCTTTGCATGTGACATACTGGCGCCTTAATCTTGCATTGTAAGCAATGAATTTCTGTTGTTTATAAATTGCCAAGTTCAAGGTATTTTTTATAGTAGCAAGAACATTCTAAGACAGAGGAACAAAAGAGTAACTTTGCAGCGGAGAAGGTTGGCAGATATCACCTTGCTCAAGTAATGAATGCTAACAGAAACAATAATAAAGCAAATCAAAATGATGTGCCATCTAATATGATGCAAAGATAAAATTCAACATCATTTCTGTGATGTTCCAATTTAGTCTAATCTTAACCTAATCATGACAAAATCTGACAAATCTAGAATAAGGAATATTCTACAAAAACAAGAGCCTGTCAAAAGTGTCGAGGTCATGGAAGTCAAGCAAAGATTACAGAGCTGTTCCAGATTGAAGGCGACTAAGGAAAGATGGTAACTAAATGCAATTCCTGATTCTGGGCTGGACTATTTCCTATAAATGACTTTTATTGGTAAAACTGGCAAAACTGGAATTGGGCCTGTGGATTAGATAGTGATCCAATTTAACTTTCTGATTCTCTGGATTGTGTCATACTGGAAAAGACTCTTGCTTTTTGGAAATACACAATAAAGTATTTGGAGGTGATGAGACATCCTGTCAGAAACTTAGTCCCACATGGCTCAAGAACTAAAAGTTCTTTATATTACTCTTGAAACACTTTATACATTAAGATTCTTTTAAAACATATGATTTCTTAGAGTGAACCTTTTCCACCCAGTCTTTTTGTCTGACTTCCAGCATGTCTGATTTCTTTAGTATCATGCTGACACAACATGTCAATTTTTTTGTATTCTTAGGCTGCAAGGAAACACCCTTATTTATCTATTCATTCATCTATTAAACAAACACTTATTGATCACTCATTAGGTCCTAAGTAACTTGCTGCATTAAGGATCTAACTGAAAAAAAAAAAATCCAGCACCTTCCTCCAAGGAGTTTCAGGCTAATAGGGAGACAGAAAAATGAGCAGGTAATAGACGATATGACAAGTGATTATCTGTAGGAATACCAGGTGGTATGGAAGAACAGAGGGGAGGCATCTTAGGATGTGTTCAGGAAAAATGAGACCTGAAGGGAAACTAGGAATTACCTAGGAGGAAAGTTCAGCAGGTGTGTTGCCAGCAGGCAGAGGAAAGAACATGCAGAAGGCAGCCGGAAATGAAAAACAGGGAACATGACCTGTTGTAGATACTGCAAGCAGCAGAGAATAACTGAAGCAGAGAGTGTGCAAAGGGAAGGGTCAAGAGATGAACATAGGAAGGAGGGAGCCTAGGGGATGACCGGCTGCCCATGCCTAAAACACCTTCAGCACCTGCTACACCTATGTCTTCCAGGTTATTACAACCAGCTCTGGTAATCTAGTCACAGGACTTGTTGCACCCACATCAATACTCACACGCCTTCCAAGAAAGTGGCTCTGAGGAGAGCACGGTTTAGCAACCCTAGAACTGTTGGATATTAACAAAGTGAAGCACGTCATTTGCAGCAGCTTCCCTGACAATGTTAGGTTTCTTAGCCAAGTTTTGACAAGTGTTTTTTGAAAAGAGTTATTGGCATACTTGCTTGCATATCATCTTTCTTCCCAGGATAGAAAGATATTTACAAATGATGTCTGGCAACATAGAATTGGATATTTTTTACTCTCCCTAAAATACTTGCTCTATTCTAAACAGCGCATCGCAGTGCACTTCTCCTTGGCAACCTTGTGGTTTCCCTGAATACACATCCAATTACCCAAGTGGTTGCTATTGCACTGTGGCCTGTTTTCACTTTGGGTGGCAGGCCCTCAGTTCCCTGCTGCCCACTCAACAAGACATTCACTAATTCCAGAACTCCTGGGCAAAGAATTCCTTCAAATTAACCATGAGCTTTATTTTTAGTGTAAAAGATGTTTGCTTGATAAAAAAAAATTGTTTCATGTAATTATAGTCATTAGAAATGGGAATGAGACAATACTTGGTGAACTGATCCCTCCATCTGGTTAGGGTAGGATTATTCCCTGTGACAGATTGGCCATGCTAAACTATACAAACTGAATGAAGTGAAACCCAGACCATCTGTGCATGGAGCCATTTCTAAGTGGTTAGTACTGCAGAGACCCCTGGATAAGCATTTGCATTGAGCAGTGTAGTAGCACCTGACATCCTCACGGTTCATTCATCCAGCAGCTTGTGGTCAGTTGCTTACTGGATCCAAGGCCAAAGTATAAACAGAATGTCTTGGGTTTCTCCCAGTACAGTTTAAAGCATGTCAATAGTTTGGTTTTGGCCTCTTCTCATTACTATTTAAGCTATATGACGCATATTTGTGTTTTTGTAAGTCTGCTACATTTTAAGTATAAAAGAAGATAAAGCAAATAATAATAATTGCTATTTTTTATTGAGAATTTATTACCTGCCAAGCTTTTTTCTAAATAATTCATATTATTTCTAATCTTCCTAATTATAATCTGCAAAGTAATTATAATTATTCCCATTATATAATTAAGGAAATGGGAGCTTAGAGAAGTTAATTAGCTAGTCGAAGATCAAACATCTAGTAATCTGATTACAAGCTAGGATTTGAATTCACGGTTGCTGCTAACTTCAAAGCCCATGGGTTTTTTCACCCTATCATTGCCTCGTAAAGATACTTATCATTTGGTTTATCAAAACAAACCAAATTTATCATTGTTTATCAAAATAAAGTTCTCCATTGTTTATTTTGTATATTGTTTGTCAAGTATTATTGACCATTTGCTACGTGATGGTCTCTAGTTTAAGATACAAAGAAATTTAAAACATGGTTCCTATCACCAAGGATTACACAATTTAAACAAGGATGGTAGACATACAAACAAGCAATAAAATAATTTAAAATATGATGAAGCCCATAAAAAGCTGTGCATAGATAGTACTGGAGACATTCAGAAGTGAAAGAGATCTATTCTTGGGGAAGTGACAAGGGAAGCCTCCCAAGAGGTAGCATTTGAGCTGAGTCTTGTATGTTCAGATAGTGAAAAGAAGAAAATTCTCGTACAGCCATAGGCAAAAGTGCAGAGGCAGGAAAAAGCAAACGTTTTCCATTCAGGAAGCAGCAAGGCATTGGTGTGGCTGGAATGTGGAAGAAGATTTCTTATCTGGCACTATCTGGGCTCACCTACTACCACTCTGCTGCTGCTGTGTGTGTGTGTGTGTGTGTGTGTGTGTTTCACAAATGCACTCAACTGGTAAGCACGGAGACATAGCTGCTGATAAACTTGGAAAACATAAATGAGTTGAAACACAGACATCATGTAGGGTAGATACAAACCCTAAGAAATGGGAGGTAAGGAGACTATAGTCACACCACTCTCTTGGTCTTCCCTTTGTCTTTCTTGAGAGTTTCTAACAGGTAAGTGAAACCTGAAAAAGGTTTTAATTATGCTAAGAGATCATCCAAGAATTCATAATAAATGGTCCCCAGTGAACCTTTTTTTTCCTTCCCCCACTCCCCGCCAAGACAGAGTCTTGCTCTGTCACCTGGGCTGGAGTGCAGTAGCATGATCTCAGCTCATTGCAACCTCCACCTCCCAGGTTCAGGCAATTCTCCCACCTCAGCATCCCAAGTAGCTAGGATTACAGGTGCCCACCACCACACTTGGCTAATTTTTTGTATTTTTAGTAGAGATAGGGTTTCACTATGTTGGCCAGGCTGGTCTCAAACTCCTGACCTCAAGCAATCCACCCAATCGCGGGCAAAAATACTGTCAGTCATCAATTACTGATTCCTTATCATATACCCTCAACTGCTAATCCAAACCACTTCTATGAGCATAAAATCATTATTTCTGGGGGTTGGACACTGTTCACATGAACTGCTTTGATATCTTGTCTCTCTACCTCAGAACCCTTGTGTAGCCATACCCTCCTTTCCATATAAAATCCTTCTCATTCTTCTCACACGATCTTTTCCTTCCCTCTTGTGTTAGAGCAATGGGTTCATTCATAGTCATTTTTCCCAAGTCTAAACCTACCACTTTAATGATTACCTTTATCCCTTCCTAGCTCTGCTGGGCCTGTATCTTTAATTGTTCTAATTCCTCTTTGGTCCCCAATCTCTCCCTTTCTACTTCCTCTTAGTCTACAAATATCCTAAGTCTCATTTATAATTTTTAAAATTTATGATCATGTTAATGTTATTAAAATAAAATCGTATTTATTTTATTATATAAAGTACATTTACAAATTCCCTTTACCTTGTTATTTTTTCCATCAGCCATCATATTCCACCTTCCTCTATCAAAAGTCTAAAAATAAAACTGGTCTAAACCTAATTTTTTCAATTCCTCACTCTTGCTTCTTAAAGTCCTTCTAATTTGGCCTACATTTCTCACTGAGATTACTCTCGAAATTCTCTAGTGGCCACCAAATCCAGGGGCTTTACATCATCATTTTCCTTGGTTGCCCCTGTGAAAATCTGACCAGGCTGAATTGAGCAGGGCTCGTGATCAGTTATTTGTAGTCTGAGCTGTGACACTATTTTCTCAGTTGCCTAAGCCAGAAACCTGCTATCTCTCACTCCTTATAGTCCTTGAACCATCAAAATCTGTTGATCCTATGAATGGGCTTCCTGTTTTTTGAAAACCTCCATTCTCGATAACACTACAGTTATTTAATACTCATTTTTTTGCTTACATTATTGTAACAGCCTCCTAACTGCACTTCAGCTTCTTGTCTTCACCTCTGATAATCCATTATCTTAAAGACTGCTGCAATATTCTTTGGAAAATATATATAGGATCATGTCATATCCCTCCATTAAATCCTTTAGAAATTCTATATTTCCCATAGACCTCAGGAACTCTTAAGGATGGCAAAACAGGAACTTTGTGTTCTGGTCCATGACACCTAGTTCAGTTCAGTCTAATTTATATTCTCCTTCCAACACTTCATATACTGTGCTCCATGTCTGAATTTATAGTTATCTGAAAGGACCATACTCTCTCATATCTCCAAGACTTTACACATTCTATTTTCTCTATCTGAATTTCTCTCTACAATTTCTTTCCACTGGGTGATTCATACTTGTCTGTAAGAGTGAGTTCAAGTTGTTCTGTCAAACCACCACCCCATGATCCCAGAGCCTCAAAGGGGAGATGGCTGTACTGTGTACTTTCATGGATCTCACAGGATATTGTAATTCTAGGAATCATCATATCCTACACCCCCCAAGTTCTGGCAGTCAGTGGCATCAGTAATTTGTAAGCATGAGAAAAATTAATATTTTTTGAGATGTAGTCTCACTCTGTTGCCCAGGCTGGAATGCAGTGGTGTGATCTGGGCTCACTGCAACTTCCACCTCCTCGGTTCAAGCAATTCTCCTGCCTCAACCTCCCAAGTAGCTGGGATTACAGGCATGCGCCACCATGCCCAGCTTTTTTATTTTTCTTTTGTAATTTTAGTAGAGATGGGGTTTACCATTTTGACCAAGCTGGACTCGAACTCCTGATCTCATCTCAGCCTCCCAAAGTGCTGGGATTACAAATGTGAGCCACCGTGCCTGGCCCCAAAACTTAATTTTAAAAGAGATTTTGCAATCCCAGCACTTTGCAAAGCATTGGCGGGAAGATCATTTGAAGCTAGGAGATCAAAACTAGCCTGGGCAACACAGTGAGATTCCATCTTCTCACACACAAAAAATTTAAATTATTAGCTGGGCATGGTGGCTTTTGCCAGTAGTCCTAACTACTCAAGAGTGTAAGCAGGAGGATTACTTAAGCCAGGAGTTTGAGACTGCAGTGAGCTATGATCAGACCACTGCACACTAGCCTGAGTAACAGAGTGAGACCCTGTTTCTAAAAAAATTTTAGAAAGGAGATTTGGTGAGTGATCATTTTGAAATCATGGCCTGTAATTGGTACGAGGTGTAAAAATTAAGCTGTTCCATCTACCCAATCCAAGCTCTTTCAGGCAGGGAAGGAGAGAGATAGTACTCATACCCATATCTATGATTATCTTTTCAGGAGAGCAAAGAAGACCTGATCTAAGATTTAGACTTTACCATAAAATTAGTACATATTTCAAGTAGTAATGGATCATCCTGTATGAGTTACCTGGATCTGTGATGTCTTGTTATTATCCTTTATGCCCATTTCAAACTGCTGAGATTCTGGCACTAGTTTTCTTCTACAAATTAGGCATCTACTTCATAGGCCCTACTGAATAGAAATAACATCATATGTATGTATACGTTAACTACTTGCTGAACAAGCTAGTGTTGGTACTTTTTATTTTGACAGACAAGGAAATTGGAGAGACCACCTAGGCATGATCTTCTGTGCTTTTCTTGCATCAAATGTAAAGTTTCTTCTGTGTCCCCACCGGTAGCTAGCATGGTAATGAGCATATGGAGGGGGCTAACAAATGCTTAGCATCTGATTGTCTTCTAGTACCACCTGAAGCAGAAAATGTGTTTTGGCAGCAGATTATATACACTGGAGGGAAAGGAGAAAATAAATTCAAAAACGGTTTTGAAGTTTCAAACCTGAATCACCATGAGAAGGATACTGACACAAAGAGAAATATGAGAGGGGGTGGTTTTCAGCTCTAGAAAGGGTGGTTTTGGCTATACAGGGGTGGCTTCGGCAATAGAAAAAAAATCATTCAGGTAAAAATGTCAGAGATAGGTATTTAGATGGCATTTGCTAAGAGATAATATGCAAAGTCTCGGATGTGGTGAGATCTCTGAAGGCAAAAAGACAGAGGAGGAATCCAGGTTTTTCAGTGTGGAACGTATGTATACGTACATACTCCATGGATATTTTTCTTGCTTAAAACTATTCAAAAACATAAATTTTTGGCACTATTACAAAAACTTACCCCCAAAAATGTTCAGATAGAGCAGAAACTTCCAAATTAGAAAACTCAGATTTCTGAAAACCTCAATTTTTAAGAAGACAAAAACTGATGAAAAAACAGAGTTAAAGAAACTGAAATCAAAACTCATTTTGTGACTTATAAACATGCAAATATGATATTATTTATTCAAATAAATTAATACAGACAATATATTGAATAAAATATTGATGTTTTAGACATAATTACTAACAATAAAAATAGCAAAATTAATGTTTATCATCCTATTGTTAGCAAGAAATTTTACAAAGTTCTCTTTCCAATACCAATAACATGCTTGTAAGTTTATTGCATTTTAAAACAAATAATATCATGACTAAGAGGCATTATTTCCTGTCTCTGGCCCTCCATGCAAATGTCTATTGCCTGCCCAATTCTATATCTTGGATTCGGCTGATGCGTCCTCAATTTTAGCTTTTCAAAATAATCGCCTTTAGGAGAAAATCGTAATTCAATTACAATAGAAGTAAATTTTTCAAGGCTGATGAAAAGGCATATTAACATAAAAGTAATATGTTAAAATTCCAACTGGGACAACTTGTCCAATCAAGAAAGAATTGTTGCCACACTTACAGGCCTAGTGCTAATTACTGGTCACTTGTGATTAATCAATAAGAATGGTGATATTTAACAGACTGAACTAAATTCTTCTGAAGAACTATGCAAGTGTTCATGGGTCAGAATTAAATTCTGACTATAGATTTACATCAGTAGAAATAAACTCTCAGCTTTAAGTTCTGTAAATTCAAAGAATAAAGATGCTCTTCAACTTACAATGAGTTTGGCTTACCATTTTTCAACAAATTACAATGGTCTGAAAGCCATAATCATTCAGTAGAAATCAAACTTCAAATTTTCCTTTTTTTATCTTTTCCTGGGCTAGTGATATGCAATATGATTTCATTAGGCTGCACTAAATTATCTAACATGAAGCCCATTTTATAACAAAGTGTTGCCTATCTCATATAATTTATTGAATACCATATTGAAAGTGTTCTAAGTATGTTTAAAGTAGCCCAAACTAAGCTGTCATGTTTGATAGGTTAGACATATTAAATGTATTTTCAATTTAATGATATTTTCAACTTATGCTGGGTTTATAACCCCGTCATGCCAAAAAGTACCTATATGCTTTTCCAGAGCAAATTAGCCCAAACATATCTCAGAATTTTATCACACAGTCATAAATTCCAGTTTTGTCCATGAATTCATAAACTTGGCCCTAAAATTTTATGGAAGCTGCCTCTGCTTGATGAACAGAGTTCTTTCCTTCAACTCTTCCAGCTCTCCTTGAAAGTTTTTCTTGTTTGTAAAGGTGCACGGTAATTCATAAATATCTCGAAGATGCAAAATAATCTAGTGGTATACCTTGCATTCTTCAAAGCTGGGGTGCAGTGGCATGATCTCAGCTCACTGCAACCTCCGCCTCCCAGGTTCATGCGATACTCGTGTCTCAGCTCCCGAGTAGCTGGGATTATTACAGGCACACGCCACCATGCCTGGCTAATTTTTGTATTTTTTGGTAGAGACGGGGTTTCACTATGTTGTTCAGGCTGGTCTCGAACTCCTGAGCTCAAGTGATCCACCCGCCTTGGCCTTCCAAAGTGCTGGGATTACAGGCATGAGCCACCGCACCCAGCCTAAAATCTGTGAATGATTTCTAAAATTAAAACATTATATTGATTGAATTATTCTACACTAGTTACAAATTTATATTTCTACTCAGCCTGGGGGACTTATCAAATGAAAATTAAATATAGTCTCTAACTGCCATTTTTTTCAAATATACGTATCCAAAGTATGTTTGAATATATGGATGTTTGTCAATAAATTATTGGTGCTTTCAATTTTTTTTCAAACCTAGCATGTTAACATATTGTATCAGAAACTTTTGTCTGCAAATGAAAGAAAACCCAAATCACAACAACTTAAACAATACAGAGAATTTATTATGTCACATAAACGATATATACCAAGGCTCTAGAGTTAGTAATTTCTGGGCTTCATATTATCATCAATAACTTAAGTTCTTCCCATTTTCCATTTTGCCATCCTCAGAAAATTGGCCCTGTCCTCAGTCAAGCCCAGTCAAGTTAGCTACCACATTTTCAGGAAAGGAAAAGCCTGTTTCTTCCTCAGGGTTTCTTTTATGTGAAAACATCTTTTGAAAATAAAAAGCCAACAATGCTCCTTTTTTATATATCTCACTGGCCAAAACTGTATCACCTACCAATTCCTAAAACAAACACTAGCAAGGGGAATGAGAGTAGCAAACTGACTTAGGCTAACTAGGATTTATTCCTGAGTTGGGGATATGAGCACCTTCTCTGAGCAAACTATTGATTTCATTAACAACAACAACAAAAGTGAAAAAAGGATATGTGTCAGCTACAAGCGTCTTGACAGATCAATTGAGCCAATCAAGATTTAGGAAGATGAGACTTTCAGAGCAGCTTGGTTGATTTCCTTGATATTAGTTATTTACTACTGTTTACTAAAAGCCTACTTTGTGTCATACTCTCTACTAACCACTTTACCTAACAATATCATAGCATTAAAATAAACCAAGTCCGTATTCTCTAATTCAACTACTTCCAGTTATACCATAAATTCCTTATGATCACATATAGAAATAGAAGGAAAGATTACAATCTTGATTCCTCCCTTTCTTGTACCAGGTAGCTGGTTTCACATGCAGAAATCTCAAGAAAGTCTCTATTCAATAATGATGTCAAGGAAGATACAAACAGCTTTTTCTTGTCTTCTAAAAAAACTCGAAACATCTTTGACTTTCTTTCTTTGCAGGCTTTCCATCTGTGGCAAGTGAACTACTTTTTCTGTGTTTGAACCAAAAGTTTCCAATCTGTTATCATCAGCTGGTTAGGTTGGATTAATTTATGCAGGCTGGCAAATCTCATAAAATATTTTTTGCCAGAAAGCTTAGACAAATCATAGCATTTGACTGCAGGTTTCATGAGACATGCCCTTGGAACAGGGAAGAGAGAACAGGATTATTAAGGCAGGAGTCTAGAAAAAGCCTATGTTTACAAGCATTCTTTTGCAAGTGGAAAGAGACCATCCAAAAGTGTATTGCGTAGCTATTTCTTGCAATTAAAAACACACAACACATCTCTAACTCCTATAATTAGACTTGGCATGTTTCTTTTTCTCATAAAATGTCAGAATTGTGGAATTCCTGAGATCATCTGGAAAACAATACACAAAAAGAATATGACAAATGTTCTTTATCTTCAGAATAAACATATTACATGTAAACCATCTGAGAAGGAAAAACACGCAAGCTGGATCCAAGTTTCCCCAAACATCTTACAGTTTAAGTGAGGGTAACCATTGATAGACTATATATTGTAAAAAGATACTAGTACTTCTGAGGAAATTTACAATTCAGCAACACAACTTATAAAATACCATTAAAATGCTGTCTTCTATTCATACAGCGAAAACCTATAGAGCTATTTTGAAAAAACAAAAACCAAGAAAGCTCTTTATGTCCTTGACATAGTAAGGTCTCTAAATATATAGCAAATAGAGAAAGGGAGATCAGTACAGTGTGTATATTATGACACCATTTGTAAAACATTATCTGTGTTCATCATTTTCTTATATATGTATAAAATAACTCAGAAGGGATTAAAAAAAAAAAGGGGGCCAGGCATGGTGGCTCAAGCCTGTAATCCCAGCACTTTGTGAGGCCGAGGCGGGCAGATCACTAGGTCAGGAGATGGAGACCATCCTGCTAACATGGTGAAACCCTGTCTCTACTAAAAATACAAAAAAAAATTAGCCGGGCGTGGTGGCGGGCGCCTGTAGTCCCAGCTACTCGGGAGGCTGAGGCAGGAGAATGGCGTGAACCTGGGAGGCAGAGGTTGCAGTGAGCCAAGATCATACCACTGCACTCCTGCCTGGGTGACAGAGTGACACTCTGTCTCAAAAAAAAAAAAAAGAAAGAAAGAAAGAAAGAAACTAGGGGTGAGGGACATGGTAGAAACAGGGCAGAAGATGAACAAGAAAAAATGAATGACATGTTGCTATATAGCTTGTATATTTTGCTGGATTTTATATCATGTAAATGTACTGTCTATTCAAAAATGAATTTGAAAATTCTCAGAATCCAGCTTCTACAAAAATAGAGTAAATGTGCTTTTCGCAATTCCTCCTATTAAGTACAAATGAAAACTCTGGACATTCTAAAACAACTCTGGAAAGGGAGAGAAGGCACGTCAGTTAAGGTGGAGGCCATCGGAAAACCTGGACTTCTAAACCCACCTAATGGAAACAGGGCACCCCCACCCCTCCTTGCTGGGGTGGTGTCAGAGGAGGCAGGGTGAAGAGTTAGGACTTTAATCAGCAATTCGTGGTAACAAAACTGCATTCCTCCTCACCACCCTTTGTGTGCAATGGATGATTTGTAGTGAGTAGTGATGAGATGCCTCTCTTCCTCCAAGCTAGGGTGAAATCAGCAATGACCTAATGAGAAGCTTGAACTACCATACCCATTCAGCAATAACAAAAAGTTCCTCCTCCCCTGTGTCAATAAAGACCTAGACTTCTACCCCCACCTGGCAATAACAGGATATCATCCTCCTACCAGAGGAGTGTCAGAAAAACTTGCTGTAACACAAGATCTAAAATAAGATCCAGAGATGGGGCCAAGATGGTTAATTAGAAGCAGCTGCAGTGTGTGACACTCTTCCAAAGGAATAAAAAGGAGTCAACACAGCACCTTTCACTGAAATATCCAGATACTTGCATTGGAACTGATCAGGGAAACAACCTGACTCACAGAGAACCAAGAAATGCAGGGTGGGCAATGACTCCCCAGGAGCCACACAGAGCCAAGAGAACCCCCACCCCCAGCCAAGGTAAGCAGTGAGTCAATGTGCAACCCTGGGAAAACCATGCTTCTCCCATGGATCTTTGCAACCTTTGGGTCAGGAGATGCCCTCATGAGCCCACTGCACCTGGGCCTTGGGTGACTCCACACAGCTCTCCCAAAGAGCAGCTACTGGCGCACAATAGAGACCCAAGAGCTTTACGTACTCCAGTCCCAGGATTCCTAACAAAAGTAACTGCAACTCAGGCAGGGCAGGAGGTCTGCACATACCCCTAGGAAGGGGGTTGAATCCAGAGAGCCAAGCAGCATCTGTCTGCAGGTCCCACCTCCACAGCAGCTCACAAGGCAAGACCCACTGGCTTGGAATTCCAGCAAGCCACCAGCAACAGGGTGGAGCCTGCCTGAGAAGGGACAAAGCCCCTGGGGGAAAGGGTGGGCCACCGTCTTTGCTGTTTGGTCAAATCAGGCGTTCCAGCCTCCAGGCTTTGGAGAGTCCAAATGGTCCAGACAAAGATGGGTCTCCCCAGCTACTTTGCCAGAAAGTGGCCAGACTGCTTCTTTAAGCAGGACCCCTATCCATTCCTCCTAACTGGGCAGGACCTCCCAGCTGGGGCCTCCAGGTGCCCCCACCCACCAGAGCTCTGATCTTGCCTTGGGACAGAGTGCTGGGTTCCAGGGACTGGCCACCAGCTTTCTTGTCTGGACAACTCAGCTGTTGCAGCCTGCAGGCTTTGGACAGTCCAAGCCAACAGGGACAGAGGCAGTTTCCCAGTACAGCGTGATTTTTTTTTTATCGAGGTGTGGCCAGACTGCCTCTTTAAATGGGACCCTGATCCAGTCCTCCGCTTAGAGCAGGTCCTCCTGGCTGGGGCCTCCAGCCACCCCTACCTGTATTCTACGAACAGAGTTCTGATTTCTCCCTGGGATGAAGTGCCTAGTGGGAGGGGCAAGCTGCCACCTTTGTTGTTTAGATAACTCACTCAGCTGCTCTAGCCTGCAGGATCTGGGGAGTCCAAGCCAACCCAGGCAGAGGTGGTTCCCCAATATGGCACAGCTCTTTTGTCAAGTTGTGGCCAGGCTGCTTCTTTAAGTGGGACCCTGATCCATTTCTTCTCACTGGGCGGGTCCTCCCACCTGAGGCACCTGGCCACCCCTGCCTGTATCTTAGGGCCATCAGAGTTTTAATTTCTCCCTGGGACAGAGTGCCACCACCTTTGCTGTTTGGGCATCTCAGCCAGTCTAGCCTGCGAGCCTTGGAGTGCCCAAACCGATCAGGGGCTGAAGGGATCCCCAATACCGGACAGCTGCTCTACCAAAATGCAGCCAGAATGCTTCTTTAAAGAGGTCTGTGATCCAGTTCTTTCTGATGGGTGAGATCTCCCAATTGGGGTCTCCAGCCTCCTCCTACAGGTGCCTTAGGGCCAACAACAGGTCAGCATCCCCTGAGACAGACCTTCTAGAGGAAGAGGCAGGCTGCCATCTTTGCTGTTTTGTAGGCTACACTGCTGATTCCTACAGGTATTAGAAAAACTGAGGTGACTAGGGTCTGCAGCGGACACCCAGCAAACTGCAGCAGCCATACTAAAGAGTGGCCAGAGTATCAAAAGAAAAAACAAACAAACAACAACAAAAACACAAGAACCCCATCCAAAGGTAAGCAACCTCAAAGACTGAAGGTAGATTAGCCCAGAAATATGAGAAATAATCGCACAAAAACACTGAAAACTCAAAACGCTAGCATGCCCCCTTTCCTCCAAATGACCGCAACACCTCTCCAGCAAGGACATAGAACTGTGCTGAAGCTGAGATGGCTGCGATGACAGAGGTAGTCTTCAGAACGTGGATAAAAATGAACTTTGCTGAGCTAAAAGAGCACATTGTTACCTCAGGCAAGGGAGCTAAGAATCGTGATAAAACAATACAGGAGCTGACAGCCAAAATAGCCAGTATAGACAGGAACATAACCAACCTGATAGAGCTAAAAAACACACTACGAGATCTTCACAGTGCAATCACTACTATTAATAGCAGAATAGACCAAGCAGAGGAAAGAATCTCAGAGCTTAAAGACTGTCTTTCTGAAATAAGACAGGCAGACAAGAATATAGAAAAAAAAATGAAAAAGAAAACCTACAAGAAATATGGGATTATGTAAAGATACCGAAGCTACGACTGATTGGGGTACCAGAAAGAGACAGGGAGAATGGAACTAATTTAGAAAATATATTTCAGGGTATTATGCAGGAAAACTTCCCCAACCTAGCTAGACAGGCCAACATTCAAATTCAGGAAATCCAGAGAACCCAGTGAGATACTCCACAAGAAGGTCATATCCAAGACACATAATCATCAGATTCTTCAAGGTCAAAAAGAAAGAAAAAATAAGGGCAGTCCAAGAGAAAGGCCAGTTTGCCTACAAAGTGAAGCCCGTCAGGTTAACAGTGGACTTCTCGTGGAAACCCTACAAGCCAGAAGAGATTGAGGGCCAATATTCAACGTTCTTAAGAAAAAAAAAATTCCAAGTCAGAATTTTGTATCCAGCCAAACTAAGCTTCATAAGCATAGGAGAAATAAGATCCATTTCAGACAAGCAAATGCTGAGGGAATTTGTTACCACCAGACCTACCTTACAAGAGATCCTGAAAGAAGCACTAAATACAGAAAGGAAAAACCGGCTGGGCGCAGTGGCTCACGCCTGTAATCCCAGCACATTGGGAGGCCAAGGCGGGCAGATCATGAGGTCAGCAGATCGAAACCATCCTGGCTAACACAGTGAAACCCCGTCTCTACTAAAAATACAAAAAATTAGGCGGGCACGGTGGCAGGCACCTATAGTACAAGCTACTCGAGAGGTTGAGGCAGGAGAATGGCTTAATCCCGAGAGGTGGAGCTTACAGTGAGCCGAGATCACACCACTGCACTCCAGCCTGGGCAACAGAGCAAGACTCAGTCTCGGAAAAAAAAGGAAAAACCATTACCATCCACTACAAAAACACACTGAAGTACACAGACCAGTGAAACTACGAAGTAACCACATGAGCAAGTCTGCAAAATAACCAGCTAGCATCATGATGACCAGCTAGCATCATGATGACAGGATCATATCCACACATAACAGTGCTAACCCTAAACGTAAATGAGCTAAATGTCCCAATTAAAAAAACACAGAATGGCAAGTTGGATAAAAACCCAAAATCCATTGGTACGTTGTCTTCAAGAGACCCATCTCACATGCAAAGACACACATACTCTAAATAAAGGGATGGAGGAAAATATACCAAGAAAATGGAAAACAGAAAACAGCAGGCGTTTTGATCCTAGTTTCTGACCAAAAAAAAAGACTTTAAACCAACAAAGATCAAAATAGACAAAGAAGGGCATTACATAATGGTAAAGGGTTCAATTCAACAAGAACAGATAACTATCCTAAATATACATGCAGCCAATACAAGAGCACCCAGATTCATACAGCAAGCTCTTAGAGACCATCAAAGAGACTTAGACTCCCAAACAATAATAGTGGGAGACTTTAACACCCCATTGACAATATTAGACAGATCATCAAGACAGAGAATTAACAAAGATATTCAGGACCTGAACTCAGCTCTGGATCAAATGAACCTGATAGATATCTACAGAAGTCCCCACTCCAGAACAATAGAATATACATTTTTCTTATCACCACATGGCACTTACTCTAAACTTGATCGCATAATCAGAAGTAAACACTCTTCAACAAATGCAAAAAAACTGAAATCTTAACAGTCTCTCAGACCACAGTGCAATCAAATTAGAACTCAAGATTAAGAAATTCACTGAAAACCATGCAATTACATGGAAATTCAATGACCTGCTCCTGAGTGACTTTGGGGTAAATAATGAAATTAAGGCTGGGTGTGGTGGCTTACGCCTGTAATCCCAGCACTTTGGGAGGCTGAGGTGGCTGGGTCACCTGAGGTCAGGAGTTTGAGACCAGCCTGGCCAACATGGTGAAACCCCATCTCTACTAAAAATACAAAAATTAGCTTGGTGTGGTGGTACGCGCCTATAATCCCAGCTACTTGGGAGGCTGAGGTGGAAGAATTGTTTGAACTCAGGAGGCAGAGGTTGAAATGAGCAGAGATTGGGACACTGAACTCCAGCCTGGGTGACAGAGCAAGACTCTGTCTCAAAAAACAACAGCAGCAACAACAACAACAACAAACCACAAGCAGAAATGTTAAAGGGGATATGACCATTGACCCCACAGAAATGCAAACAAGCATCAGAGAATATTATCAACACTTCTATACACATAAACTAGAAAATCTAGAAGAAATAGATAAATTACTGGACACATACACTCTTCTAAGATTGAACCAGGAAGAAATAGAATCCCTGAATAGACCAATAATGAGTTCTGAAATTGAGGCAATAATAGCCTGCCAACCAAAAAAAGCCCAGGACCAGATGGAATCACAGCTGAATTCTGCCAGACATACAAAGAAGAGCTGTTACCATTAATACTGAAACTATTCCAAAAAAAATTAAAAAGGGGGACTCCTCTCTAACTCATTCTATAAGGCCAGCATTATCCTGATACCCAAAACTGGCAGAGATACAACCAAAAATGAAAACTTCAGGCCAATATCCTTGATGACCATTGATGTAAAAATTCTCAACAAAATACTGGCAAACTGAATCCAGCAGCACATCAAAAAGCTTATCCACCACAATCAAGTTGGCTTCATTCCTGGGATGCAAGGTTGGTTCATCATCTGCAAATCAATAAATGGGATTCATCACATAAACAGAACTGAAGACAAAACCCACATGATTATCTCCATAGATACAGAAAAGGCCTTTGATAAAATTCAACATCCCTTCAAGCTAAAAACTCTCAATAAACTAGCTATTGAAGTAACATATCTCAAAATAATAAGAGCCATATATAGCAAACCCACAGTCAGTATTATACTGAATGGGCAATAGCTGGAAGCATTCTCCTTGAAAATCAGCACAAGACAAGGATGCCCTCTATTACCACTCCTATTCAACATAGTATTGGAAGTTCTGGTCAGGGCAATCAGGCAAGAGAAAGAAGTAAAGGGCATCTGTATAGGAAGAGAGGAAGTCAAACTGCCTTTGTTTGCAGATGACATGATCCTGTATCCAGAAAACCCCCTAGTCTAAGCCCACAAGCTTCTTAAGCTGATAAGCAACTTCAGCAAAGTCCCACGACACAAAAGCAATGTGCAAAAATTGCTAGCATTCCCATAAATCAACAACAGGTAAGCCGAGAGCCAAATCTCAAATGAACTCCCATTCATGATTACCAGAAAAAGAATAAAATACTTAGGAATACAGCTAACAAGGGAAGGGAAGGAACTCTTCAAAGAGAAGTACAAACCACTGCTCAAAGAAATCAGAGGTGACACATACAAATGGAAAAACATTCCATGCTCGTGGATAAAAAGAATCAATATCATGAAAATGGCCATACTACCCAAAGCAGTTTATAAATTCAATGCTATTCCCATTAAACTACTACTGACATTGTTGAATAGAATTAGAAAAAACTATTTCAAAATTTATATAGCACCAAAAACAAGTCTGAATAGCTAAGGCTATCCTAAGGAAAAGGAACAAAGCTGGAGGCATCATGCTACCTGACTTCAAACTATAATGCAGGGCTACAGTAACCAAATAGCTTGGTACTGGTATAAGAACAGACACATAGACCAATGGAACAGAATAGAGAACCCAGAAATAAGACCACACACCTACAACTGTCTGATCTTCAACAAACCTGACAAAAACAAGCAATGGGGAAAAAATCCCTATTTAATAAATGGCAGTGGGAGAACTGGCTAGCCACATGCAGAAAATCGAAACTGGATCCCTTGCTTACCCCACACCCAAAAATCAACTCAGAATGGTTTAAGACTTAAATGTGAAACCCAAAACTATAAAAACCCTAGAAGAAAACTTAGGCAATACTATTCAGGACATAGGCACAGGCAAAAATATCATGATGAAGACACCAGAAGCAATTGCAACAAAAGCAAAAATTGACAAATGGGATCTAATTAAACTCAACAACTTCTGCATGGCAAAAGAAACTATCAACAGAGTAAACAGACAACCAGAGAAAATTTCACAATCTATGCATCTGACAAAGATCTAATATCCAGCATTTATAAGGAACTTAAGCAAATTTACAAGAAAATAGACAAACAACCTCATTAAAAAGTGGGCAAAGAACATGAACATATACATGAGGCCAACAAACATATGAAAAAGAACTCAACATCACTGATCATGGGAGAAATGCAAATCAAAACTACAATCAGATACCATCTCACACCAGTCAGAATGGCTACTATTAAAAAGTCAAAAAACAACAGATGCTGGTGAGGTTGTAGAGAACAAGGAACACTTTTACACTGTTGGTGGGAGGATAGATTAGTTCAACCATGTGGAAGACAGTGTGGCAATTCCTCAAAGAGCTAGAGGCAGAAATACCATTCGACCCAGCAATTCCATTACTGGGTATGTACTGAAAGGAATATAAATTGTTCTGCTATAAAGACACATGCATGCATATGTTCATTTGCAGCACTATTCACAATAGTAAAGATATGGAATCAACCTGAATGCCCATCAATGATAGACTGGATAAAGAAAATGTGGTACATCTAAACCATGGAAAACTACGCAGCCATAAACAGCAATAAGATCATGTCCTTTGCACAAACATGGTGGGAGTTGGAGGCCATTGTCCTTAGCAAACTAATGCAGAAATAGAAAATCAAATATTGCATGTTCTCACTTATAAGTGGGTGCTAAATGATAAGAACACACGGGCACATTGGGGGGAACAACACCCACTGGGGCCTGTTGGAGGGAAGGGGTAGGAGGAGAGAGGGGATCAAGAAGAATAGTTATTGGATGATGGGCTTGATACCTAGGTGATGGAATGATCTGTGTAGCAAATCACCATGGCACACATTTACCTATGCAAGAACTCTGCACATTCTGCACATGTACCTCTGAACTTAAAATAAAAGTAGGAAATAAAAAATAAAATAAGATACTGAGATGTAAAACATAACACCTCAAATATACATATGTCAATTGAAAATTACTCATCACACCAAAAACCAGGAAGATCACAAAGTGAATTGGAAAAAACGACCAAAAGACACCAACACCATGATGATGGTAATGTTAGAATTATCTGGTAAGCATTTTAAAGCAGACATCATAAATATGCTTTAGGAGCAGTCATAAGCATGCTTGAAACAAAGGAAAAAAATGAGTTTAAACATAGAAAGTGCTGGAAAAGAAATAAAATACATTTTAAAAGAACAAAATGGAAATTGTAAAGGTAACAAATACCGTAATACAGTTAAAAAATCACACACACAATAGATGAGCTCAACAGCATAATGGAGAGGAAATGAAAATCAGTGAAATTAAAGATAAAACAACAGAAATTGTCCAATGTAAAAAAAAAAAAAACAGAAAGAAAATGAGCTGAAAAATAAATAATAAGAACCTCAGAAATGTGTGGGACTATAAGAAAAGATTTAACATTTATGTCATCAAGTTCAAGAAAAAGAAGAGAAAGAAAGTAGTGCTAAAAAAGTATTCAAAGAAATAATGACAAAAATTTTTCCAAATTTGGCAAGAGACATAAACCTACAGATTCAAGAGGCTGAACAAATCTCATATAGAATCAAACCTAAGTAAATCCATTCCAAAATACATCAAAGTCAATCTTCTGAAAACTAAAATCAAATAAATAAATAAATGAATAAATAAAAACTTTGAAAGCAGAAAAAGAGAAACAATGCATCATAACATAAGGGGATACGGGGAAAACATTCTAGTGAATGTTTTCACTAGTAACCATGGGTCCCTGAAAGCTATGTCACAGCAGTTTTTTAAGTGCTGAAAGAAAAGGACTGGCAACCTAGAATTCTATATCTAATTCAACTATCTCTTAAAAATGAAAGAAAAATCAGGGCATTCTCAGATGAAAGAAAACTCTCTTTGTCACCAGCAGAACTATCCTAAATGAACATCCTAAGGAAGTTCTCTAAACAGAAACAAAGGTATAAAAGTAAGAATCTTAGAATATCAAGAAAGGAAAAAGAACACACAAAAAGCAAAAATATGGGTAAATTCAATATACTCTCATTATCTTCGGGAGTTTTTGACATTATGTGTGATATTTGAAACAAAAAATATAACAGTTACTACCAAAATATTTAAGACTATTATATTAAAGGATTGAGGGAATAAGAATAAAAGTATGATTTCTATACTTTAAAATTGGTAAAATGCCAACACTGGTAGACTTGGCTAAGTTATGTTTGTATAACATAATACCCAGAGAAAGAACTAAAATGATATACAATAAGATACATTCTAAACACCATAGGTCAATCAAAATGGAATTCTAAAAACAATGTTCAAGTAGCCCACAGGAAGATGGAAACAAAAGTAAACAGAGGAACAAAAACTGGAAAGAACAAACGGAAAATAAAAATAAAATGGGAGATCTGCATTGAACATATCAATAACTACATTAAACATAAATAGTCTAAATAGGCCAATTAAAAGAAATTGGGAAAGTGGATAAGAATAACATGACACAATTACAAACTGTCTACAAAAGTTACTTCATATAATTATATATATATATATATATATATATATATATATATATATATATATATATATGGGTTGAAAGTTAAGAATGGAAAATGATATACTATGCCAACATTAACCAAAAAAAATCAGGAGTGGCTATACTAATATCAGATAAAGTATATTTCAAAGCAAAGGAAATTACCAAAAACAGAGATATTGCCTAATGATAAAAGAGTCAATACATCAAGAAGACATAGCAATCCTGAATGTGTATGCACCAAATGGCACAGTGGTAAAATATGTAAAGCAAACACTGATACAACTGAAAGAAATAGAAAAATCACAATTATAGTTAGGGACTTCAACACCCCTCACTCAACAACTTATAGAAAAACTAGACAGAATCAACAAGGATATAGAAATACTCAACAATGCCATCAGCTAACAGGATCTAATGTGTTGTTGCTGCACCCAACAAAAGCAAACACGTTCTTTTCAAGCACCCATTGTAACACGCACCAAAACGGACCGTATCTGTGATACAATACTTATTTATGTGTCTGTCTCCTCTGTAAGACAGAACTTTTTAAGGGCACATATTCCAGTTTACCCATCAGTGTATCTCCAGAGGCAAAAGTATACCTATATATAGGAGTCACTGAATAATACTTTAATAAACCAGTTTAATGAACAGTGTATTTAATAAGTTGCAGAAAAGAATAAACTATGAAGCTATCCTATAATCTTTAATTTTTAAAACATCCAAGCAAAGTGTTAAAGGATTAAAAAACTTTGATTCTGGATAACAATAAACATTATTTATTTTCTGTTATCAAAATATTTTTAGTACTTACATAGCAAGAAAACTTCAATTTTATTTAAACTTTATTCCCAAAAGAATATTCCTTGTAATTCACCTTCCAGTATAGCTAGATAAGTCTCTATTACATTGAGTCTCCTGCAGATACCAACTTTAAACTCTGCACAAAATACAAAACAAAACAAAAAAGACAAAAAGTTCCCTCAAGTTACTAGAGAGTAACGAAAAGAAAGAGGGAAGTCAACATTTGGATAAAGGAAAAGGAAACTTCAGGAACATGTTTTCTGTTTTTATGGCTTTTAGCCTGAGGCTGCAGGCAGGCAATGCCTAGTGGAATTGCTAAAACTTTTTATAGAAAGCCTATATATGGTCCTTCTAAACTGAAGAAGAGGAAGTTTGAGAAACTATAGCAACTGCAAAGTGAGGGGGAATTCCAGAAAAGAGAAGTACTAGAGAAGAACTTCGGCTTTTGTGTATAAACTATGCCCAAATCTCTGGCTGACTCCAGAACCATGCAACCAAAAAAACTGCAGCAAGGGATCAGAGAACAGAATTGAGATTTGAACTTGCACCTGAGAAAAATTTTTAGTGTTAGTTCAAACAAGTTAAGTGTTGGCTTAAACAAAATAACTAATATTCTTCAGAAGAATGTAACAGAATCTAATCACTTCATAACCTTTTGGCTAATATCAAGTGTAGAAGAATATAACAGAATCCAGAATTTTCACAACATAATGTTCAAAATGTCCAGAATATAATACAAATATACTCCATATACAAGGAACCAGGAAAATAGGACTCTTTCTCAACAGAAAAGACAATCAACAGAGACCAACCCCAAGATAATCTAGGTGTTGGAATTAGTAGACAAAGATTTTATAGCCACTGTTATAACTCTGCTCAATGACATAAAAGAAAATATGCTCGTGATGAATAAGAAAACAAAAAATCTCAGCAGAGAAAATGCAATATCTGAAAAATGCAATATCTATAAATAAATAAAGAAAGAATGCAATATCTGAAAAAAATACTAGGTGAGATAAAAGCAAAATGGAAA
Organism: Homo sapiens; assembly: GCF_000001405.40. Classification (NCBI taxonomy): domain Eukaryota; kingdom Metazoa; phylum Chordata; class Mammalia; order Primates; family Hominidae; genus Homo; species Homo sapiens. The sequence goes on from NC_000011.10 coordinate 100,613,632, forward strand.
TATAGAGGAAAGAGTCAATGAACTTGAAGATAGATAAATGGAAATTATCCAATCTGAATAAGAGACAGAAATGAGATTGAAATGAAATGAACAGGAATATGTGGGAAAATAGCAAAGGGTCTAACATACAAGTAACTGAAGCCCCAAAAGAAGAGGAGAGGAACAAATGACTAAAAAATTTTCAGCCTGTAATCCCAGTACTGCCCGTAATCCCGGTACTTTGGGAGGCTGAGGCAGGCAGATCACTTGAGGCCAGGAGTTAGAGACCAGCCTGGCCAACATGACAAAACAATGTCTCTACTAAACATATAAAAATTAGCTGGGCATGATGGCACACACCTGTAGTCCCAGCTTTTCAGGAGCCTGAGGCACAAGAATTTCTTGAAACCAGGAGGCAGAGGTTGCAGTGAGCCAAGATCACATAAGTGCACTCCAGTCTGGGAGACAGAGTGAGACTCTGTCTCAAAAAATAAATAAATAAATTTGGTAAATGATAATGATATACATTTATAGATTCAGGAAGAATGTAACCTCTAAAAAATATATGTAAAAAAAAAATTAGTAAAGTCTTCTTGGACAAATGCCTAAATGCAGATCTCAGACAAGGAATGTACGGTATGGACCTGGAATGTTTTGTTTCATTGGAAACCAAGAAAGCTATCAAGTAGAATAAATGCAAAGAAAACCAAATGCTCAGGCACATCATAGTCAAACTGATAAAAAAAAAAACATTAAAATAAACAATAAAGAGAATATCATGAACACATCTAGAAATTACATTTTGGGGACAAGAATTTGAATATCTATTAATTTCTCATCAGAGACAATGGAGACCCAAAGACAATAAAACAAAATCTTTCAGTGCTGGAAAAATAACTGAAAACACTGTCGTGATGTTAGCCAAGAAAAATCGATTATTTATGTTATCAACACAGTATCACCCATATAAATGACATGGTATTTCTAATATTTCTTTTCATAAATTTTCAGATCTCACATCACAGAAATATACAAGTGAAAATCTGACACACTTTTAGGAGCATAGGCATTTTTGTAGCATTTCTCCACATCATTCAAAACTGCCTGAGCTACAGCTTCCAAATACATATGTTCCTATTATTGCCAACAATTTAAAGTTTAATATCACCAGATGTGGTGGCTCACACTTGTAATCCCAGTACTTTGGGAGGCTGAGGCAGGAGGATCCCTAGAGGCCAGGAGTTCAAGACCAGCCTGGGCAACATAGTGAGACCCACTCCCCCATCTGTACAAAAAATGTTTTACAAAATTAGCTGGCCATGGTGAGGCATGCCTGTAGTCCCAACTAATTCAGAGGCTGAGACAGGAGGACTAGTTGAGCCCAGGAGTTTAGGGTTACAGTGAGCTGTGATTGCACCATTGCACTCCTGCCTGGGGAACAGATGGAGACCCTATCCCTAAAGAAAAAATAATAATGCATAAATAAATATAAATCAACAAATGAAGTTTGATATTTGTGTAAGACTGACAGAGAGCATGCCAGGTCTTTTCTAGATAATCTTCCCTGCATTTCCTAGCACTCAAACTATGGTAATTATGCTAAGCATTCTCAACCTTCAAGTCCTCCCATTGTCTTTCCCCTCCATTTACTCCTGGTTATTACCTTCATTCCTGTATCAACAAGTTGAGGAATAAGCAAATTAATTTATTCAGCTTTATCTACTATTCATTCCCTCATTTAGAAAACATTTGCAATAAATTCCATATGAATGGGAAAAACTGCTAAGACAGCTATTAGAAATACTTGCACATGCATATTGATAGTAGCACAATTAGCAATTACAAAAATATGGAAGCAGCCTAAATGCCCATTGACCAATGAGTGAATAAAGAAAAGTTGGTGTATATACACCATGGAATACTACTCAGCCATGAAAAGAAATGAAATAATGCCATTCACAGCAACCTGGATGGAGTTGAAGACCATTATTCTAAGGGAAGTAACTCAGAAATGGAAAACCAAATATCCTATGTCCTCACTTATAAGTGGGAGCTAAGCTATGAGGACGTGAAGGCATAAGAATGATATAATTGACTCTGGGAAGTCAGAAGAAAGGAGTGTGAGGGATAAAAGACTACAAATTCAGTAGCGTACACTCTCGGGTGATGGGTGCACCAAAATCTTAGTAATTACCGTTAAAGAACTTATCCATGTAACCAAAAACCACCTGTTCCCCAAAACTATTTAAATAAATAAATATAAGAGAAATAAGAGGCATGATCAGGATTATAGAGCTTATAGGAACAACCTCTGCTGGTAACTTAGATTGGGAGACATTGGCATATGGATGTAGTTAATCCCAGGGAAATGGATATGTTCACCCAGAGAAAGTGTAAAAATTGAGATTGTAGGGGAAATCAGCATTTATAAAGACTGAGAAGAAACATCCAGAGAAATTAGAAAAAAAAAAAAAAATTCAAAAGAAGTTCATGTATTAGAAACCAAAGGAGAGTACTTCAAGAACAGAATAGAAAAGCGCCCTCTAATTCTGTACATCCTGTAATCCCAGGACTGCAACCTCTAAAAAAAATGTAAAAATAAAAATTAGTAAAGTCTTCTTGGACAAATGCCTAAATGCAGATCTCAGACAAGGAATGTACGGTATGGACCTGGAATGTTTTGTTTCATTGGAAACCAAGAAAGCTATCAGTTTCTAGCACTTTGGGAGGCCGAAGTGGGCAGATCACCTGAGGTCAGGAGTTCAAGACCAGCCTGGCCAACATGGTGAAACCCTGTCTCTACTAAAAATAAAAAAATTACCCAGACGTGGTGGTGCGGACCTGTAGTCTCAGCTACTCAGGAGGCTGAGGCAGGAGAATCGCTTGAACCCGGGAGGTGGAGGTAGCAGTAAGCCAATAATGCACCACTGCACTCCAGCCTGAGTGACAGAGTGAGACTCTGTGTCGGAAAAAAAACAAAACAAAACACGCTATTAGTGATAACTAGGGTTATAGCAGCAGTATAAGAGTTCCACTTGAAGCATTTTCTACTGGCTGAAATGGGAAAATTTGAACATCAAAAATAATTTTAATGGATTAAAACATAATCAAATATTTTTAAATCGATGAGTTCATAATCATACTAAATACAACTTCAGTGCTCACTTTTGGAGAATCACAGGAAAATAATTATTCTGTACACTGGTAAAAGGAAAGAACTGAGATTTTAAACATCAAAAGAGGGAGTCAAGTTATCTGCTGAGAGTATGTAGGAGATGTGGTGGAAGAGAAGGCCCAAGGAAACTGGACAAGTTGAAAATGGGTTTTGGAGAACATGAGCAACGTGAGAGAGAGCTCAGCATGGAAAAGTAGAAGGACTACATATGGTGTTTAGTATATTTATTCTGATAATATTTAAGTTAATTTGCTGCACTAAACAGCCATGTATAGAAACTAAGCAAACATGCAATAGGATTTTGCACGGCTAATGCAACAGAAAAAGTTAAGAAAGCAAGGAGTTAGCAATTAAATGAGTAGCTGAAGTTTTCTCCCTTGTCTTTTTAACAAACCTCTTACCCAGATTTACCCTCTTTTTTGACATTCTGCTAAGTAGATATGTTTTCGTTTCAAAGGCTCACCCATCCTGTGACTTAGCCTCATCCTTTGAGCCTGCTCCATACCACTGCACAGACCACACTTTGTTACCCTTTCACTCTTTTGCATATTTCAGCCAGCCAGCTCTTATGGTGCATTTCTCTGGGTTTATAAATGTGTGCAGCTTTTCGCCATCCCAGTGAAAACAAAAAGCATTTACCTTGTTGCCTTCTCTATCCACCATCTTATTCCACACCTTTCCTTTATTGTCAGGTTTCTCAAATGAATCTGCAACACCTGTTTTCTCCACCTGAGCGTGAGATCCTTTTACAATCTGATTCTGCCCTAATTATCCTACATGATCATCAAACCCAAGGACTTCTTTTCTATTTTTGCCTTACTTTGAATTGGGAGGTGGACCGACCCTCGGTATTGTTGCTATCTCTTTCTCCTCTAAATCCTCTCTCCCTTAGGAGCTTAATATGGAGGAGCCTTATCTCTGCTACTTACTACTTTTGTGACTTTTGTCACTAAAATAATATTAGTGATATGTATTGGGCACTTACTACAAACTTCAATAAGCAGTTTAGACACTGTATCTCAGTTAATTCCTTGACAATCCTATAAGAATAGTATTATTATTTTTATTTCATCCCAGTAGTGGTGAGATAAGAGGTGACTTTTTTCATTCTGCCTTTTATAAAAAGAAAAATTTCTCTTTAAACATATTTAATTCCCTTCAATCATATCACCATACTGATTCTTCTTTTACCCTTGTAATTGCTTCTTTGTGGCTGTCACTGGTTCTTCTTTTTTCTGCTCTTCTGAATGTGATTTTCCTCTAGGCATCTGTCCTTGAATCTTTCCTAGTGTCTTTGTGTCTGTGAAGTCAATGTGTCCCAAGGCAGGGCTTTTCAAAGTGTGGTCCCCAGACAAGCAGCATTAGTACTTGCCTTATTAGAAAAAAAATGATCTGGCCCAACATCAGACCTACAGCACCAAAAACCCTGGGTGTGGGGCCCAGCCATCTGTGTTTTAACCAGTCCTCCAGGTGATTGTAATGCATGTTGAGTACTGAGAATTACTGTTCTAACGTATGAAGCACAGACCACCTGCATCAAAATCACTGGAGTGCTGGTGGAATATACAAATTCTTGGGCCCCATCCTAAACTCATTTCATTAGAGTCTCTAAGGTCAGAGCCAGCCACTGCAAGATACTCCCTTTCACACTAAAGTCTAAAAATCTGTACTCCATGCCCTCTCTCAGAGATAAACTAATGAGGCTTCAGTTACAGTTTCTTCACAAATGATCCCTAAGCCTGTACCTCCAGGCCTTATTTTCAGTTGACTATTAGGCATGTCCACCAATTTTTTGGCTACTACTTCAAAGTCAGTATGTATTCTAATACGATGCCCATTATTCCTTTTACCGCCTGCAAATGACTTCTGACTTTTTTATTTCTGTACCAATCGTTCAGGCCTAAGCCTCATTAACTAGGAGTTGTCTTTGTCAAATATAACTCCCTGACTACAAATCCAATTTGTCCTTTATATTTTTGCTTCAACATTTTTCTAAAATACTTTTTGCTTTTCATGAATATTACTATTACTCTATTTCTCAGCTAGAAATTACATCACGCTTTTCTTTAAGAATTTTTTGGGGGAAGGTAATAAATACAATGCTAAGATTCTGGGTCACAAGTTCATTGGAATTGGGTATGAACTATTAATTGTTGGATCCAGGACTGAAATATAGGTCTCTTGTTCAAAATCCCAGTATCTTTGCAGTAAGCTATGTCCTGCTAAATATTTGATTTTAAGATAACTCCTCCTGATTCTTCTATTATTTGACACAGAACAGAGTCTGGTATAAAGCAAATTTGTCTTGGATCCCATTCATGGGGATTTAGTAACTGCAATACCAACTAGATCGCAGAATATCCCTTCACAAGAAGTGTTAACACATATTGCTTGTGGCCAGAGCAGACTGAACTCTAAATATAGCAGTGCATGGTGATTAAAGAAGAAAAAAAGATTAAATCACTCCATTGACAACAGCTTTAGGAGAGATGGAGCGAAAAGAGCCTCCTAAAAAATGTAAGAAACCATTCACATGGATTGTATTCAGCATTCATGACATCACTGTAGCATTACCATATTTTGGGGCAGCTTTCCTTTAATTATATCTCTCACTACTGTTATAATAATTATATTGCTCATTTGTTAGAGTCACAAATGTTAGTGTTGAAGAGTACCTTGGAGGTCATCTATTACCTACTCCACTGATGAAGAAAACTGAGGCCAAGAAAGGTGAAAAAGGCTTTCTCAAAGTTATGCAGCTAGTTAGTGACAAAGCAGGAGATGTGAAAACCCAAATCTCTGGACTCTCAACCTTCTGCTTTCTTGTTCTTCCTCTGAGAGCAGGCAGGAAGCATGACAAATGATGGAGAACAGAGAGGTATGCGGGACAGCTCAGCAGGAAATGCTGAGACAGAGTTAAGGGCCAGAGAGTTAGAACGAGAAGAAAGGAAATGGTGTCACTTAGGTCAAGTATAAGAATAGAATTTCAGGGAGGGCAATATCAAATTTCCAACAGCTCTGCACACAATTTCACAAAGTAAATAGGAAAAAAAAAAATCCAAATAATATGCCTTTTTTTAAATTTAAAAAGCTTTATATGCAATATGTAAACTTCACCCTAAAAATGCCTAGATATTTATTTCTTCATGGCATGTGGCAGTGCATATCTGACAACCAGCGATAACTGCTACTGATCCTTAGCTTTGTTCTGTGACCAATAGACCAAAATTAGATCAATAATTTGAGATTTCACATATGACCTCAAAGGGACTATTAGAGGTAGCCCAGGAAATAATGTATTTCATGGAAATATTATAGTGTTCATTATAAATGATATATACATTTTGAAGTTCACTATTATGCCTACAGTAACACAATATAATCGCTAGATATTTTGTTTTACTTTCCCCATGTGTATAGAGGCTTTGTTTTGCAAAGTTCATCTGATTCCCAAATTAGATCCAGTATTGGGCCATTCTTTCACTGCTATAAAGGAATACCTAAGACCAGGTAATTTATTTTTTATTTATTTTTTTTTTTTTGAGACAGAGTCTCGCTCTGTTGCCCAGGCTGAGTGCAGTGGCGCGATCTTGGCTCGCTGCAAGCTCCACCTCCCAGGTTCACACCATTCTCCTGCCTCAGCCTCCCGAGTAACTGGGACTACAGGCACCTACCACCACGCCCAGCTAATTTTTTTTTTTTTTTTTTTTTTTGCATTTTTAGTAGAAACAGGGTTTCACTGTGTTAACCAGGATTGTTTCGATCTCCTGACCTCGTGATCCACCCGCCTCAGCCTCCCAAAGTGCTGGGATTACAGGCATGAGCCACTGCGCCCAGCCAATTTTTTTTAAAGAGGTTTCATTGGCTCCATTCTACAAGCTGTACAGGAAGTGTATCTCTGGCATCAGTTTATGGGGAGGCCTCAGGAAGCTTACAATCATGGCAGAAGGTGAAAGGGAGCAGAAACCTCACATGTCAGGAGTGGGAGTGAAAGAGAGATAGTAGAGGGAAGGTGCCACACACTTTAAATAACCACATCTCACAAGAACTCACTCACTATCACAAGGACAGCACCAAATCATGAGGGGTCTGTCCTTATGATCCAATCACCTCCCACCAGGCTCCACCTTTAACATTGGGGATTACATTTCAATAAGAGATTTAGAGGGGACAAATATGCAAACTACATCATTCCTCCCTGGCTCCTCAAATCTCCTGTTCTTCTCACATTTCAAAATGCAATCATCCCTTCTCAATAGTCCCCCAAAAGCCTCAACTTGTTTCAGCATCACTCAAAAGTCCAGAGTTCCAAGTCTCATCCGGAAAAGAGTTCCTTCCCCCTATGAGCCTGTAAAACCAAAACAAGTTATTTCTTCCAAGATACAATGGGGGTACAAGCCTTGGGTAAACATTCTCATTCTAAAAGGGAGAAATTGGCCAAAAGAAAGAAGCTACAGGCCCCATGCAAGTTCAAAGCCCAGCAGGGCAGTCATTAAATCTTAAAGCTCCAATATAATCTCCTTTGATTCCATGTCCCACATCCAGGATACCCTGTTGCAAGGGGTGGGTTCCCAAGGCCTTGGGCAGCTCTATTCCTGTGTCTCTGAAGGGTACAGCCCCTGTGGTTGCTCTCAAGTGGTTGGAGTTGAGTGTCTGCAGCATTTCCAGGCACAGGTTGCAAGCCTCCAGAGGATCTAATATTCTGGGTTCTGGGGGGCAGTGGTTGCCTTCCTACAGCTCCACTAGACTGTACCCCAGTTGGGAACTTTGTGTGAGGCCTCCAACCCACAATTTCACTTCTGCACATTGTAGTTGAGGTTCTCTGTAGGAGCTCTTTCCCTGCAGCAAGCTTCTGCCTGGGCACCCAGGCTTTTCTCTACATCCTCTGAAATCAATGTGGAGGCTGCCAAGCTTCCCTCATTCTTGCATTCCGTGTGCCTGCGGTGCAGGCTTAATACCATGTAGAAGCCACCACATGGTGGCTTATGGTGTGCACCTTTTGAAGTGGCTGCCAAAGCTGTACCTGGGCTTTTTTGAGCTAAAGGTGGAGCCAGAACAACCTGCATGTGAGGAGCAGCCTCTTGGGGTGGTGCAGGGCAGTGGCACCCTGGGCTTTGCACTGGAAACCATTCAGTCCTCCTGGGCCTCTGAGTCTTTGATAGGAGGAACTTCCTGGAAGCTCTCTGAAATGCCTTGGAGGACTTTTTCTCATAGTTTTGGCTATCAGCACTTGGGTCTTTTAGTTATGCAAATTTCTCTAGCAAGTAGTTGCACCAAAGCCTGCTTGGATTCTTTCCCTGAAAACAGGGGTTTTTCTTTTCTGCCACATGGCCAGGCTGCAAATTTTCCAAACTTTAAAATCTGCTTCTCTTTTAAATATAACTTCCAACTTTAAGTCATTGCTTTGCTCCTACAAGTGAGGGAAGATTGCCAGAAGCAGCCATGCCACTTAATGAATGCTTTGTTGCTTAGACATTTTTTCCACCAGACACCCTAAATCATCTGAAGTTCAAACTTCCACAGATCCCTAAGGCACGAACTGAATGCAGCCAAGCTCTTTGCTAAGGCATAACATGCATGATAACTTGTGTGACCTTTGCTCCAGTTCCCAATAATTTCCACATTTGCATCTAACATCTCATCACCCTGAACTTCACTGTCCATATTACTATTAGCATTTTGGTCACAACCATTCAATTACTCTCTAAGAAGTTCCAGCCTTTGTCTCATCTTCCCATCTTCTTCTGAGCCCTCCAAACTCTTCCAACTTCTACCAGTTACCCAGTTCCAAAGTTGCTTTCACATTTTCAGGTATCTTTATAGCAATACCCCACTCCTGGTACCAATTTTCTGTATTAGGTCATTCTTGCATTGCTATAAAGGAATACCTGAGACTGGGTAATTTATATAAAAAAAGATGTTTAATTGGCTCACAGTTCTGCAGCTTGTATAGGAAACAGAGCACCGGCATCTTCTCAGCTTCTAGGGAGGCATCAGGAAGCCTACAACCATGGTGGAAGGCAAAGGGAGAGCAGGTGTCTCAGATGATGGGAGTGGGAGCAAGAGAGAGAGAGTGTAGGGGGAGATGCCACACACTCTAAACAACAAGATCTCACAAGGACGCAGTCACTATCACAAAGACAGCACCCAGCTATGAGGGATCCACCCTCATGATCCTACCAGGCCCCACCTCCAACATTGGGGATTTCATTTCAACATTTCAACACATACCCAAACTACATCAGATCCCAAAGGCAATCTCTCTTTCTGCTTTCAATCAGCTCCTACAGGACCCAGAAAAATAAAAAAGTGTTCCTTGCCCCCTGCAAATATGGTAAATAGCAAACAGAGTTCAGATTTTCAAAATCTGTGTACTCAATGTCACACACACATACACACATACATAAACATTTGCTAACAAGTCTATTGCCAAGATTACTTAAAACTGAAAATTGTTTAAGATATTGTTTGAGTTCTACGCTAACAAACACTGGACATCTTTCAAGTGTCTTTGGTGATTTCACTGCTAATTCTCTGCTACATGTGCTATAAGATGGTAGATCTAGGAGCCAACATTGAACTCATCTATAATGCACTGTCTTCCCACAGTGCATTACAGAGTGCCTGGGAACTAATAGCTTCCATCCCAGCACTGTGAGAGAACATTGTAAGGAAAAGTTTAGAGGCAGGATGTTGGGAGCAAGCCCCACAAAGACTGGCCATAAACTGGCCCCAAAACTGGCCATAAACAAAATCTCTGCAGCACTGTGATATGTCCATAATGACCCTACATCCAAGCTGGAAGGTTGTGGCTTTACAGGAATGAGGGAAAGGAACACCTGGCCCGCCCAGGGTGGAAAACCACTTGAAGACATTCTTAAGCCACAAACAAAAGCATGAGTGATCTGTGTCTTAAGGGCGTGTTCCTGCTGCAAATAATTCAGCCCATCCCTTCGTTTCCCTTAAGAGATACTTTTAGTTAATTTAATATCTATAGAAACAATGCTAATGACTGGTTTGCTGTTAATAAATATGTGGGTAAATCTGTGTTGGGGGCTGTTGGCTCCGAAGGCTGTGAGACCCCTGATTTCCCACTTCACACCTCTATATTTCTGTGTGTGTGTCTTTAATTCCTCTAGCACCATTGGGTTAGGGTCTCCCCAACCAAGCTGGTCTTGGCAGCAGGAAATTTGAAGGACTATTCTGTTTCTTCACCAGTCCACAACCACCTACAATTCGCCTTTAATTTTGCTACCATATTTAGCTGCCTAAAACATAGATGTAATCAATCATTTTTTTTATGCTCAAAAACTTTCAATTACTCACCATTACTTGAAGAATAATTTTCCACCTCCTTACACATCATTTTAGATCCTCCTGGCCAATCATGGTCCTTATGGTCTGATATGGTTTGGCTCTATATCCCAACCCAAATCTCATCTAGAATTGTAATCCCCAGGTCTTGAGGGAGGGACCTGGTGGGAGGTGATTGGATCATGGGGGCAATTCCCCAGTCCATGCTGTTCTCTTGATAGTGACTGAGTTTTCATGAGATCTAATGGCTTCTCTCTCTCTCTCCTGTTGCCTTGTGAAGAAGGTGCTTACTTCCCTTTCTGCCATAATTGTAAGTTTCCTGAGGCCTCCCCAGCCATACAGAACTGTGAGTCAAACCTCTTTACTTTATAAATTACCCAGTCTCAGTTCTTTAGAGCAGTGTGAAAATGGACTAATACATGATCCTTGTCTCATAAAATTCCTACCAGCTTTCTCATCACTCTCACAATGCTCTCATTCATACCAGAACGTATTTGTTTCTTTGCTTCTGCCCACACCTCACACAAACTTTCTCCCTTCTTCCCCATTATCACCTGTGGGAGTCATTACTTTAAATGCCCTTCTTTCATGAAACTATCCCACCAGTTAGAAACAGTTTTATCCTTGTACGAACCCCCAAATCATGTCTCCAAGTATCCTTTCTAATACACATGGGCATCCAGGCCTGGGGGTCCCCAACAGAGGAATATACAAAGCCCAGACTTATGGGCCAAGATAGCCACACACATATGTTCAAGGTAATTTCTAGTATGGGATGGAGCCAAGAGTTGAAAGAAAGCATAACTTTATTTTTAGCTTGAAGAATGTATTGTAAATATTTAGGCACATAGTATGTGGGTATGTGGGCCTCTTGACCTGGGCCCTGCAAATGTTAAGGACAGGCACAAACAGAATGGAAAATTTTGGAAAAATTGTGAACTCCTTGCTATTCCAAGTGTTCAAGAACAGATTAGGCAACCTCTAGGCTGGTGTTGTTTTCTTTCTCCTCCTCCTTCTTCTTCTTTTTAACCTTTTAAAATATAACCTTCTGGGGACCTAAAAGGCAAAGTTGTAATTTCAAATTCTCATTCCCCTCTGTGGTCTGTGCTGGAACGCAGCCGCATGAAACCTGACACCGAGCTCCCACACTCAGATCTGCAGCTCAGGGCTTGCCCTCACTGTCTTTTCACCCCACCCTTGACTACATCCCACACTATGTGGGACTTTGTATATGTGTGTTCAATATTGAAAATTTTACCTAAGCATAAAAAATTCCATCACCGAAAAAGATGTGTGTGTATATATGTAATATATGTATATATGTAATATGTGTATATATGTAATATGTGTATATATGTAATATGTGTATATATGTAATATGTGTATATATGTAATATATGTATATATGTAATATGTGTATATATGTAATATGTGTATATATGTAATATGTGTATATATGTAATGTATGTATATATGTAATATATGTATATATGTAATGTATGTATATATGTTTATGTATGTATAAAATTCCATCACCCAAAAAGATGTGTATATATATGCATGTATGTTTCTCACAGTGCAAAACTGAAAACAGCTAAGTATTCATTAATGAAGGATTAGTAAATGTAATATGGTATATGGTATGGCCATTTAGTGGAATATGATGTTAAAATCTTAAATGTAAATTTGATATGAAAAATATTCACATATTATTAAATTTAAAAGGTTAAATATAATATGCATAATATGTTCCCATGTTTGTTAAATGCATATTTAACATGAAAAACAGACACATTATCCTGTTAAATGTAAAAGCTGGTTAACTGTAGTATGTGCAATATAATCCCATGGTTGTGCTATGTGGATTATATTTTATAAGTGATTAATATATACTCTTATACACTCTCTCCTTCTCTCTCTCCCTTCTTCTCTCTCTCTCTCACACACATATACACACACACACACACACACACACTCAGAATATCTGGACTAAGATTGACTAAGAGGTTAACAGTAGTGTTATGTGTGGGCAGTGGGATTTCTGTTTATTTTTGGCTTTTTTGTTTGGTTGCTTTTGGCTTTGTCCTAACTCTATTTTCTATTTTTTGTAATAAACTATTTTTATTATTTACAAAAGATAGATATCCTTTTATTTTTATTTATCTATTTATTTTTGAGATGGAGTCTTGCTCTGTCACCAGGGCTGGTGTGCAGTGGCACGATCTCAACTCACTGCGACCTCCGCCTCCCCAGTTCGAGCGACTCTCCTGCCTCCGCCTCCAGAGTAGCTGGGATTACAGGCATGTGCCACCATGGCCAGCTAATTTTGTATTTTTAGTAGAGACAGGGTTTATCCATGTTGGTCAGGCTGGGCTCGAACTCCCAACCTCAGGTGATCCGCCTGCCTCGGCCTCCCAAAGTGCTGGGATTACAGGCATGAGCCACTGCGCCCGGCAGACATAAATAAAATAAAAATTATTATACACAGAGTCTAGGATGGTTATTTAGAAATGGGGTCATGAATGTTTAAACTGCAGCTGAGGCAATGAAAATGGAAAATAAGGGTAAAATGTGAGAGACACATTGCTTAGAAGTGAGTGTGAAAGGAGGGAACAAGGATGATTCCAAGAATAGTGAAAAGGTTAAGTTAGGAAAGTGGGAACTGATTTGAGAGTAGTAACTAGATTTGATTCTGAACATATTGGTTTAATTGGATGACAGAGAATTGTATAAGAAATGTATAAGACAGAGAATTGTACAGAAATATACAAGAGAGAATTTGAGCGTTTAAGGTGATGTCAGACTGGAGATATAGGCTCACAAATTTAGAAAAAATAAAACATATAGTTGAAGACCAATAACAGAGACCCAAGGAAAACAGAAAAAAAAGAAAGAAAATCAGAGCCTTGAAGAGTTCCCAAATTTGTAAGCAGAAGAGAAATCAATGAAGGATAAAGAGTTATTAAAGTCATAATTCATAAATTGATAACCCAGAGGGGAAAACAGTTCTGTACTTAAATAATGGAGTGGGTTAAAAAATTTTACATAGAGATATGCAAAGTTAATGTAGACTTGTTTTTCCAATATAACTTTTTTGTAAGCTTCCATTAAACTAACTACATTGGGAGGAGTAGGGACAGAAAGAGTAACATTAACTAGTATGTATCTGAGTCTTTTGGGCTTTTTCTTCCTCCCTCATCCCTTCTTAATTTGACAGCCAGGTAAAAGTTTTGTGAAAAACTGGGGTTTACATGAAGTCTGAGACATTTATGCACATCTCTTCCCAACTCTGTGTTCACTAACATGCTGATAACCGGAAATCAAGCATGGTGTCAGTATTGACTCCACAGCAATTATCATATGCTGTAAGTCAGAACTTTGTTTTGCGAGAGGAGGAGAGAAAGAAAGAGAGAAAGAGAGCTGGCTACACATTTAGCAGGACACCACACTTTATATGCCTAATGGCAGTGAGCAACATGAGATTCTCTTACTATCCTTTAGGTTCTCTGATCTCAGATATGTCCGTCATCTGCCTGGGCACTGGTCAGCTTGCTAACAGCCACTGAGAATGTCTGCAGCTGGTCAGTGCAAGACCCAGTCTCTTGGCTTAGGCAGAGCCCAGGGGTCTTTTCTTGCTGACTCAGCCTCACCTTACTCTCATCAGTAGTAAAGATAACTCTGAGACCCCCCTACAATGTCCTCACTAGGACCTCTGGCTGGAGAGTCTCCTGCCTCTGCCTTCTGCAGTGACCTGCTTCACTCATCTTCAGCAGGAGGCCTGCTGGCTATCTATTCTTCTATTTCCCTCCTCTCCCATAGGTCTTATAAAAATTCCTAGGACTTGTCTATGCCATTTGGAAACTAAAAGAGGTTCAAAACTACTAACTTAGTCTCTGTCTGCCCCAACACTCCACACTGTGATTTTCACTCTGATGCCACCCCTCCTCTAGTCGGTACTGTAGCATATTGGTGGTCTCGCAGAGTTCTGACCAGAAAATGAGGCAAAAGACCCTCTCCTTTGGCTTTTCCTCACATCCTATCGATCTACTAATCCTTCGCCACAAGCTCTAAGCCTAAAAGTGAAGCCATTCCACACATATCTGGCCATCTGTCCTCTTCCCTTTAACTATCTTCTTCCCACTCCTCCATCCAGAAGGGTCAGGCTTTCCTTCATAAGGCAAAGACTACGTTCCACCATCTCTTTAGATATCTCTACTATGGCCTATAGTAATCTTAACTTTCAACAAAGCCTGCTGCTCAAGACTATTGCCTTCCTAGGGGCCAAAATAAAATATTATTTAACAGTCAAAACAGAGTAATGTCTTTATCATTCTAATTTGCACCACCCTTCCCTTAACGCACCAAAACTCATTGCTTCAAAAGGTGGGAACCCTGGCCGGGTGTGGTAGCTCATGCTTGTAATCTCAGCACTTTGGGAGGCTGAGGCAGGCGGATCATGAGGTCAGGAGTTCGAGACCAGCCTGGCCAACATGGTGAAACCCCATCTGTACTAAAAATACAAAAATCAGCTGTGTGTGGTGGTGGGTGCCTGTAATCCCAGATACTTGGGAGGCTGAGGCAGGAGAATTGCTTGAACCTGGAAGGTGGAGGTTGCAGTGAGCCAAGATTGTGCCACTGCACTCCAGCCTGGGTGACAGAGAGATTCCATCTCAAAAAAAAATAAAATAAAATAAAATAAAAAAATAAAGAAACAAAAAGGTGGGAACCCTGGGGCAACCATATTTACAGGTCAGGTGTAGGAAAATCTGTAAAATATTTTTAATATGATCTCATTACGTAAGTTTTGGAAATGAGCTACTGAACAAAGTTAAACAGATTTCTTCAACTTAGAAAAAATTTAAGATTCATATACATTGTAAATTTCTAAGACAGGGATATAGTATGCAGCATTTCCCAAATTCATTTGATAAAGAAAATATTTTTCAAGGATCACCTTGTGGAATTAATTTTCTATGGAATAAATTTCTTTTGAAGACACTGAGTTACTCAAGAGAACCAAAATAATATTGTGACCGGAGAGAGAAGGGAGAAGAATTTTTCCAATGAAAAGAATAGCTTGTTCTTGGTGGTCTCCATGTGTCTCAAAAACCCAAAATTATTTCTGTTAGAGAAGGTAAACTGGCATTAATTAAACAGATCATCTGAACATAATCATGTGCTATTTATGACAATGTTAAGGGCTTTTGGTAACTTCATTATTGATTTTTCTGCCATGAGCACTTAATGATTGAGTAGGCTATTCCTTAGGGCTTCAATAGTAACTTCACAGATTGAATATGTTAATAGAACTGTAAAAGTGATTAGTTTAATCCTGTTGAGCGATTCGTGCAATGGGAAAACCTGAAAGAAGGCAGCTCTGTAAGGGATTAGACTCTCTATTATCTGCTTTACAGATTACCTTCCCAGAGCTAAGAGCACTGTTTAACATTCATCTTCTCTTACTTTCTCACTTGCTTTTTCTTACTGTTATCCACAACCCAATAGGCACTAGATGGAGAGACATTCGGTTGCTATTATAACAGATTTTTATTTTAATATCTGTAACTATTCTATTATCCTACTGACATTCAAATTAATCTACACAACTCCAAAAAGTGGTCAAACATGAAGAACCTGAGGCAACACAGATTGACTTTTGGTAGTGTGGTCATGATGTCCCCAAAGTCAAAGTTTGGATTGAATTTTCACTGGAGCCACATCTTTGCTATTCCACTGGGTGTCCCCTTCACTCCAAGGTAAAGCACCAGAGCCATAGCTCTGTCTTCTTTGCCTCTCAGCTCCCTTGGATGACTCAGATGGACATGACGTCTGGGTGCCTACCTCTGACCCAGCCTGTCCCCAGTGGGTTGCCATGGAGAGAATAAGCTGACTATAGGCCCAACTTCACCAAAAAAGAGCATTTTGAACAGTGCTTCACAGCCTGCCAGAGACAAGGGAAAACAGAATAAACACTTTTTAGTATGCAAGACATTCCTTGCAAAAATATTAAATTTTTTTTAACCATCTTCTGCTACTCTATGGCTGGGCATGTAAAAAAGTTAACAGATGATCTCATGGCTTGTACACAGATAACATAAGTATGGCATATATAATATACATTATAAGCCATAAAAAGTTTATAAATATAAGCATGGCTATGCAAATGTTATACAGATGTGTATATTTAAATATCTATTTCTTTTTGAATTTACAGATTTCTAGCTGAATGACAATGTTCCATTAAAAAAGAAGGAAGCTTGTCTACTCAGAACACAAAGAGAGCCCTGGCAATGGGTGTTACCAAACTCAAATGCAATCTAGACAATCTACCTTGTCATATATGAATTCCTATAATATTTTTCAAAAGTAGGGTGATATTATCATGACAATAAAGTATAAATTCATTTAAAAGAATTACTGATACCACAGTATCTTTGTGTTTATTATGCAATTTTTAAATCAAAATGCTAAAAGTGCAACTGTTTTCTGGAGAATCCATGAAATGTTCTGACATGAGAAGGAAGGTTATAAAATAATGAAATTAAAGGTGTTACAATTTTCTTCTTTTCACTTGTCTTCATTTTCTAATTTTTCTAAAATAAGCATATGATACTATTATAATAAGGAAAAAATGTTTTACTCAAAAAATTTGGAAGCCATTACAATAGGTATCAGGACTCAGGTAATTAAATAGGGTAGGTGCAGGGATATTTGGTTTGAAGGTGTTCCAAGCAGATGACCCAGCCCAGAAAACAAATCACCAAGATTTGGGGAATAGGCAAATTTGAGAGAAATTTTTAAGGGAAGGGAAAACTTAGCAAGTGGAAAACTGAGAAGAGAAAGTGTTCAGTAGTTTAAATAGCAGGAATCAGGGCGCAGAGGCAAGGTTCTGCCTGGTAGGCCAAAGGTTCACTGTGTCAGTTGGCAGCACCCACATGTTCTGTAGGTAGTTAAAGACACACTGGTTAGGAATGTCCAGGTTCAGCAGAGCCATGAATGCGCAACACACATAGCATTTAGGGAATGGAGGGCTACTACAGATGTTTTGATCCAGACAGTGACATGTACAAATGAGAAGGTCAGTGGGATAATAAACAACAAGAGAAAAAGAGAGAGCAGCTGTAGCCAGGCTTCTGTTTCTCATGTGAGAGATAAAGCAGACAATAACCCACACAACTAGACTGTTTCCATGAGGAACTTACAGGAAATTCCCAGTCACCTGTGGATTAAATGATAAAGCCTCTTGATCTGCTTAAGGACATTCAGTAACTTGCCCGCCACACTCTCTCTTCCCCTCAAATCCCCAGTGCTCCTCTCTCTACTCATCTTAGGCATGAAATTAAGGTCTCCTTGCTGTCCCCTAGGACTCCAGGACCCTCCCCTTTCTGAAATGCCACTGCAGGCGTTTTCACCCCTCTAGTGCAGTGCAATTCCAAGAGCTCGCTGAGGAATGGGGCAGGCTGTCTGTGGAGCAGAAGACAGGAAGGTGTTCTAGGCAGGTGGTCCAGGCTGGAAAACAGATCAGAAGAGGGAGAAAATAGTACTATGTCTCAGACAATGAACTCAGCAGATACTCTGAAGAGAGCCAACTTTTCATGAGGGGTGAGTAGGAAGATGGCAGGCATAAGATGGATCATTTAAAAGTGGCACTTGCCATCAAACTAGCAAATAGCCAAGTTAGCTGATATGAATTTCACCTCACCTCCTTTTTTATCTTTTTCTTTTATTCATTCTTGCATTCAATGTACATTTATTGAATATTTAATGTCACCCCAGAACACAAGCCCCTTGCTAGCCATAGGAAACTGCTAAAATTTGAGCACTGCCTGGAAATCGTGCTTCTGTATAACTTTATTTGTTAATGTATATTCCTTTCTTTATAACGGCAGCCTTAACAAATCACAAATATATTTGTGAAATTCTCCCATATATACCAAAAGATTGCACCTCTGTTGAGATGCATAAGGGGCATAATGATCATTAAAAAATAAAATGGGTCTCAAACAGATTGACCACATATGAGCGATAAAAGTAGGAAGTGAACAAGTCTGAATCCCCATTCACATCCCATTTTATGTATGAAGTAAATACTTATGAAGTGCATAGCCTGCAAGATAAAACATGGGAAATTTTCTACAAGAGGAAATTGGATGTCTTGATGAGCCTTAAAGGATTTAAGGTATAGTCAAAAAAGAGGAGCAAAGCTCTGGATTCTATACTTCCTTGTGAAAAAGAGCAAATCTTTTGTTTAAGTGCCTTGCACATAATAGGTCTTCAGATATTTGTGAAGTGAACCAAACAAGCCAGATACCGAAAGCATTTCATTACATAAGTTCCAAAGAACTCAGGTACAACCAAAGGAATGGAGGAAGAAGAACTCTAAAGTGACTAAGATTAAGTTTTTGCTATTGGAGAGAATGGAGCTTGCAATGAATAAATGAAGTTGTATTTCTTTGCCCCCTGACATTTGGGACTGAGATTCACATCTGCTACTATACTTTCACATATATTATTTCATTTGCTCTTTATAGTAACCCTGTGAGAAAAGTATAGTGGACGTTATTATTATCACTATTTTACAGAGGAAAAAACTGAAGTCCAAAGAGTTTAGGACAAGGATTCAAATCCAGAATTTTTGCCCACTTTTTCTTCTAGCTAGCACATAATTTTGTCCTGCTCTGGTCAACTACTTCCTCCAAGAGCCTAACCTTCAGGGCACGGTGTTTTCTTGAGAATGTATGATTTTCTCTCCCAAGCCTCATCCAAGTTCTCAGTTTTGCCCTTTGGATCTCTGGAAAAAGATGGAGTTTTGTTTTGTTTTGTTTTGCTTTATTTTGGCTTGGTTCCAAAGGTTTCTCTGTCATAAACATTGGAAGGCTTGGCGATGAGCTATTTTGGAACTTCAGTGTCATAGTCCAAAGGAAAGGCAGAAAGCACTAGGGAAGTGAAGGCTGGAAAAGCAATAAACCTAATTACAGAGTACAAAGAGACATGGTGAACTTGTCCTTGATTCTATCTACTGTCCATATCCGTGAGGACTCATTCCAGGGAGGAGACTGCAGCAGCAGGCGAGGTAGTGAGACCAATTGAAGTCACATGGCTGCAGCATGAGAGTTTCAGAGATCAGTCTGTTGGAAGCAGGACTCCAGCCAGAACCAGCAGTTGGAAATACACACATTAGAGTCTAGCTATGAAAGACGGAGAATTTCTCTGAGCTTGGCATTCTGCCAGGGCCCCGGATAAGTGTGTTGATATTTAGGGCAGTGTTGCATTCCAACCAGGGACAAATGTACCCAGTAGAAAACAAAGTAGCCTGGGCCACATCCACTTAGTGGGCACCTGGGGCTGACTGTCACCTCAAGAACATGTGACACTGGTCCTTGAACAGCAGAATTTAAGTTCCAACATAAGAAGAATGGCCAAATCACACCGGAAAAAAGAAACACAGAGAAACAATATTGAGAGGACGGGGCTCAGAAATGGGGAGAGGAGGAGCCAAGTGCTTGTTTTTAGTAACAGAAAATAATTAGATATTGTCAAAGAGTGATCAAGAATTCGAAATAAAAATACTTAGAAATACAAAGATGAATACCAGAAGGAAACAGAACAAAAATTAGTTACCTCTAGAGAGTGAAACTAGAAGATGTTTGCAGGGAGGCTGCTAGTTTTATTATATGCCTTATAGTACTATATTTTAATTGTGGCCAAATATACACAACATAGAATTTACCATTTTAAGTACGATTCAGTGGTGTGAAATACATTCATATTCCTATGCAATCATCACCACTATCTGTTTCCAGAACTTTTTCATCAAACTAAACAGAAGCTCTATACTGCACCCATTAAATAACTCTCCACACCTGCCTTTCCCCAGTTCTTGGTAACGTCTATTTACTTCTGTCTCTGTGAATTTGCCTATTCTAGGCACCTCATGTAAGTGGAATTATACAGTATTTGTCCCTTTGTGTTTGGTTTCTTTCTCTTAGCATAATGTTTTCGGGGATCATCCATATTGTAGTATACATCAGAATTTCATGCCTTTTATGGCTGAATAACATTCCATTGAATGTATACATTTTGTTTATTCATCTGTTGATACACATTTGGGTTATTTCCAGCTTTTAGCTACTGTGAATAATGCTATGAACACTGGTGCCTAAGTATTTGTTTGAATTCCTACATTCACTTTTTTCTTTAACATATCTCCAAGCATTATTTTATGTAAATTTGTTTCAAACAACAGTTAAGAATTGAAAAAAGAAAAGATAGGAGGGATGAAGGAATGAAAGAACAATGGACAAAGGAATGAAAGAACAATGAACAAAGGATGAAATGAGTGGGCTGAACCTGTAAGTGAAGGATCCAGATTATTTAGTCAAAATGCCACGGTGTGTTGGGGACAGGAGACAGTGGCAACCCATACTCCTCCCAGCCACACTCCCTTAACTCCACCCAATGCAAGAGTGGATGGAGACTCCAAGACCCAAAAGTGAGATAAGCACTCTGGGTTCTGAATCTACATACTAGCTGTGGGAATATAGGCAAATTACTTAACCTCTGTCATACTCAGTTTCCTTAGCTGGTAAAATGTTTAAATATCCTCCTCTATTTTTATTTCTGCCAAGCCTGCTAACAGCTCTTTCTGAGATTTCTTACATTTAATATTAATAAGTGTTAAGAAACGGTATGCCTATATTATGTCTACATTTTAGAGATAAAGAGATGAATAAATATGGTCCATGCTCTCATGAGGCTTACACTCTCAGAGAAAGATGGTCTTGGGTACAGGCAAGTGCAAGAAATTGTGTGCTGGCACCAGTGGCCACATCACTCAAGGATGGTCAAATCTACTCAGAACTAACGTGTTACATTGAACATCAGGTTGCTTCATCCTCGTGTGTGTTCTGATCGGCTAATGCCTATGCTGTACTAGTTGTTGTATTTACTATTTTCAGTATCACCCTGATTTCACTTGCATGTGTCAGGAAAGGTGTCAGAGAAGGAACACCCAAGCAGAGTGCTGACTGCTCAGTGTCATCAGCCAGGCATGAGGAAGGTCTAGAAGGGCACTTTCCAAGCAGAGGGTCTGGAGGTGTTCTTTGCAGCTGAAACACAATGTCAAGGAACAGAGCTCACCAACTGAGGAGGCTGGAGAGAAAAGTAAGGGCCAAGGGTCACCAAGTAACAACTGCATCAGGAATTCAGGTGAGAGTGGAGGGTCTCCTAAGACTGCCAGAGCAACAGCAATAAGGGTAGCAATCAGAGGACCCCTGAAAAGAGCCCAGTGGGGGTAAAAATTGCCGAGTCATTGTTGACCTTTGCCAGTGGCAAAGTGAAAGACTTATTGCTGACGGCTGAAGATTAAATGACTTAAATTCCATACCATATGCTCAACCCTATGTTTCTTCCAGTCCTTCCAGAGTTCTGAGGGTGGCTTACGTGTTTCCTAGTAACTTCTAGCCCTGAGGTCCCACTTAGGTTGAATTAGTTCAATTTATAGATATTTTCATTGTCCTGTGCATACCTCACACTGAACCAAACTTTCAACTCTCAATTAATTCTGATCTGGCTTTCCCCACTCCAAGATAGTACCAAAGTTCTATTGAGGTGGTGGGCTCCCTCACCGAGGTAAGTGATACATCATGTCTTATTAAAAGGTTGTGTTAGTGATATGTGGGGACCCAGCATTCAACAGCACCAATCCAGCCATAGAACTGAGACCTTTTCCTTCATTCACAAGCACACATCATTAATACATGGTGTTTATATCTATAGCTGACATCACTAGGTTTGTATTTTATGTCATAATACTGCTCAGATCCCACTCATCTTAAAAGTCGTTGATTTCTCCCTTATCCTGGACTCTTGCAGACAGGCTCCTCCCCTCATACTCAATTTGGCCACCAAAAGCAAAGCAATGTGACTCTCTAACCCCTCCCTGCCACCACAACCACTATCTCCTGTCTCAGGGTCTACCTTTGCAAATCCAGGGACCCTGTAATTAAGAGCCCTGCTGAACTATGGACCTCTGCCCTTTAACAGTCCAGAAAATCTGCTGAAGGTCTTAACATTTTTGTCCTAAGCTTCTTTACAAGAGAAAAATAGCATGGATATTTATTTACTCATTTGATCTAGTAAACTTAGTAAAAGTCCTTAAGCAGGCCGGGCATGGTAGCTCATGCCTGTAATCCCGGAACTTTGGGAGGCTGAGACGGGTGGGTCACCTGAGGTTGGGAGTTCGAGACCAGCCTGACCAACGTGGAGAAACCTTGTCTCTACTAAAAGTACAAAATTAGCCGGGCATGGTGGCGCATGCCTGTAATCCCAGCTACTCGGGAGGCTGAGGCAGGAGAATCGCTTAAACCCAGGAGGCGGAGGTTGTGGTGAGGCGAGATCGTACCATTGCACTCCAGCCTGGGCAACAAGAGCAAAACTCCACCAAAAAAAAAAAAAAAAAAAAAGTCCTTAAGCAGAAGTGGCTCTAAAACATTTTAGGTTTTAAATAATAAGTTTCTTGTATTTTTTCTATTATACTACTATGTATAACAGCTCTTATGGACAAAAGTGTATGTTCAAGGGAGCATAAAGAAGTTATTCAAGTCGTCCCGTTGGGGTCTGGAAAAACTTCCAGAGGAGCTAGGATATGAATGGTGAATTGGCCTTTTGTGGCAGAGGCAAGAGTATTTCAAGGGTTTGGGTTCACATAAGAATAATAACCATGACTACATTTTGAGCATTCCGAATATCAGCCCTGCTGTAAGCATTTTCCTTGAGTTAAAACCTTTTAATCCTCTCAGCCACCAGGAGAAATGCAATGTACTGAATGTTTATGTCCCTCTGAAATTTGTACATTGAAATACTGACCCCCAGTATAATTGTATTAGGAGATGGGGCCTTTGGGAGGTAATTAAATCATAAGGGTGGTGCCTTCATGAATGGGATTAGTGCCCTTATAAAAGAGACTCCAGAGTGCTCTTTTGTTCTTTCTGTAGATGGCAGTCTGCAAACCAGAAAGGGCCCTCCACACTGGCACCCTGATCTCAGACTTCCAGCCTCCCAAACTGTGAGGAATAAAATTCTGTTGCTTATAAGCCACCCTGTCTGTGGTACTCTTATAGAAACTGACTGACTAGAACAGGAGGTCAGTACTATTTTAGTTTTGCAGATGGAGAAATTGAGACACAAAGGTATTAAGTAACACACTCAAGGTCACATATGTAATTTCTAGGGTCCAGGATTCAAACCCAGGTAATGAAAGTCCACACACTGAATCACAGTGCAATGCTTCCTTCTAATGAAGAAACAAAATGAGATAAACAATGAGCTAAGGGCTGAAGCATCAGGCACAAGAGAAATAAAGAAGGGAGATGAAGCTGTATAGGATACCCATCTTCCATATTTGGGATTTTGTCATTTATAGGTTTTCTAGACATGTGTTCCTTCTCAATTGTTTCAGAAAAAGAAAAGAGTGTAGTTCAGGATTGTTATTTAATGCTAGAATAGGGAAGGGGTCCTGTTACAAGTTTAGATCAGCAGAGACCCACATGATGCATGAGAACAATTGCAGGACTGGGAATTAGAAGACTGAACGCTGAAACACAGAGCAAGCTCTGCTCCGTGATTTGGTCAAATCTCTTAACTCTTTGGCCTGCAGTTTCCTCACAAAAAAAAGTCAGGGTTTGAACGGAATTGTCTCTGAAATCCCATCAGGTTCCACGTCCTCATTGCCTCCTGCGGGCATGCACTTGGACCTCTCTGCTCGCCGGCTGCCAGCTGAGTTTCTCATGTTTGTGCTTTCCTACTCCTCCTCTCCCTCTGCTTTATCCCATCTGTTCGCTCCCACTGTTCTGGCACCATCTGTTGTTTTCAGATGTCCTGATAGCTCAAGAATGTGTTTTAACATGGGAAGTTTCTCCTATATGAGATTAAGCCCTCCATAGGAAGGATGTTTTGCTAATAAAAAAAAGTCACAAATGGCCGGGCACAGTGGTTCACGCCCGTAATCCCAGCACTTTGGGAGGCCGAGACAGGCAGATTATGAGGTCAGGAGATGGAGACCATCACGGCCTACATGGTGAAACCCCGTCCCTACTAAAAATACAAAAATTAGCTGGGCATGGTGGTGGGCACCTATAGTCCCAGCAACTCGGGAGGCTGAGGCAGGAGAATCGCTTGAACCCAGGAGGTGGAGGTTGCAGTGAGCTGAGATCGCACCACTGCACTCCAGCCTGGCGACAGAGAGAGACTCCGTCTCAAAAAAGAAAAAAAGTTGCAAATGTATTCTTCCATCAAGGTAGTATTCTGATAATCTCAGTACTTCCTCTTTATGGTGTTTATGATATTAGAAGTAAACAGTCACAGTTAAGAGTTGTACATAAGCAGAAAAAAAAAAACTTTGTGTATATTTTCCCAGACTCATACATATTATTAACTATTTATTGTTTATTTTCACATCCCAATTGCTAAGAAATTTGTTAAAACTCCCTTATTAATTGTAAGATTTGTTTCTGAGAAGTAACAAGAAGAGTGAAAAATAAAAAGCAAACCAACAGGTAGAGGAAATGTGAGAAATCTTGGATAAATTGTGTCCAGAAAGAATGGATCAAATTTTGATCTTAGAAATACATGCCTCATTTTATTTCATATTTATTTTAGTTCTGTAAGAAACTAAAACTATGCAGTAATTGTGCAAGAACACTCTAAACCACATTTGAGAAATGCAAAGTGCAGTGTAGGGCACGATGTCACTAACCTTCAGCATAACCTTAACCTCATGGAGTCCCCATACACAGGGTTGTTCTCCCCATCTTAGATGTGCTACTAGCTAAAAGTCATCCAACCTGGTCATGGCCTAACATCTTCTGGAACTGGGGATTACAAAGAATCTAAAATTCCATTCTCTCTATTGTTAACATAACCCTTGAGTCCAGATTACCTCTCTCTTCAGGGAAATAAATTCATAGGAGTTGCAGGACAAGGAACAGATCACAAACACATTTCTATTTTATTCCTGTCTCATGGAAAAAGAGCAAGCTAGAAATGTAAACGTCAGTGAAACATTCCTCGGACCTTAGATGAGAGGTGTTACATAAACACGTTTTCAGCTGAGCCTGAAAAATTTGTTTACTTACAAACTTTCTATACAACCCTGACGGCTTTCCAGGAAGTAGCCTCTCTCTTCATTAGAAAATTCTTCACAGGACTTGCTTCAGAGCCTGCCCGCTCTTGTTTTTCAGTTCTCTTGACATGTGACCCATTCTTTGAGAAGCTTGTTTGTTTATGCTGCAGTGCATCATCCATTTTCCCACTGCCAAGGCGGCTCTGCTCTCATGTGAATCAGAGATCGCTGGACTGCTCTGACCTAGAGGTCCGCACACGGCCCCCTCCCCAGCTTCTCCTAACTGCAGCATTTGCTCTTCTGTTTTCTTTGACTTCCTGTCTTGCCTCCTTCCTCCCCTGTACTCTTTCTTTAGTCCCAAACCTCCCTACTGTTTGTCTCTCTGCTTGATTCACCTTTATTTTTTATTGTATATATTTAAGGTATACAACATGATTTTTCTATATACGTAGTGAAATTGTTACTACAGTGAAGCAAATTTATATGACCATCATCTCGCATAGTTACTCTTTTTGTGAGTGTGGAAAGAGCACCCAAAATCTACTACTCTCTTAGAAGGTTTCCAGTGTACAATATAATGTTATAATTATCGTTGTCATGTTGTACACTAAATCTCTAATTTTAATTATGCTATCAAGAGATTACCTCTCTTCTCACCTGTCAAAATGAGTGGAAATTAAGTCCCCCTAGTCTCTCCCATTCTTCTCTAATCTCCCCAGCTGGCCCCAGCCTCGCAAACTAAAAGAAAAAACAATTTCATCAAGCTCCTCTGGGGCGAAACAATGAATAAGATATTGTTCAGCTTTACATCTCAGAAACCCTTCCCCCAGTGATTTGCAAGCAGTAACTTATGTTTAATTAGCTCTTGGATTGAATTTGGAGTCATTGGTTTGGCCAGATAATGAAGTTCCCAATTAATGTCACAATATAGATTATAATCTGATCCTTATGGTTGGGCTCTTTCCTCAGTTATAACCAATATTTTTATGTGATGAACCATTTTCTGGGCTCCACTACTAAAAATAAACTTTTATACACTAAGAGATGAAAGAATCTAAAGTTTGTTTAGGGAACCGAAGTCTCCCAGTAGTTGGATGCTCACAGTTCCCTTGAAATTAAACGATATCAAATTACCATATAACCACAATACTAAGACATACTTTTCACTGTTTAGCATTCTAAAATTGTGATAAATTTTATAATTGATGCATACATTTAATGTGGAAGTGCTGACTTTTTTCCTCAAGCATTAGTGGTGTTTCCTGCAATCAATGGGGTTGTAGCATCAACAAATTGATATAAAATTTGGATTTCTGTATGTCAAAATAGTATTTTGAAAAAATGCTACTTTTTTTGTTTTTCACTCTATCCAGTGAATGTTTTACCCAGTAACAGAAACAATCATGAATCTTAGTCCTTGATTAATTTACCCTAAACTCTTGAATTACATGTCAATACATCATAAAATAACCAGTGGCACATCATTTGTTCAGTGTCACCAATTGTGTTCTGCATTTTCTAATTTTTAAAAGTGTGCTATAAACTAACATATATTGTTAGGGCACTTGCCAGGTTGAATTCCTTTCAGAGCTACACTTAACATGTTATTTAATCTAGGGGTTGAACAAATGCCAGCAGCTGCAGGCTACGACTGCCTGTAACATTGCAACTAATTTAGCTAGAGTCAGTATCCTCTGCTTCTTATTCTCCAGAGAATTATCATAATTATTGGTATTCTACAATTAAATTAAGGTATTAAGATTCTGTTCTAGCTTCTTACTGGCATAAAAAGTTCTTATGTTGCCTAGAATATTGAATTAAAATATTGGAAGTAGTTTTTAAAGATTTTTTTTTGCCTTTGTGTGTAGAAAGACACATATTAAGAGGTATCATTATCCTTTGATAAGGAAATATACAAATCATTAAGAAATGGATGAATATTCTTCAAAAGAGTGAGAGAAAGACAAGTATACCTCATTAAGGAAACAGAAATGACCAATACATATGGAACAAGAAAAGTGCAGTATCACTATTAATTAAAGGCAAATTACTATAGCTACTAATTTTCCTTTCAGTGGTCAAGTTTTCCAATAAAGTGCTTTTGTAACAGCTTTGTTGATATAAAAGTGGTTTAATATATTAACAGATATATTAAATATCTGTTATTGTGCAACCCTCACCACTATCTAATTTTAAAATATGTTTGTATTCCCCAAAAGAAACCCCATTTCCATTAGCAGTCACTTTCCATTCCCCCCCGCCACCCGCCACACTGCCCCTGGTAACCACTAATCTACTGTCTCTATAAATTTAACTATTTTGGACATTTCATATAAATGAAATCATACAACAGATGGTCTTTTGTGACTAACTTCTTTCACCAAGCCTGGTGTTTTCGATGTTTGTCCGTGTTGTACCATGTATCAGCACCTCATTCCTTTTTGTAGCTCTAGTGAAGTTTTGACAATGTTCTGGCAAAACTGAGCTCTCCAACATTATGTTTGGGACAGTATAATGATTTTTAGTAAGTCCATTCTGGGGGACAATTTGGCAATTCATATTTAAAACTTTTTAAAAATATATAACGTTTCATCCAAGAATTCACTTTCAGGAAATTACCCCAAAGAAGCAATCATAGATGTGTTCTCAAATTGGCCTGCAAAGATATTATTTGCAGTGCTGTACATGATAAGAAAATATTCACACAACATGATTCTCAACAACAGTGGATATGGTAAGTAATTTTTTTTTTCCAGAGACGGTGGTCTCACTATGTTGCTCAAGATGGAGTGCGGTGGATTTTCACAGGAGCAATCCCAATACTGACCAGCACAAGAGTTTCGATGTGCTCCATTGTTGACCTGGGCTGGTTCACCCTTCTTTAGGCAATCCTGTGGTCCCCTGCTCCTGGGAGGATGCCATGTTGATGTCAATTTTAGTGCGGACACCTGATTGGTATAGTGCACCACAGCCTAGAACTTCTGGACTCAGGTGATCCTCCTGCTTCAGCCTCCTGAGTACCTGGGATTACAGGTGTGGACTCCCACACCAGCTGTTAGATAAATTGTGATGTTGGAATATTGTAGGATCTGCAGCCATTTGAAATGATGTGGGGAATGTGCTGTAGGAACTTGCATGAGTGCCGTGGAGCTATAGTGCTGCCACAATAGAATCAGAACACTTATGCATTTTTCAAAATATGATGCAAAATCTGACTACATAATGGGTAAGAGGTTTATACTGCTTTTAAAAATTAGTTTTAAGACAAATCTTGTAGCTGAATACTTAAATTGTGGAAAGAAATTAGTGACATAATGTTAAATAACTAAAGCAATTTCAAGCATGCAGTTGGATCTCACTTTGTTTATTAAAAGAAGGGGTATGAGTGTGTGGTATGTAAAAGAACTGGAAAAATATATGACAGATACGTATGTGGGTTTTTTCTTCTCTGTATTTTGTGTAACATATTTACCACTCTACTTTTATGATGAGAAAAAAATAAGGTTTCAACTTTTTCTTAACTCTGTAATTCAAACATATAGCACACTATGCTTCTTTTTTTTAAAGTTATCTTTTGTATACTATAGAGAATCTTCTTAGATAGTTTACTACTCTCAGGAACTGAGCTACAGCACTACTTCTATTTTGAACCAAATAACTGCACTTCAGCATTCTCCTTCATGGTCTGGCTAATTATACAATTTTATGCAGTGGGGTTTATAAATAAAAGAATATTTTCCCCTTCATGTCATAAGCTAGTTTATACACACATCCTAAAGGAAAGTTTGGTTCCCAGAGCTTGGGGCTGTGCCTAGTATTTCCAAGGTCTTCTCATCCTTTTTTTTAAGGAGGATGAGGAGGTTAAATCAAATTCCAAAATCATGCCTTATTTTGAGACTATCCAAATTCAGGCAGCTCTTAGTTTATGTAGACAGCCAAACTATACTCTGTGTCTCTAAAAAGTGGATTGCCTTCTTTTTTTCTAGTAATGAAAAAATTCTATCAACAGGATCTTATAAATACCCTGATGTTTAGACATTTGAACTTTACAATACCTCTTAATTGATTGATTGATTCATTGATACATGATATGATACAGATAGATATGTGAGTTATAGGTATTTGAGCAAATTTTAACTGTTCATCCTCATATCACAACTTATACTAAAAAATTAACTCCTTACTCCCTCAACCCAGGCAAAACACACCATTAATTAAATTGCAGTTTAGTGACAACTACTGCAAACAAATTCTAAAGTAGGAAAACGACATGCCCTTCTTCTGGGAGCCACTGTGGATGCTCTTGAAGATCTCAAACTTATATGTATACAATTAGTAATTAAAAGGCAGATGAAGCAAATCTAGTCTGCTGATCTTTTTAAAGCTTGTCCAAAGCAAAAATTCTCCTATTGACCTTTAGAAGACAAAACCATAGTCAAAACAGTTAAAACCAGAGTATGTCTGCTACTGGTGATGGGAGTCAAAGACTTCAAAAGAGGGTTTGGCCAATAACTACCGGTAGGTCATTTTTGAAAGAAAAAAATGACATTTGAACCATGGTGTCAAATGGTAATGGTTTTTTCTTTCTCCAACTCCATTCATTTAAAGCTATGGAGCCTGGTGTGCTTTAATTGTGAATTTATACAATTCTGTTTGTGTACTTTTTTTCTAACAGTGCCAGATCACTCTGTAAAATGAGTTATTCATGCAATTTGAGTTTAGTAAGCTTACAAATGCAGAAAGAATGTGTCTTGACACAAAGATTTTTTAAAAGAGTTATTGGCTACTACTTATAAGGTCTTCTTTGTAAAGATACATCTATTTTTTATAGTAGATTCCTTATTGCAGTTAATAATATATTTTAGGCAATAAATTACCAAAAGCAAATATGCAATTAAATAATTTGCAA
Source organism: Homo sapiens (assembly GCF_000001405.40). Classification (NCBI taxonomy): domain Eukaryota; kingdom Metazoa; phylum Chordata; class Mammalia; order Primates; family Hominidae; genus Homo; species Homo sapiens. The sequence goes on from NC_000011.10 coordinate 100,644,130, forward strand.
AAGATTGCACAAATGGAAAATTCAATGACATAAAAAAAATTGTTTTCATAAACTATATTTCATTCATACTTGCTTTTCTGAGGTAATACAAAGATAATAAGAACTTAGGAGAGTTACCAGCAAATAGTAAGCACTCATAATTCATGCTGTTATTATTAGTACTATTTTTAGACAATTATTTATGAATGCTTTGAGCTGAAAACTTTGGGTTAGCACAAATGCAGACAATAATTTTTGCTCCCATACAGCTTGCCCTTTACTGAGGTGGTAGATGTTGATCCAAAAATCACACAAAAAAATCCAAATTTACCACAGTAGTTAGTCCCAGGAATGAAAGATACGCAGTGCTGCGAGAAGGTGAAACAAGGGACTTGGGTTTTTCTAAAAGGTCAGAGGAGGCCTCCTGGAGGAGGTGATGTTTGAGCTGAGATTGGAAAAAAGAGTAAGAGTCAGAAAACCAAGAGGGTGAGAAAGTGTTCCCAACAAGAGAACAGCATGTTTGGGGCAGTGAAAGGTCAGCAAGACTAGATCAAAGACACAGAAGAAAAGCAGATGGATTTGAGAAATATTTAGCTAATAAAATCCACAAGAAGAAGTCATGATTGGATAAGAATGGAAAAAGAAAATATATTGAGAAATGATGACTCCTAAAACCTGGCAGACACTGCCTTAATCAAATGATCAAACTTAACACCATCAGAAATGAACTAACTGACAGCATGTGATGCACTGACAAGAAGCCAACATCACTTCTCTGTCATTTCTCCTGAAAGTGCATAACTAGAATCTAATCATGAGAAGATATCAAACAATCCTGAACAGAAGGACAGCCTACAAAATCCATATCTACTGAATAGTCAAAACGATCTTGAAAAGGAGTAAAATGGGAAACCACACACTTACTGATTTCAAAGCATACTGCAAAGCAACAGTAATTAAGATGGTGTAGTTCTGGCAAAATGATCCATGTATAGAACAATGGAACAGAAGAGAGAGGCCAGAAGTAAATGCTATGTTTTTGGTCAAATAATCTTTGACAAGGATGCCAAGGCTACACAATGAGGAAACAGCAGTCTTTTCAACAAATGGTGTTGAGAAAACTTGATATTCATATGCAAAAGAATGGATTTGGACCATTACCTTAGACCATATGCAAAAAATCAACTCCAAATGGATTAAAGACTGAAACTATAAAACTTCTAGAAGAAAACATAGAGAAAAACTTCAGGACATTTGATTTGGCAATGATTTCTTGGATATGATACCAAAAGCACAAGCAAAAATTCAAAAACAGAAATATGAGACTACATCAAACTTGAAAATTTTTGTACATCAAAAGAAACAATCAAAAGAGTGAAAATTCAACATGCAGAATGTCAGAAGATATCTGCAAATTATATTGCTGATAAGAGGTTAATATCCACAATATATATGGAATTTCTACAACTTGACAACAGAAAACAACATGACAACAGAAAACAACCCGATTAAAAAATGGGCATACGACTTTATTTTGAATAGGCAATTTTGCAAAGATATACAAATTGCCAACAAGCATATGAAAATATGCTCAATATCATATAAATCATAAGAGAAATGCAAGTCAATGCCACAATAAGATATCACCTCACCTTCATTAGGATGCCCGCTATCAAAAGAACAAAAAATAACAAGTGTTAAGGAGGATATGGAGAAAAGGGAATGCTTGTGCACTGTTGGTGGGAATGTTGATTAGTGTGGCCATTCTGGAAAACAGTATGGAGGTTCTTGAAACAATTAAAAATAGAACTACTATATAATCCAGGAACTCCATTTCTAGATATATTGCCAAAAGAATTCAAAGCAGGATCTCAAAGAAATATTTGCACACCCATGTTCATTGCAGCATTGTTCACAATAGGCAAGAGATAGAAGCAGTCAAATGTCCATTGATAATAAATGAATGGATAAAGAAAATGTGGTATGGCTGGACATGGTGGCTCACATCTGTAATTCCACACTTTAGTAGGCTGAGGCAAGAAGATCACTTGAGCCCAAGGGTCTGAGACCAGCCTGGGCAACACAGTGAGACCTTGTCTCTACAAAAGAAAAAATACAAATTAGCCGAGCATAGTGGCACATGCCTGTGGTCCCAGCTACTCAGGACACTGAAGTAGGAGGATCACTTAAGGCCAGAAGGTCGAGGCTACCGTGAGCTGTGTTCTTGCTACTGCATTCCAGCCTGTATCCCTATCACAAAGAAAGAAAAAGAAAGAAAAGGAAGGAAGGAGGGAAGGAAGGAAGGAAGGAAGGAAGGAAGGAAGGAAGGAAGGAAAGAAGGAAGGAAAGAAGGAAGGAAAGAAGGAAGGAAGGAAGGTAGGAAGGAAGGAAAGAAGGGAGGGAGGGAGGAAGGAAAAGAAAGAAAATTTGGGGTATACCTATAATGGAAAATTATGCCTCCTTGAAAAAGAAAGAAATCCTATCACATACTATACAACATGGATAAACCTTGAGGACATTATAGGAAGCGAGATAAGCCACTCACAAAAAGACAAACACTATATGATTCCATGCATATAAAGTACCTACTATAATCAAAATCATAGAAACAGAAAGTAAAACAGTGGTTTCCAGGAGCTAGAGAGAGGGGAAATTAGTGGTTTATGGGTATACAGAGTCTGTTTACAAGATGAAAAATTTCTAGAGATGAGTTGCATTATAATGTGAATATTCTTAACACTACTGAACTGTACACTTTTAAATGGTAAATTTTATATTATGAGATTTTTACAAAAATTTAAAAAATAGCTGATCTGGCCAGGCACTGTGGCACACGCCTGTAATCCCAGCACTTTGAGGGGCTGAGGTGGGCAGATCACGAGGTCAGGAGATCGAGACCATCCTGACTAACATGGTGAAACCCTGTCTCTACTAAAAATACAAAAAATTAGCTGGGCGCAGTGGTGGGCACCTGTAGTCCCAGCTACTTGGGAGGCTGAGGCAGGAGAATGGTGCGAACCCGGGAGGCGGAGCTTGCAGTGAGCCGAGATCGTGCCACTGCACGCCAGCCTGGGCAACAGAGCAAGACTCTATTTCAAAAAAAAAAAAAAAATAGTTGATCAACAGTCTTCCAAAATATTAATGTCGACTTGAACTAACTTGTAGCTCCCACTTGGATGGACAGAACAGCGTGTGGAGACTGGCATCATGAACTTTTGCTCCAAGAACTACCACAGGAACGTAACAGGGAAACCAAAAGAATTCACAGACCCTTTGAAAGAAGTGGTTTGCCATTGCAAACTCAATGAAACAGGTGAAAAACTGTGAGTGCCCAAAGTGTGAGAGGGGTAAAGTCCACCCTGAACACACATCCTCACTACAGAACCTGAAATCCAAATCATGGGATAAGGATTTAACCTTACCAAGAGCTGAAGTGAATTTAGAGAACCAAGCAAAATATAAAGGTAGAAGAACCAAGGGGAAGAGCCCTGTAGGCACTGCCAGACCCCAGGGAAGCTATTTCTAACTTTATTTCACAGGGGTCCTGGGGAGGGCTGCCAGTAAAATGGGGGAAAGATTACAGGGAGAAGGAAACTTCCAGCCAAACTTTGTAATAATTTTGATCAAGTGCAAATTATCCAGGGCAGAATCTGGTGGTAGGGACAAATAGGAATTGCAGATACCAGCACAGAAGCTACACAAAGTGAGGAGGGACAAAGCCTGAAACCCCTGTTTGCTTTCACAATCACAAGGCTTGTTGCCTGGGGCAAGATCTCAGCCCTGCTTACTGGCTGCCTTGATATAAATTTGGTGTTGTTGGTGGGGCATGGTAGGAGCGAGACTGCCTTTGCTAGCTGTGTGGGAGCTGAGTGAAGCCTGTCACTGCTGGCTTTCCCCCACTTCCCTGGAGACCTGTATAACACAGCAGAGGCAGCCATAATCCTCCTGAGAACAGAAGTCCATTGGCCTGAGAACCGCACCCCCATCCCCCACAGGGGCTGCAGCAAGCCCCGCCCAAGAAGAGTCTGAGTTCAGACACGCCCAACCCTGCCCCCCACCCCATGGTCTTTCTCTAACTGCCCAAAAGATATAATCCCCTGGGAGCTCTATGGCCCCACTCACTGCCTAGGAAACCCAAATACTTATCCAAATGACCTTAGGGCAAGCTTGTAGCCACCGGTATACTACTGCAGCTGATGCTCTCTTGAAAGTGCAGTCTTCATTGATGGCCAAACAACTCAAGCCATTACAGCAATTCATAAAAGAAAAATCCTGCTCCAAAAAAGGAGAAAACAACAGCTAATTTCAACACCTGCAACATTCTGGATAATCAGAGGTCCTGAGTCAGTCCGCTTGACAACTTCACTGCTAGCACAACCAGTATTTGAGAAAGCCAGCACACTAACTAAAACTACAACCAAGGACCCTCACAGAGTCCACTTCACTCCCCTGCTAATTCCACTGGAGCAGATGCTCGTATCCACAATTGAGAGACCTGAAGTTGGATCACATCACAGGACTCTGCAGGTACTCTCCAGTACCAGCCTGGAGCCCAGTAGATCTGCTGGGTGGCTAGACCCAGAAGAACAATAACAATCACTGCAGTCCAGCTCTCAAGAAGCTCTATCTTTAGGGGAAGAGGGAGCACACCATATCAAGGGAGCAACCCATGGGACAAAAGAATCTGAACAGCAAGTCCCAAATCTTTCCTCTGACACCGTCTACCCGAATGAGAAATTACCAGAAAAACAATTCTGATAATATGACAAAAAAAGGTTCTCTGTCACCCCCAAAAGATCACACTAACTCATCAGCAATGAATCCAAACCAAGAAGAAATCTCTGAATTGCCAGAAAAAGAATTCAGAAGGTCGATTATTAAGCTACTCAAGGAGGCACCAGGGAAAGGTGAAAACCAATGTAAAGAAACAAAAAATAATACAGGATATGGATGAAAAGATCTCCAGAGAAAAAAAATCACAAATAAAAAATAATCACAACTTCTGGAAATGAAAGACACACTTAGAGAAATGCAAAATATACTGGAAAGTTTCCACAATAGAATTGAGCAAGTAGAAGAAAGAATTTCAGAACTTGAAGACAAGACTTCCAGCTTAACCCAATTAGACAAAGCAAAGAAAAAAGAATTTTAAAAAGTGAATAAATCCTCTAAGGAGCTTGGGATTATGTTAATCAACCAAACCTAAGAATAATTGGTGTTCCAGAGGAAGAAGAGAAATCTAAAAAAGTTTGGAAAACTTATTTGAGGGAATAATTGAGGAAAACTTTCCCAGTTTTGCTAGAAATCTAGACATCCAAACACAAGAAGCTCAAAGATCACCTGGTGATATGCTTTGGCTGTGTCCCTACCAAAATCTCGTCTTGAATTGTAGCTTCCATAATCCCCATGTGTCACGGGAGGGACGCAGTGAGGGGTAATTGAATCATGCAGGTGGGTTTTTCCCGTGCTCTTCTCGTGATAGAGAATAAATCTCAAGAGATCTGGTGGATTTATAAAGTTCCCCTGCACATGCTCCTTTGCCTTCCACCATGTAAGATGTGCCTTTGCTCCTCCTTCATCTTCTGACATGATTGTTAGGCCTCCCCAGCCATGTGAAACTGAGTCCATTAAACCTTTTTTATAAATTTATAAATTACCCAGTCTCGGGTATGTCTTTATTAGCAGCATGAGAACAGACTAATACACCCTGGAAATTCATCACAAAAAGATAATCATCTAGGCACATAGTCATCAGGTTATCTAAAGTCAAGATGAAGGAAAGAATCTTAAGAGCTCTGAGGCAAAAGCATCATGTAACCTAAAAAGGAAAATCTATCAGATTAACAGCAGATTTGTCAGCGGAAATCCCACAAGCTAGAAGAGACTGGGGTTCTACCTTTAGACTCCTTAAGCAAAACAATTATCAGCCAAGAACTTTCTATCCAGTGAAGCTAAGCCTCATAAATGAAGGGAAGGTAGTCTTTTACAGACAAACAAAGGCTGAGAGAATTCACCACTACCAAGCCATCACTATAGTAAATGCTAAAAGGAATTCTAAACCTTGAAAGAAAACCTCAAAATACACCAAAATAGAACCTTCTTAAAGCATAAATCTCACAGGGCCTATGAAACAATAACACAATTAAAAAAAAAAACCAAGATATTCAGGCAACAACTAGCACAATGAATAGAATAGTACCTCACATGTCAACACTAACATTGAACGTAAATAGCCTAAATGCTCCACTTATACAGTGGCAGGATGGATAAGAATTCACCAATCAAGTATCTGCTGTCTTCAAGAGACTCACCTAACATATAAGGACTCATGTAAACTTAAGGTAAAGGAGTGGGAAAAGATATTCCATGCAAATGGAAACGAAAAGCAAGCAGGATGGCTGAGCATGATGGTCCATCCTGTAATCATGGCACTTTGGGAGGCTGAGGAGGGCAGATCACCTGATGTCAGGAGTTCAAGACCAGCCTGGCCAATATGGTGAAACCCCATCTCTACTAATAATACAAAAATTAGCTGGGTGTGGTGGCATGCATCTGTAATCCCACCTACTTGGGAGGCTGAGACATGAGAATTGCTTGAACCCTGGAGGCAGATGTTGCAGTGAACCGAGATCATGCCACTGCACTCTAGCCTGGGTGACAGAGTCAGACTCCATCTCTAAATAAATAAACAAAAGCAGGAGTAATTATTCTTATATTAGACAAAACAGACTTTAAAGCAACAACTGTTAAAAAAGACAAAGAGGGACATTATATAATGAAAAAGGACTAGTCCAACAGGAAATTATCACAGTCCTAAATATATATGCACCTAACCCTGGTGCTCCCAAATTTATAAAGCAATTACTACTAGGCCTAAGAAATGAGACAGATGGCAACACAATAATAGTGGGGGACATCAATACCCCACTGACAACACTAGACAGGTCATCAAGACAGATAGTCAACAAAGAAACAATGGACTTAAACTATACCCTAGAATAAATTAACTTGAAAGCTATTTATAGAACATTCTACCCAGCAACTGCAGAGTATATATTCCATTCATCAGCACATGGAACATTCTCCAAGATAAACCATATGATAGGCAACAAAACAAGACTCAGTAAATTTAAGAAAATCAAAATTATTATATCAAGTACTATCTCAGATCACAGTGGAAGAAAATTGGAAATCAGCTCAAAAAGGAAGCCTCAAAACGATGCAAATACATGGAAATTAAATAATCTGCTCCTGAATGATTGTGGAGTCAACAGTGAAATCAAGATGGAAATTTAAAAATTCTTTGAGCTGAACAATAATAGTGACACAACCTATCAAAACTTCTGGAATGCAGTGAAAGCAGTACTAAGAGGAAAGTTCATAGCATTAAATGCCTATATCAAAAAGTCTGAAAGAGCACAAACAGACAATCTAAGGTCACATCTCAAGGAATCAGAGAAACAGGAAAGAACCAAACCCAAATTCAGCAGAAGAAAAGAAATAACAAAAATCAGAGCAGAACTGAATGAAATTGAAACAACAACAATAGCAAAAAAAAATACAAAAGATAAATGAAACAAAAAGTTGGTTCCTTAAAAAGCTAAGCAAAATTCATAGACCATTAGCAAGATAAATCAAGAAAAGAAGAGAGAAGATCCAAATAATCTCAATTAGAAATGAAATGGGAGATATTACAACCAATTCCACAGAAATACAAAAGAACACTCAAGGCTACTGTGAAAACCTTTACACACACAAACTAGAAAACCTAGAGGAGATGGATAAATTCCTGGAAATATACAACTCTCATAGATTAAAACAGGAAGAAATAGAATCACTGAATAGACCAATAAGAAGCAGTGAGATTGAAATGGCAATAAAAAGATTGCTAACAACAACAAAAAAAGTCTAGGACCAGCTAGATTCACAGCTGAATTCTATCAGACATTCGAAGAAGAATTCATACCAATCTTCTTGACACTATTCTAAAAGATAGAGAAAGACGGAATCCTCCCTAAATTATTCTGTGAAGCCAGTATCACCCTAATACCAGAACAAGGAAAGGACATAACCAAAAAATAAAACTACAGACCGATATCCCTGATGAAAGTAGATGCAAAAATTCTTAACAAAATACTAGCTAACAGAATCCAACAGCATATCAAAAAGATAATCCACTATAATCAAGTGGGTTTTATATTAGGGATGCAGGGATGGTTTAACATATGCAAGTCAATACATGTGATATACTGCATAAACAGAACTAAAAACACAGTTCACATAATCATATCAACAGATGCAGAAAAATCATTTGACAAAATCCAGCATGCCTGTATGACTAAAACCCTCAAAACAATTGGCATTGAAGGGACACACCTTGTGGTCATAAAAGCCATCTAGGACATACCCACCACCAACATTATGCAGGACAGGAAAAAGTTGAAGGCATTCCCCCTGATAACGGGAACAAAACAAGGATGCCCACTTTTCACCACTTCTATTAAAAATAGTACTAAAGTCCTAGCCAGAACAGTCAGACAAGAGAGAGAAATCAAGTGCATCCAAATAGGTAAAGAGGAAGTCAAACTGTCGCTATTCACTGATGAGATGATCACATACCTGGAAAACACAAAAGATGCATCTCAAAGACTCCTAGATTTGATAAATAAATTCAGTAAATTTCAGGATACAAAATAAATGTACACAAATCAGTAGCACTGCCATACACCAACAGCAACCAAGCTGAGAACCAAATTAAGAATGCAACCCATTTTACAATAGCCACCAAAAAACAAACAAACAAACAAAAACTTAGAAATATACCTAACCAAGGATGTTAAAGACCTCTGCAAGGAAAACTACAAAACACTGCTGAAATAAATCATAGAAGACACAAACAAATGAAAGCATAACAGAGGATCCAAGATGGCCGAATAGGAACAGCTCCGGTCTACACCTCCCAGCGTGAGCGACGCAGAAGACGGGTGATTTCTGCATTTCCATCTGAGCTTTGAAGAGAGCAGTGGTTCTCCCAGCACGCAGCTGGAGATCTGAGAACGGGCAGACTGCCTCCTCAAGTGGGTCCCTGACCCCTGACCCCCGAGCAGCCTAACTGGGAGGCACCCCCCAGCAGGGGCAGACTGACACCTCACACGGCCGGGTACTCCAACAGAACCGCAGGTGAGGGTCCTGTCTGTTAGAAGGAAAACTAACAAACAGAAAGGACATCCACACCAAAAACCCATCTGTACATCACCATCATCAAAGACCAAAAGTAGATAAAACCACAAAGATGGGGAAAAAACAGAACAGAAAAACTGGAAACTCTAAAAAGCAGAGCACCTCTCCTCCTCCAAAGGAATACAGTTCCTCACCAGCAGCGGAACAAAGCTGGACCGAGAATGACTTTGACGAGCTGAGAGAAGAAGGCTTCAGACGATCAAATTACTCCGAGCTATGGGAGGACATTCAAACCAAAGGCAAAGAAGTTGAAAACTTTGAAAAAAATTTAGAGGAATGTATAACTAGAATAACCAATACAGAGAAGTGCTTAAAGGAGCTGATGGAGCTGAAAACCAAGGCTCGAGAACTACGTGAAGAATGCAGAAGCCTCAGGAGCCGATGCGATCAACTGGAAGAAAGGGTATCAGCGATGGAAGATGAAATGAATGAAATGAAGCGAGAAGGGAAGTTTAGAGAAAAAAGAATAAAAAGAAAGGAGCAAAGCCTCCAAGAAATATGGGACTATGTGAAAAGACCAAATCTACGTCTGATTTGTGTACCTGAAAGTGACGGGGAGAACGGAACCAAGTTCGAAAACACTCTGCAGGATATTATCCAGGAGAACTTCCCCAATCTAGCAGGGCAGGCCAACATTCAGATTCAGGAAATACAGAGAACGCCATAAAGATACTCCTTGAGAAGAGCAACTCCAAGACACATAATTGTCAGATTCACCAAAGTTGAAAGGAAGGAAAAAATGTTAAGGGCAGCCAGAGAGAAAGGTCGGATTACCCTCAAAGGGAAGCCCATCAGATTAACAGCAGATCTCTCGGCAGAAACCCTACAAGCCAGAAGAGAGTGGGGGCCAATATTCAACATTCTTAAAGAAAAGAATTTTCAACCCAGAATTTCATATCCAGCCAAACTAAGCTTCATAAGTGAAGGAGAAATAAAATACTTTACAGACAAGCAAATGCTGAGAGATTTTGTTACCACCAGGCCTGCTCTAAAAGAGTTCCTGAAGGAAGTGCTAAACATGGAAAGGAACAACCGGTACCAGCCGCTGCAAAATCATGCCAAAATGTAAAGACCATCGAGACTAGGAAGAAACTGCATCAACTAAAGAGCAAAATAACCAGCTAACATCATAATGACAGGATCAAATTCACACATAACAATATTAACTTTAAATGTAAATGGACTAAATGCTCCAATTAAAAGACACAGACTGGCAAATTGGATAAAGAGTCAAGACCCATCAGTGTGCTGTATTCAGGAAACCCATCTCACGGGCAGAGACACACATAGGCTCAAAATAAAAGGATGGAAGAAGATCTACCAAGCAAATGGAAAACAAAAAAAGGCAGGGGTTGCAATCCTAGTCTCTGATAAAACAGACTTTAAACCAACAAAGATCAAAAGAGACAAAGAAGGCCATTACATAATGGTAAAGGGATCAATTCAACAAGAAGAGCTAACTATCCTAAATATATATGCACCCAATACAGGAGCACCCAGATTCATAAAGCAAGTCCTGAGTGACCTACAAAGAGACTTAGACTCCCACACATTAATAATGGGAGACTTTAACACCCACTGTCAACATTAGACAGATCAACGAGACAGAAAGTCAACAAAGATACCCAGGAATTGAACTCAGCTCTGCACCAAGTGGACCTAATAGACATCTACAGAACTCTCCACCCCAAATCAACAGAATATACATTTTTTTCAGCACCACACCACACCTATTCCAAAATTGACCACATAGTTGGAAGTAAAGCTCTCCTCAGCAAATGTAAAAGAACAGAAATTACAACAAACTGTCTCTCAGACCACAGTGCAATCAAACTAGAACTCAAGATTAAGAATCTCACTCAAAACCGCTCAACTACATGGAAACTGAACAACCTGATCCTGAATGACTACTGGGTACATAACGATATGAAGGCAGAAATAAAGATGTTCTTTGAAACCAACGAGAACAAAGACACAACATACCAGAATCTCTGGGACACATTCAAAGCAGTGTGTAGAGGGAAATTTATAGCACTAAATGCCCACAAGAGAAAGCAGGAAAGATCCAAAATTGACACCCTAACATCACAATTAAAAGAACTAGAGAAGCAAGAGCAAACACATTCAAAAGCTAGCAGAAGGCAAGAAATAACTAAAATCAGAGCAGAACTGAAGGAAATAGAGACACAAAAAACCCTTCAAAAAATTAATGAATCCAGGAGCTGGTTTTTGGAAGGATCAACAAAATTGATAGACTGCTGGCAAGACTAATAAAGAAAAAAAGAGAGAAGAATCAAATAGACGCAATAAAAAATGACAAAGGGGATATCACCACCAATCCCATAGAAATACAAACTACCATCAGAGAATACTACAAAAACCTCTATGCAAATAAACTAGAAAATCTAGAAGAAATGGATAAATTCCTCGACACATACACCCTCCCAAGACTAAACCAGGAAGAAGTTGAATCTCTGAATAGACCAATAACAGACTCTGAAATTGTGGCAATAATCAATAGCTTACCGACCAAAAAGAGTCCAGGACCAGATGGATTCACAGCCAAATTCTACCAGAGGTACAAGGAGGAACTGGTACCATTCCTTCTGAAACTATTCCAATCAATAGAAAAAGAGGGAATCCTCCCTAACTCATTTTATGAGGCCAGCATCATCCTGATACCAAAGCCGGGCAGAGACACAACAAAAAAGAGAATTTTAGACCAATATCCTTGATGAACATTGTTGCAAAAATCCTCAATAAAATACTGACAAACCAAATCCAGCAGCACATCAAAAAGCTTATCCACCATGATCAAGTGGGCTTCATCCCTGGGATGCAAGGCTGGTTCAATATACGCAAAACAATAAATGTAATCCAGCATATAAACAGAACCAAAGACAAAAACCACAGGATTATCTCAATAGATGCAGAAAAGTCCTTTGACAAAATTCAACAATGCTTCATGCTAAAAACTCTCAATAAATTAGGTATTGATGGAACGTATTTCAAAATAATAAAAGCTATCTATGACAAACCCACAGCCAATATCATACTGAATGGGCAAAAACTGGAAGCATTCCCTTTGAAAACTGGCACAAGACAGGGATGCCCTCTCTCACCACTCCTATTCAACATAGTGTTGGAAGTTCTGGCCAGGGAAATTAGGCAGGAGAAAGAAATAAAGGGTATTCAATTAGGAAAAGAGGAAGTCAAATTGTCCCTGTTTGCAGATGACATGATCGTATATCTAGAAAATCCCATTGTCTCAGCCCAAAATCTCCTTAAGCTGATAAGCAACTTCAGCAAAGTCTCAGGATACAAAATCAATGTACAAAAATCACAAGCATTCTTATACACCAAAAACAGACAAACAGAGAGCCAAATCATGAGTAAACTCCCATTCACAATTGCTTCAAAGAGAATAAAATACCTAGGAATCCAACTTACAAGGGATGTGAAGGATCTCTTCAAGGAGAACTGCAAACCACTGCTCAAGGAAATAAAAGAGGATACAAACAAATGGAAGAACATTCCATGCTCATGGGTAGGAAGAATCAATATCATGAAAATGGCCATACTGCCCAAGGTAATTTACAGATTCAATGCCATGCCCATCAAGCTACCAATCACTTCCTTCACAGAATTGGAAAATAGTACTTTAAAGTTCATATGGAACCAAAAAAGAGCCCACATCGCCAAGTCAATCCTAAGCCAAAAGAACAAAGCTGGAGGCATCACACTACCTGACTTCAAACTATACTACAAGGCTACAGTAACCAAAACAGCATGGTACTGGTACCAAAACAGAGATATAGATCAATGGAACAGAACAGAGCCCTCAGAAATAATGCCGCATATCTACAACTATCTGATCTTTGACAAACCTGACAAAAACAAGCAATGGGGAAAGGATTCCCTATTTAATAAATGGTGCTGGGAAAACTGGCTAGCCATATGTAGAAAGCTGAAACTGGATCCCTTCCTTACACCTTATACAAAAATCAATTCAAGATGGATTAAAGACTTAAACTTTAGACCTAAAACCATAAAAACCCTAGAAGAATACCTAGGCATTACCATTCAGGAAACAGGCATGGGCAAGGACTTCATGTCTTTGCCCAAACACCAGAAGCAATGGCAACAAAAGCCAAAATTGACAAATGGGATCTAATTAAACTAAAGAGATTCTGCACAGCAAAAGAAACTACCATCAGAGTGAACAGGCAACCTACAAAATGGGAGAAAATTTTTGCAACCTACTCATCTGACAAAGGGCTAATATCCAGAATCTACAATGAACTCAAACAAATTCACAAGAAAAAAACAAACAACCCCATCAAAAAGTGGGCGAAGGACATGAACAGACACTTCTCAAAAGAAGACATTTATGCAGCCAAAAAACACATGAAAAAATGCTCACCATCACTGGCCATCAGAGAAATGCAAATCAAAACCACAACGAGATACCATCTCACACCAGTTAGAATGGCAATCATTAAAAAGTCAGGAAACAAGAGGTGCTGGAGAGCATGTGGAGAAATAGGAACACTTTTACACTGTTGGTGGGACTGTAAACTAGTTCAACCATTGTGGAAGTCAGTGTGGCGATTCCTCAGGGATCTAGAACTAGAAATACCATTTGACCCAGCCATCCCATTACTGGCTATATACCCAAAGGACTATAAATCATGCTGCTATAAAGACACATGCACACGTATGTTTATTGCAGCATTATTCACAATAGCAAAGACTTGGAACCAACCCAAATGTCCAACAATGATAGACTGGATTAAGAAAATGTGGCACATATACACCATGGAGTACTATGCAGCCATAAAAAATGATGAGTTCACGTCCTTTGTAGGGACATGGATGAAACTGGAAATCATCATTCTCAGTAAACTATCGCAAGAACAAAAAACCAAACACCACATATTCTCACTCATAGGTGGGAATTGAACAATGAGAACACATGGACACAGGAAGGGGAACGTCACACTCTGGGGACTGTTGTGGGGTGGGGGGAGGGGGGAGGGATAGCATTGGGAGATATACCTAATGCTAGATGACGAGTTAGTGGGTGCAGTGCACCAGCATGGCACATGTATACATATGTAACTAACCTGCACATTGTGCACATGTACCCTAAAACTTAAAGTATAATAATAATAATAAATAAATAAATAAATAAATAAATAAATAAAAAGAAAGCATATCCCATGCTCATGGATAGGTAGAATCAATATTGTGAAAATGATCATACTGCCAAAAGCAATCTACAAATTCATTGCAATTCCTATCAAAATACCACCATCATTCTTCACAGAACTAGAAAAAAAAATAGTAAAATTTACATGGAACCAAAAAAACCATAACGAGATTAAGCAAAAAGTACAAACCTGGAGGCATCACACTACCCAACTTCAAACTAGACTATTAATATAAGGCTATAGTCACCAAAACTGCATGGTACCGGTATATAAATAGACAGACTAATGGAACAGAATAGAGAACCCAGAAATAAAGCCAAATACTTACAGTCAAGTGATCTTCAAAAAATTAAACAAAAACCTATAGTGAAGAAAGGACATGCTGTTCAACAAATGGTGCTGGGATAAATGGCAAGCCACATGTAGAAGAATGAAACTGGATCCTCATCTCTCACCTTATACAAAAATCAACTCAAGATGGATCAAAGACTTAATCTAAGACCTGAAACTATAAAAATTCTAGAAGGTAACATCAGAAAAACCCTCCTAGAAATTGGCTTAGGCAAAGAGTTCATGACCAAGAGCCCAAAAGAAAATGCAACAAGAACAAAGATGAATAGATGAGACTTAATTAAACTAAAAAGCTTCTGCAGAGTGAAAGAAATAATCAGCAGAGTAAACAGACAACCACAGAGAGGGAGAAAATCTTTGCAAACCATACATCCAACAAAGGAGTAATATCCAGAATCTGCAAGGAACTCAAACAAACCAGCAAGAAAAAAACAAATAATCCCATCAAAAAGTGGGCAAATGACATGAATAGCAAATTCTCAAAAGAAGATATACAAATGGCCAACACACATATGAAAAAATGCTCAACATCACTAATTATCAGGGAAATGCAAATCAAAACCTCAATACAATAATAACACTTTACTCCTGTAAGAATGACTGTAATTTAAAAATCAAAAACCAGTAGATGTTGGTATGGATATGGTGAAAAGGGGACACTATTATACTGCTAGTGAGAATGTAAACTAGTATACCCACTATGGAAAACAGTGTAGAGAGTCCTTAAAGAACAAAAAGTAGAACTATCATTTAATCCAGCAATCCCACAACAGAATATCTACCCAGAGGACAAGAAATTATTATATGAAAAGGACACTTGCACATGCATGTTTATAGCAGCACAATTCACAATTGCAAAAATATGGAATCAGCCCAAATGCCCATCAATCAACAAGCGGATAAAGAAAATGTGGTATGTATATATACCATGAAATACTACTCAGCCATAAAAAGGAACAAAATAATGGCATTCACAGCAACCTGGATGGAGTTGGAGACCATTATTCTAAGTGAAGTAATTCAGGAATGGAAAACCAAACATCATATGTTCTCACTTATAAGTGGGACCTAAGCTATGAGGATGCAAAGGCATAAGAATGATACAATGCACTTTGGGGCCTTGAGGGGAAGGTTGGGAGGGGTGTGAAGGATAAAAGACTACACACTGGGTACAGTGTACACTGCTCAGGTGATGGGTGCACCAAAATCTCAGAAATTACACCAAAAGTACTTATCTATACAACAAAACACCACTTATTCCCCAAGAACCTATTGAAATTTTAAAAATTAAAAATTTAAATAAATAAAGTTCAGTGTGATGAGAAGTAAATAAATACATAAATAAATAATTCAGTGTCATGAAATCCTAAGAAAGACTCAAGAAGTATTCCAGAATAAAGGAGACTAAAGAGAAATGACGACTGAATACAATGCATGATATTGGATTTTCTTTTTACAAAGGACTTTGTTAAGGCCTTAGAGGAAATTTGAATAAGGCATGTAGATTAGATAAGCATATTGTATCAATGGTGATTTCCTGATTTTGATAATATACTACTTTTATGTGAAAGAATTTCTGTAATTTTAGGAAAAAATGACTAAAGTATTTAGGAGTAAACAGGCATCCAATTTACAACTTACCCTTAAAGATTATACACGCACACACAAAACTCGTGTGTGTGTGTGTGTGTGTGTGTGTGTACAGGGAAAGAGATAGAGCAAATAAATTGTTAACATTTGGGGAATATGAGTAATGGGTATCCAGAAAGTTTTTTGTAGTATTTTTTTCTTTTCTTTCTTTCTTTTTTTTTTTTTCTTTGAGACCGAGTATCACTCTTGTAGCCCAGGCTGGAGTGCAATGGCACTGTCTCTGCTCACCACAACCTCCAACTCCCGGGTTCAAGTGATTCTCCTGCCTCAGCCTCCCAAGTAGCTGGAATTACAGGCATGTGCCACCATGCCCAGCTAGTTTTGTACTTTTTTTTTTTTAGTAGAGATGAGGTTTCTCTGTGTTGGTCAAGCTGGTCTCGAACTCTTGACCTCAGGTGATCTGCCCACCCTGGCCTCCCAAAGTGGTGGGATTATAGGCATGAGCCACTGCCCCTGGCCTTTTTTTTTTCTTTCTTTTTTTTTTTTTTTGAGACGGAGTCTCGCTCTGTTGCCCAGGCTGGAGTGTAGTGGTGTGATCTCGGCTCACTGCAACCTCCACCTCCCAGGTTCAAGCAATTCTCCTGCCTCAGCCTCCTGAGTAGCAGGGACTACAGGTGCCAGCCACCACACCCGGCTAATTTTTGCATTTTCAGTAGAGACAGGGTTTCTCCATATTGGCCAAGCTGGTCTTGAACTCCTGACCAGTGATCCACCTGCTTTGGCCTCCCAAAGTGCTGGGATGACAGGCGTGTGCCACTGCGCCTGGCCTTTTTTTTTTTTTTTTGAGACAAGAGTTTCACTCTTGTTGCCTAGGCTGGAGTGCAATGGCGCCATCTCGGTTCACTGCAACCTCCACCTCCTGGCTTTAAGTGATTATCCTGCCTCAGCCTCCCAAGCAGTTGGGATTACAGGCATGCGCCACCATGCCCGACTGATTTTGTATTTTAAGTAGAGATAGGATTTCACCATGATGGTCAGGCTGGTCTCAAACTCCTGACCTAAGGTGATCTGCCCACCTCGGCCTCCTAAAGTGCTGGGATTACAGGCATGAGCCACCGCACCCGGCCTGTAGTATTCTTACAAATTTTCTGTTAGCCTGAAATTATTTCAAAAGTTAAAAATTAAAAAGGTGATTATTAATTTTTTGGCTTGTCCAACCAGATTTTAATTACTGAAGTGAGGAATATTCTGAGAAGGGTTTCCCACTCTATCCCTGCCCCTCAAGTTCTGGTGCTGGGGCTTTCCATTTCAATATTCACTACTGGTTTCATGTGTTTGAGGACCCTGGACTTCTATAAAGTGGGAAGAAGAAACAGCCAATGTGATTTCTCCTGACAAATACATAGGACTTACTTAAATGTAGATGCTGGTCCACAGGATTTGACTGGCTTCTGTGCTTTGATTTGGCTTCCCAGTGGCTTACTGTTGCTGTTCACCAATGTGTTAGGCAATGTCCTTATCTAGAACGCTTCATCTGATACTCCACCACACACCCAATCATTATGTATATTAAATTAGATCTATTGCCCTGACCACATCTGAAATCACACTCTGTTCCCTACCTCTGCTCTACTCTCAACCTAGGCATCCTCTTCTACTTCTACAGGGGCTTGAACTTCAAGTGGTATTTTTGGTCTCTAATCTTTGTCCAGTTCTATTACATAAAACCTTTGCCCTGCTCTCTCTAATTCATACCTTTATTCTTGATTTTTCAAACACCTATCTGGGGAATCAGAGAATTATGGGCTGCAGATAAAATTTTGAGTAGTGCCGGCTTTATAGTTGATAATTCAAGCTTTTGTTTTGTATGAATTTGTCTAGGAAAAATTGTAGTGAGAAGACTAGAGAGACATGAGGATCTCCCAGTATTTAACAGGTAAAATATTCACTTATTAAATTATAGGCATTGTATATATTTTTATATTATAATTGCAATGAAAAATTAAAAACAAAGATACCGTAGTCCCTCCTTATCCACGGGCATTATGTTCCAAGATCCCCAGTGGATGCCTGAAACCACAGATAGAACCAAATTTTATCTACACTAAGCTTTTACCTATACTTACATTCGATAAAGTTTAATTTCTAAGTTAGGCACAGTATGAGATTAACGAAAATAACTAATAATAAAATAGAACAATTAGAACAATATACTGTAATTAACGTTGTGAATGCGGTCTCTCTGTCTTTCTCTCTCTCAAAATATCTTAATGTTTTCAGACCATAGTTGACCATGAGTAACTGAAACTGTGGAAAGTGAAACCATGGATAAGAGGGTCTACTATAATAACAGTGCTATGTGTAACTTCCAAAGTATGGTAGAAAACTAAACAATATGGACGAGGGAGTAGAGCTTATAGTTAAATGGAAAGAACATTGAGCCAGGAGTCAGGATTTGGTACCTCAGTTCTAGTCTTGTCTCAGCCACTATCCTGGTTACTAAAGATCAGTCAGCCTCTCTGGTTCTCAGATGAAGAGGTCATAAGCTACCTGGCTCCTGAAGTTTCTTCCAGCCATCTCTAAATGTCTATGTCTATCTCTTAAAAGTTTACTTAGTGAGACAATTTTTCATGGTCTTCTTTAGGATATTTGTAGTGTCTTTCAACCTAGAGATTCTATGATTTCATGAATTATTTTCAGATTAACTGAAAATTATTTTCACCCTGAGGAAAAAGAATTGATCAAACATGAGCTATAGCAATCAGTTAAACTGACTTAGTGACTTATCCTCATTATTGCAGAGTTCACAGTTGCTGTAAATCTCATTAAATCACAGCAAAGTACACTTATGTTGACATAGTGGTAAAATGAATAGTCATTAATTGGAGGAGAGGAGATAACTTCATTTTTTCTTATCATAAAAGTAAAAAATTCTTATTGGAAAAGAAATTAGAAATGCAGAATATTATAAAGAAGAAACTAAAGATCACCCACAATTCAGTTGCCGGAAATAACTTCTCACAACATTATTAAACATTACTTTTTAAATACTATCCTAAAGCAATAGTTAGTTATATATATATTATATATGTTTACAATGGCATTATCATAATGAAAAATTGAGAATTACTCCATCCATAGAGGACCGATTAAATAAATCATTAGCCATCTATACAGAGTACTATTACATTAGAAAGTGTGAGCTGTTTGCTTGAGTTAGCACTTGATCACAATCAACTACAGGGCTTAACTCAATTGTGATGCATCTTGGCACTGCATGCTGTGGATTACTAGTACTCCCCTTCTAATCAGCATACATTTAGTGCTTCATTCAAGGCCAAGGACATGACTAAACCAATCCCAATAGTTCATCATTGTGGTGTATTTTTAGCAAGGGATCACTTTTAGTACTAAGTAGAGAATCATTTTGGGTTGAAGCAGGAAAACAAAAACCACAGTAGGTATTTCAACAGACAAATTTTATTAAAAGGAACTGATCAAATAGTATTGGCAAATTGAAAAATGAGGACACTGAAGTAACACATAGCTTTGTCTAAGCCCATTGAACAGAATATCTTGAAAAATGGGAAGAGGATACTAAAATAACACATAGCTTGCACCTGCGTGAAGCCCTACCACCTCAGTGATAAAAGAACCACAAAGATAAAAGGTTAGAGTAGCACCTGAAACTTGGAGAGGCCCTCCAGAGCTGGGACGATCTCTGAAGAAGGATGGTGACGGTGCCTCGGCAGCTCAAAGGAGGAGCCTGTGAAGTGGGGACATTAATGTTTCTTATTTTATAAGGTTCTTATGTAGATTAAATGAGATTATGCATGTGAAGCTCTAACTGTAATTATTGGTGGGAAGTAATGTAGGCCAGTAGTTAAGTGCAGAAACCATAAATCGGGCTGCCTGGGTTGAAATCTTATTTCTGAGAAGACCAGCACGTCATAGCAATTCCCTTTACTTTCTTGTTATCATAGTGACTATACATTGATTGCAATTCACTAAATCTTACTAGAATAGCAAACTGGACTATTTGTGATTAGATAGATACAAACTCTGACATGTTAGTAGTATAATTTTTCCCATATCACAGCTTAGAAAACTGAGGTATAGGTATTTTTAAGGCTACATAGCTCATAAGTGGTAGAACCTCTATTGAATCAGAATTTTCCATAATATTTATCACCTTATTTCTTAGTTCATTTGTGCTATTATAACAAAATGCCACAGACTGGGTAATGTATAATGAACATAAATTTATTGGCTCACAGTTCTGGAGGCTGGGAACTCTAATATCAAGGTGCCAGCAGGTTTGGCAATTCTGATTCCAAGATGGTGCCTTAAATGATGCCTCCTCTGGAGGGGAGGAACACTTTGTCTTCACATGGCAGAAGGCAGAATGAAGAGACAAAAGGGGGCCCAATTTACCCTTTTATAAAGTCATAAATCCCACCCATGAGGGCAGAGTCCTCATGGCCTAATCAACCTCTTAAAGGGGTCACCTCTTAATACTGTTACAATGGCAGTTAAATTTCAACATGAGTTTTGGAAGGGACAAACATTCAAACCACAGCACCATCTAATACATTATGTATTTTTACTTATTTATCTCCCTCTACCCACTGGATTATAAGCTTCATGAGAACAAGTTATTCATTCATTCCTTCTTTCATTTATTTATGTATTTACTGCTATATTTCAAGCCCTTTGAACAGAGACTGGCACATAATAAGCATTAAATAAATATTTGTTGATTGAATATGAACCAAGTAGGGACCCAGAGAAAGAACTATACATATTATCTCACTTTATAATGGCTACAATGTTGAGATAGTAGAGTATGTATTATTTTGCCTCAATTTTATAGAAAAAAACTTCATATTAACAAAGTGAAATAAATGGTTTAAATCACAGATGTAGAAGAGCCTAGACCTCAGGATTACCAGCCCATAGATTTTTCCCATTATAAAACAGTCTATTCTTAAAATTTGAGGTAAAAGTCAAAAAAGATAATCAGAGAAAAGTGTGAAAAATAGGTAATAGGCTCATAATAAAATCTTTATGAAGTCAGTGCATCCCCGACCGCTGTGGAGAATGCTGTAGTGGAATAATGAGCTATTTCACTATTATCGTTTTCAGCAGACTGTCAGCATAGCTTTCTCTCTCATCTCAATATTTCTAAGAATGTAGTTTCAACCCTAAGTCAAAATTACTTAGTAAAATTTCTGGGTTTTTTTGTATCCAGAAATCATTACTAACTTTATTTGAAAACCACACACACACAAAAAGATTCAAAATGTGTCTACTTTAGGTTTCCCAAATAGCAGCTTGAGTTATAATCACTAATTAAATATTTAAAGACTTCAAAGCAGCATTTAGAGAAATAAGTGGGTAAATGTAACATGGCCATTGTACTTGAACCTCACAGCGTTTTGTAAATCTTCAATTAATTAGTGTTTATAAGCTACCATGAGATCATTGGATAAACAATAGATAATAATAATTAAGTGTTATTATTACATGAAATGCATTATTACATTTAAGTGCTCATGAAAATTGCTAAAATTAAAGAGTGCCGAATGGCAAAGCCCATACAAATAATTTAAAGTGTGTATCATTCCTTTAGTCTGAGCCCTGAGAGATGTTTGAAATTGGTTAACCGCCATGAAAAGTTGAAATGTTTTTATGGATGAGGAAACAGAAGTACAAAGAGATAAAGAGCACACACAGCTAGAAACAAAGCATGGTTTTCCTTGATCCCAACCTGGCACAAAGATACAGAATCATAATTGAGGCAAGACCCACTTACCAAACAAAACAATAAAGAAACAAGTTGTAAGCTCTAGTTGATAGCAATCAGCATAAACTTGCTTTGCAAAAACTAGCAGGTCTTTGTTTTTAAAATAACTGCTTTGGCTTTGCAGATGCCGCTGCTGGGAGCCCTGTACTATCAGTCATGGTCAACCCCACTGTGTTCTTCGACATCGCCTTTGACGGCTAGCCCTTGGGGTGCATCTCCTTCAAGCTGTTTGCAGACAAGTTTCCAAAGACAGAAGAAAACTTTCATGCTCCGAGCACTGGAGAGAAAAGATTTGGTTATAAGGCTTCCTGCTTTCACAGAAATATTCCAGGGTTTATGTGTCAGGGTAGTGACTTCACACGCCATAATGGCACTGGTGGCAAGTCCATCTACGGGGAGAAATTTGAAGATGAGAACTTCATCCTAAAGCATACAGGTCCTGGCGTCTTGCCCATGGCAAATGCTGGACCCAACACAAATGGTTCCCAGTTTTTCATCTGCACTGCCAAGACTGAGTGGTTGGATGGCAAGCATGTGGTCTTTGGCAAGGTGAAAGAAGGCGTGAATATTGTGGAGGCCATGGAGCACTTTGGGTCCAGGAATGGCAAGACCAGCAAGAAGATCATCAGCATTGCTGACTGTGGACAACTCTAATAAGTTTGACTTGTGTTTTATCTTAACCACCAGACCATTTCTTCTGTATCTCAGGAGAGCACTCCTCCACCCCGTTTGCTCACAGTATCCTATCATCTTTGTGCTCTCGCTGCAGTTCCCTTTGGGTTCCATGTTTTCCTTGTTCCCTTCCATGCCTAGCTGGATTGGAGAGTTAAGTTTATGATTATGAAATCAAAACTAAATAAAAATTAAAAAAATAAAATAAAATAACTGCTTCTATTGATCAAGGAGTCAGAGTCACCGCGAGTTTTCACCTAAGTTTCCGTCTATGCTGGAAATCAGTGCCAACATCAATATGTTCAATTACAAGCTATAAGCTTGAAAGATGTTTCAATTTTATAAAATTAAATGTAATCTTCTTAGTGTAGCTTTAAGTTAGTTTATAGAGTGAATAGGGATGGTATGGCTGCCACACAACTTACCAGTTCTTCAACTTTCTTCTTCAGTAAGTTCTTCTTCCTGTACCCCTGGGAAAATAGAGAAGTTCCTTTATTTTCAGACGAGTGAAACACCAAGAAGGCTGTAGAGTGTTTTTTCTAGTCATTTGGACAAGTGAGTATAAATGAGTAGAGGTCAGGGATCTTCCTTGCATAACTATGAAAATCAGTGTGTCGAAAATTTATAAATAGAGGTGAGGCATTGAGCAACAGGTGAGCGTATTTGTTAGGATCTTTCTGGCAATGCTTTTCCCTTTGGCCTTTTCCAGGAGCACGGTTCTTTTGTATTTGTCACACAGGACCTGGGTGCCTGACTAAATAGCATGGCTTTAGACAGCAAATAACTCTTTAGCCATAGCAGAATGCAAGCGTGAGTTGATAAACTTTTTTTTTTTAACTCTGCCACTGTTCGTTTTTCTCCCTTCTGACCTTGAAAACAAAAATTGATCTGACTTCTACAAGAAGATTTTGTTTAGAGTACCATAAGCTACTAAACAGTAAGATATTTCAGAAATACTTTAGAAAGACTGATGAACAAAGGATAAATTAATCAAGATTAGTATAAAATGTCCACTCCTTATTTAAAGTAAAGTTATATTTGGCCAGGCACGGTGGCTCACACGTGTAATTCCAGCACCTTGGGAGGCCAAGGCAGGTGGATCACTTGAGGTCAGGAGCTTGAAACCAGCCTGGCCAACACGGTGAAACTGTCTCTACTAAAAATACAAAAATTAGCCAGGCGTGATGGTGCACACCTGTAATCCCAGCTACTCAGAAGGCTGAGGCGGGAGAATTGTTTGAACCCGGGAGGCAGAGGTTGCAGTGAGCCAAGATTGCAGCATTGCACTCCAACCTGGGCGACAGAGTGAGACTCCATCTCAAAATAAATAAATAAAGAAATAAATAAATAATAATAATAAAATTAAGTTATATTCATGGAAAGTTGAAAAACATTTGAAGGCATTTAAATCAACACATCTACTATTTATTGTCAAACATGAAGTTATAGCCATAGTCAAATCTCTATAGACAACATAGGGTCAGTGTATATTTTCCAACCAATTTTGAAAATAGTGTTTATTTGTTTTAAACATCTATGGCATTTTTAATTCTCACATCTCCATCTTCCTTAACACCAGAAATATTGTCCCATCTTCACAATAAAAAGTCACAAGACTATTTTAAGTACTAGGCTATCTTTCTGAAAAGCTTCTTAATTATGTGGTTAAAATGCTTTTATTGCTTACAGAGTAGTTCTAAGTTATGGTCTTTCCTCGCTCCCCGCCCAATCAGACTTCAAGATACATGATATATAAATTTATTTCCCTAAAACTATGTGCTTACATTTTCTCTTGGTTTGTTTATTTAATAAAGTTTTCCATAAAATCTAACTCATTTTTCTTTACAATCAGCATTGTAAGCCCACTCCAGAGATTGCATTTTTTTTCAGTCTAATCTAAAACTGGTGTTCTTGTCTGTCATTTTCTTCACAAAACTTCTGTCAATGACTTCTGTTTTTATTTTTAACTTTCTACTAAATGTCTTGAGATGATACCTTGATGCATCTGAAGTTTATTGGGAAATATAGGAAGAAAAGTTAATGATAAAATTATGCAATAGTCAGTGCGTTAAATTTGAATAGCTAAATATTTGTTGATAAATAGGCTTTGGGGATTCCAGGAGTTGGGGAAGAACTATCCATCGGATTCCTTCTTGTCCCTAGGAGCAGACAATACAAATTAGGTATGCACATGTACTTTTTTGCCCAGACACTCTCTGACCTCTATTACTGCCTTAGTTCTCTTAGACTCCAGTTGCCTCTGACAGCAGCCTGCTTTGAAACCACTTTTTAACAAAAAAGCTTCTTAGTTTACCTAATTCTACCCCTGTGTCATTTTAACCAAATTTTCTCTGCCACCCCACTGCAGCATCTCGGAGGAATACTTAAGGGAAAGTTAGATCATCACAGTTTGGTATTTTATTTTCATAAGTCGGAGTCTTACTATTTTGCCCAGGCTACTCTTGAACTATTGGGCTCAATTGATCCTCCTGCCTCAGCCTCCCAAGTACCTGGAAATAGGGGCATGAGCACTGTGCCAAGCTCAATAGTAATATTGATGCTTCTTTCTCGCAGTGCTGTACTATATTTAAAATAACTTCTTGTTGTTTGTAACCACTTGCAAAATATTCCTGATTTCTTCCCAGGTCGTAAAGTGCATCAAATTACTATTACTTTGAAATGGTAACTTTATGGGCCTATCTACATGCCCCTTCCATAGAGAAGGAAGAATTCTTCATTATATTTTATTTTTATTTTTTTAGACGGAGTCTTGCTCTGTCACCTGGGCTGGAGTGCAGCAGTACAATCTGGGCTCACTGCAACTTCCTTCTCCTGGGTTCAAGCTATCCTGCCTCAGCCTCTCTAGTAGCTGGGATTACAGGCGCGTGCCAACATGCCCGGCTAATTTTTGTATTTTTAGTAGAGATGGGGTTTCACTATGTTGTCTAGGATCGTATCAAACTCCTGATCTCAGGTGATCCACCCACCTCAGCCTCCCAAAGTGCTGGGATTACAGGCGTGAGCCACCCACGCAGCCAAGAAGGAAGAATTTTTGTAAGTGGTTAACGTGTTCTATCTGAAGATCAGCAAAAGGAATAAACTACATTAGCAGATTTAGTTTAGCTATTTGCTAGCAATGTGAATTTTGGCAAATCAATCTCTCTAAGTCTCTAAAATAGGAAAAGCAATACCACTCCTAGTGTTTTGAAACACAGTCACCATCTATTGCTGTCAAATTCCCAGCATTCTTTTTCCCTCTGGGAGCAGCGCCTTCCTACCTCCTGTAGTTCTGATACAATGGTTATTTCTGAGAGCCCCACCAATCTCCTGCCCACAGGGTTTAGCAAGTGACACCGACATAGCCAATCAGAATACTGCAACCCTCTCTTTGTATTATAATTGGTCCCAGATATGGGCACATGACCCACAAAGGGCCAATTGAAGTCCCTCTTTGAGTTTTGCTATATGAACACACAGAATCTGTCCTCTAGGACAGCAAGCACTGAGAAATATGTGAAGCCAAAGCCAGATGGCTTTGGATTTTATTCTCAGGCCAATTATCAGAGAGAAAATCTGAGGTGAGAGTTTGGGACAGAGTTAGAGATGCCCCTGAAGTTTTAAATTAAGCCTTTAACACCCCCCCCACACACACACCCCCGAAGGATTCCCTCCCCTTCAATGCTTACACTAGTTCAAGTTGGTTTGTGCTTCTTGCAACTGAAAGGACTCTGAGTAATAGAGAGGGTTAAACGAGACAAAGTACGTGAAGTATAAAGATATGTACAAACATAAGGTGTAACTATCACTCTCAGGGAATGCCATGCCACACCCCTAAATTTATTATGAATAAAAATTGGTATCAGAGAAATAGAGTCAGGACTATATGGTGTGGAATCACTTGACAAATATGACTATAGTGTACTAATGACATGACCTCCAATTATGTCCCATACAATCCATAACAAAAATTTAGGGGCCACTTTCCTCCTGAAGTATACCTGAATTTCTCTCTCTCTCTCTTTTTTTTTTTTTTTTGAGATGGAGTCTCACCTGTCGCCCAGGCTGGAGTACAGTGGCGTGACCTCGGCTTATTGCAACCTCTGTCTCCTGGATTCAGGTGATTCTCCTGCCTCAGCCTTCCAAGTAGCTGGGATTACAGGCATGTGCAACCACACCTGGCTAATTTTTATATTTTTAGTAGAGACGGGGTTTCACCATGTTGGCCAGGCTGGTTGGTCTTGAACTCCTGACCTCAGGTGATCTGCCCACCTCAGCCTCCCAAAGTGCTGGGATTACAAGAGTGAGCTACGCCCAGCATACCCTGAATTTCTACAGAACAAGATATGGATAAGACAGTACAAACTGAGCTCTGATGAGCCACACTACATGATAAAGTTTCAAAAAGTTGCCTAAAAGCACAAATCATTTAGATATACTGTCAAAATACCACAGAATTGCACCTATTCTTTTAAATTACATTGTACACACTTTGTTTATGTCTTCTACGTGAATGTTCAAAGAACAGAGACTGTTGTGATATTTTGTAGTTTTGTGTCTTCTGTGACTACGATGATTTCTCCTCTGTCTTCTACCACCCCCCACCTTCAGTACTAAATTGGGTTGTTACCTTAAAAGGCAAAAATTAGTGACTATATTTGTCCCTGTTGAAACAGGGAATAAACAAACAGCTGCGGTTAGTGCGTAGGCATTTAAGACATTCAGAATGCAGATTGTGGTTTAGATATCTGTCTGAAAAATGGGATTCCCAGGATAGGAGTCCATTTAGAAATTAACACAGTGTACAGGTAGAGCAAAGACATCGAAGATAAATAAAATCTCGAGGACTAGCTCAATTCCTTTATAAGCACAATGTTAGACAGTAAAATACACAATAATGTTAATCTAACTCTGTGACGTGGGCAGACAATTTTCTAACACATCAGAAAATACATAGGGCAAATCTGTTTTTAGTCTGTGTGTTTTCCTCTTTACCAAATGGAAAAAAAATCCTGCAATCTTGCACCAAGATCCTGTTTGTGAAACACAGAAGGCCATATTAGTGCAAAACAAGAATGCCACATTTAATTTAGCTCAATATAATGACTATTTGAGCACACATTGGGTGACAGAGACTGAGCAAAAGAGTGGGCATACGAACTGGTTAATACTGAATCTCAAGTAGAAAAGTAAAATATAAAAGCCCAATCTACAAAATGTGCAAGACAGAAATTTCTCTACTTGGCCATATGGAGAAGGAGGGTTTGAAACCACACATTTTGACTCCTGATCAGGTGTTCCATCCACTGTATCACAGGTTGAAGATTCCACATGTCTATGTTTATCCATTCCCACCCTGTTTACATCAGGTCAACAAATAGAATGTGTATTACGTACTCCATGAATCCTGTAGGAGAAATAAGCCTAGCTCAAAGGAAATAGTGGGTAACTCTCACTGAGCATGGCTGGGAAGCTTCCTGATGGAAGTAATCTGTGTAAGATATTGAAAAAATGATTTTTCCTTGGATGAGGATGAGAAAGAGTGGTCCAGAGGTAAGAAAATCATGATGAACTTGGAGGAGAGTTTAACATACCTAGAGAGTAAAATAAGTAACCCTGAGGAGTTGGAAGAGAAATCCCCTTCCTAGATTATTTGTTCTATTTTAAGCAGGGAAATGCTTGGTTGAAGCCATAAATGAATTAATTATTCTTCAAAACCACTGAACTGTACAAGTTTCTGTGGCTTCTAGGGCTAAGGGGATCTTGTTCTCATAATGAAGTGGAAGCAGCTATTAACATAACATAAAAATCTATCTGTACTTTGCCATCTTGGCTTTGTTCCATCAAAGCCATTCTCTCAAACAGTATCCGCACAGTGCTACAGTCATATTTACACATCGGGGACAGAATTGGACGGAACCCATTTCTGGTCTCCAGTTCTTTATCCCAATCCCAACCCCACACTGTCTATCATCCTGGTTAATTAAGAGAGGGTATTCCACATTAGAAAGTAGACTACTTTCTGTACATAGGCCAAAAAATCAGTCTTCTCAAATAAAGCCAAATATTGTATTTCAGGTTTGTCTTGTCCTTCAAGGTAAACTGAGTTTCACTCTCTCTTCCAGCCCCAGTGAAGGTGTAACCATAATTGAAAGGCAGAGCCAAAATGCTGGGAAATTGAGCCAGGACAATCTACACGCTGTGGAATTTATCCTGTGTAATTGCAAGTTAAAAGCCACAATTCCTTCTCATCCATAATGTTTAACCATACTTTGGCTGAAGGTTCAAGTAAAGGTTTTCAGCCTTTCCATTCTATTTTTAGTTCTCATGATGCATCAACCAAAATGTAATCATAATGTTCTTGTTGCAGTATTTGAAAGCTCTCTAAGCTTAACCTAAACAATCAGACCTCTGGAAAATTAGGGAAAATATGAACTTTTCAGCAGATTCTCTAGGAGAAAATAGGATTTTGAATTACCTTATTAGAATCAAATTACATGTAGAAGCATATTACAATTATTTTATAGTTTTAATTTTTTTCCACTCACAAATGTGAACACGTGCTAGGTCAGCACACTCTTTTTTTGTCTGTGTTAGAAAGGAGCAAACCAAGTTTTGCCTTCATTTAGTTTTCCGGAAAACATTTATTGAGCAGCTATGGTGTGTCAAATAATTACAAATAAGCAGGACAGGGCCTTTGTCCTTGGACAGAAGAGATAATGAATAAAGTAAGTAAACATGTGTGTTTAAGTGTGCAGCACAGCATTACAGACATGATGAAAGAAATTAGGACAGGAAGCAGTTGTTGTATGAAGTTGACTATGGGTCTCAGAAAATGAGCCATCATCATAGGGAACAGTACATGTTTGCCAGGTACTGCTGAGACATGGCAGAATGGTGAGGTTGACAAGGGATTAGGGAAGGGTACTCCAGCAGTCACAACAGGAGCAAAGGCAAAGACACATAAGTAGGCTTAGTCCAGTATTTCTCAGACTTGTGTAGTATTTAGATCTCTTATAAAGGAATATATTTCTCATGTATCCTGGAGTCAATTTGGATTATACGCGTAGAAACATAACACTAAGTATAAACCCTAATGCTTATAGCTGTTACATAATTATGAAACCAAACAGATAAACAAATTAATTATAAAGAAAAATATAAAACTAGTATCATGTAAATAATATTAGTTTAATGGTATGACTGATAATTTTTGCTAAAACAATATTGTCTTGATTGCTATGAATCTTTTGAAATTGATACGCCTATACTACTTTGTCCTAAGTGATGATTCAATTATTTCAGCTTTTTTTTTTTAAACTAGAACCATTGCCAAATCTTTGTACAGCAAGCCGTGACATCACTTGGTCTTCATTTGTAAAATAAACTAACATTTGAAATATTGTCTCCTCTCTTTACTCATTAGTCCATGATGATAACGCAAGTTTGTGGTATTAGTAAGAAAGTGGTCATCGCTGCAGGGGGCAATGGCTTGTGCCTGCAATCCCAGCACTTTGAGAGGCTGAGGCAGGTGGATCGCTTGAGTTCAGGAGTTCCAGACCAGCCTGGGCAAATGGCGAAACCCCGTCTCTACAAAAAAAAAAAAAAATATATATATATATATATATATATATATAATATATATTAATTTAATATATATAATATATATAATTTAATATATATTATATATAATTTAATATATGTAATTTAATATATATTATATATAATATTAATATATATTATATATATATAAATTAGCTGGTCATGGTGGCATGTGCCTATGTTCCTAGCTACTCAGGAGGCTGAGGTGGTAGGATCTCTTGAGCCCGGGAGGCAGAGGTTGCAGTGAGCCAAGATCGCACCACTGCGTTCCAGCCTGGGCAACAGAGGAATACCCCATCTCAAAAATAAAATACGAAGTGGTCATCATCCTAGACCCTTATTACTCAAAAAGTGTTCCAGGGAGTAGCAGCACTGGCATCACCTGGAGCTTGTTAGAAATATCTTGGGCCATACAGGACTTACTGACTCGGACTCAGTGCCTTAACAAAATCTCCAGGTGATTCCTATGCACACGGAAGTTTGAAAAGCACTGATGTCGATGATTCAAAGTAGGCTTAAATCATTTTAAAATTTTCAATCAAAATTAAAACGTAAAATTGCTCATAGATGCTTCTTAAACTTCTGATGACCCCTCTCGCTAACCCATTAGGGGAATTTAAAGAAATTCAGCTGGACTGAAGCATAATTTCAGAGGCAAAAGATAAGGCAATCAATAATGTTGGAGAGATAACAGAGACTGGTTTGGCACACGAAAGAGTTTGGACCCTATCCGTTAATCAATGAGGAGCCACTGAAGGACTTGAAGCCCTAGAGAGAATAATGAGATTTGCTTTTTTTAGAAAGATTATTCTGGCTGTAATCATGGATTAGAGAACTGCTGACTGGAGCCAGGGAGGCAAGCTAAGGACTTATTTTAATTGCCTGGGCAGTGAGGACTGACCTAGTGCTGAAGCTGAGGCTACAGAGGAGATAGCAAAGAGGTAGTTTGGTGACTGATTGCATGTCAAGTTTCCTAGATATCCAACTTAGGTAGAGAATGCAATTTGAAGAGCAGGTTTAGGAAAAAGGATAAGTGTACCAATATGTACATGCTGAGCTTGTGGTACCTTTGAAATATCCATCGCGGAGATGTCCAGTGGGCAGCTGCTACAAGGGCCTGCCTGGAGATACAGATATCGGAGCAGTGAAAGAGATTGCAACAAGAATCATCAGAGAGGTCAGGCGAGGTGTCTTATGCCTGTAATCCCAGCACTTTGGGAGGCCGAGGCCGGCGGATCACCTGAGGTCAAGAGTTCAAGACCAGCTTAGCCAACATGGGGAAACCCTGTCTCTACTAAAAATACAGAAATTAGCCAGGCATGGTGGCAGATGCCTGTAATCCCAGCTACTCGGGAGGCTGAGGCAGGAGAATCGCTTGAACCCGGGAGGCAGAGGTTGCAGTGAGCTGAGATCGCGCCACTGCACTCCAGCCTGGGGTACAAGAGCGAGACTTCATCTCAAAAAAAAAAAATCCTCATCAGAGTAACTCATGGAGAAAATGTGGAATTCAAAATGATCGCCTTACCTTGCTAAATAATCTACACAGTTAAATGGGGTTCCTGGTGTTTATGAAATGTGTACTTTTGACCAAAATTTTATACTCATATATTGTCACAGTTAAGGGTCCTACTATGTTAACAGGATTAATCACATTGTTTTATTTATTTATTTATTTATTTTGAGACAGAGTCTCACTCTGTCACCCAGGCTGGAGTGCAATTGCGCGATCTTGGCTCACTGCAACCTCTGCCGCCCGGGTTCAAGCAACTCTCCTGCCTCAGCCTCCCGAGTAGCTGGGATTACAGGCGCCTGCCACTGCGCCTGGCTAATTTTTGTAGTTTTAGTAGAGACGGGGTTTCACCGTCTTGGCCAGGCTGGTCTTGAACTCCTGACCTCGTGATCCACCCGCCTCGGCCTCCCAAAGTGCTGGGATTACAGGCGTGAGCCACTGCGCCCGGCCTAATCACATTGTTTTAGAAATAATTTAGCTAGTCATTATTTCTAATTTTTGAAGATGCCCTGAAAAACCTTGGAAGAGAACTATGATTTTTATTCTTCTTATTTGAGAAGAAAATATTTATGGTTAGGTAACCCTTTTTTTCTGTCTAGAGAAGGCTAGAGAGTAGCAGTCTCCTTTTTACACATAACTCCATAGTCATTTCTTATTGTCTGGAACGGCAGAAATCAATCATTATTAGAAAGAAAATCTCACTAATAGATCATTAGGCAGGTGAATTGTTTTCAAAACTGGAAAAAGACAGTTTTTCATGTTTCCCATTGAGTCATCTCTCACATGGAGTTCACTAGAGATGGAGGGATAACCTGGAAATCTCTAGTCTTTCTGCTCCTCCCTGTCAAACAACCTCATTCGCTATTTTTATTATTGTTTCCTTCCCTCTTCAACTGTCTCTATCTCCCGCATGAAAGGAAAAGTCAAATCATTTCAGGTCCTGAGTCATTCTTAAGCCTTCTGACTGAGGCAACCTATCAGACAAGATCCCAGCATACCTATTTCATGGCGCAACTGGCCTTGGAAGCTAACACCAGGGAGTCATTGTCATAACAAAAGTTCCCTCCCAAGGGAAGAGACTGTGTCAGGTGACAACCCACCTACACCTATCACTCCCGCCCAGTCCCAGTCCCATCTTCTCTGTGTGAGTTGAACCCAGAGGCCTAGGATAAAACTAGGCTTGTAAAAAAAAAAAAAATTATTGTTTCAGTACTGTCAGTTATTAAATTTAAATAAGACATTCTTCTTTTTTTTTTTATTTTTTGAGACAGAGTCATGCTGTGTCGCCCAGGCTGGAGTGCAGTGGTGCAATCTTGGCTCACTGCAACCTCCACCTCCCGGATTCAAGCAATTCTCCTGCCTCAGCCTCACGAGTAGCTGGGATTACAGGCACCTGCCACCATGCCCAGGTAATTTTTGTACTTTTTTTGAGTAGAGACGGGGTTTCACCCTGTTGGCCAGCCTGCTCTCAAACTCCTGACCTTGTGATCTGCCCACCTTGGCTTCCCAAAGTGCTGGGATTATAGACATGAGCCACCGCGCCTGTCCAAATAAGACATTCTGATAGTATTTTCTGAAGATAAAGGCTATCCTCAAGTGCACCTCAACAGTGAGAGTAAAAGCAAGAACATTAGATATGTAATGATGTAATTGAAGGGTGGTGTTCCTATTGTCAGTTCCCTAGCAGAGGCCCTGCTTACAGGCTGGCTCCCCCTGACACTGGCATCTAGCTAAGCCTCTGTTGGCCATTCTACCTACCATTTTTCCCCTTGCCTAATCTCAAAGCTGTATTCTCAATTTCCTTTTCTAAGACTGCTCTTCAATCTTGATGTCTACTAAGAAATGTTCTGGGTCAGCTGTTCTCAAACTTTAGCCAGCAGGAGGATTACCTAGAGGATTTGTTAAAACACAGTTGCTGGGACCCACCTGCGAGTTTCTAATTCTGTAGGTGGAAGGTGGAGCCCAAGATTTTGCAGTTTTAACCACTTTCCAGATGATGCTGATGTTGTTTATCTTTAGGTCCCCAGTATTTTATTCATTAATTTAGTCAAAAAATATTTACTGACCACACACTATATGCCAGACATCCATTTTGCATAGCATAGCATTCTCTTTCTCTAGAGCAATCTTTTCCTAGAAGCCACCAATGACAAATTCAAGTATTTAAGGATTTAGGAATGGTTCTACTTAAAACAGTTCTTCCTCCAATGGTTTGATTAGCAAACGTTTTATTCAGGACAGTAGTAAAGGAAGGCTCATACTAATCTAGGCTCAATTATTCCAAAAATCTTAATTAGTGAATGGAATGATTAATGAGCTATTTTTTTCTTGCCCTCCAAAATAGGAATTTGGAGTTACATAGGCCATTGGCTAAGACTCAGTAAAGATCTTGGTTAGATCTTGTTTTGCTTTTTTTTTTTTTAAGCTATAAAAGTCATTTTTGGAACAATTTGCCATTTGATGATATTAATATTTTATCATGTACTAATTTTCTTTAAGTTTTAGTTATGTTGGAGAATTTCCTTATTCTTTGGTGATTCATGTTAAAATATTTAGAGATTATGTGTCAAAAATATCTAAAATTTACTTTATTTATTTATTTATTTTTGAGACGGAGTTTCGCTCTTCCACCCAGGCTGGAGTGCATTGCTGAGATCTCGGGCTCACTGCAACCTCCGACTTCCGGTTTCAAGCGATTCTCTTGCTTCAGCCTCCCAAGAAGCTGGGATTACAGGGGCCCGCCACCACACCGGGCTAATTTTCGTATTTTTGGTAGAGACCGGGTTTCACTATGTTGGCCAGGCTGGTCTCAAACTTGTGACCTTGCGATCCGCCCACCTCAGCCTCCCGAAGTGCTGGGATTACCGAGCCCGGCTAAAATTTACTTTAAATGTTTCATATAGGCCGGGCGCGGTGGCTCATGCCTGTAATCCCGGCACTTCGGGAGGCCAAGGCGGGCGGATTGCCTGAGCTCAGAAGTTCGAGACCAGCCTGGGCAACGTGGCAAAACCCTGTCTCTATTAAAAATACAAAAAATTAGCCGAGCACGGTGGCCTGCGCGCCTATAGTCCCAGCGACTTGGGAGGCTGCGGCTGGAGAATCGCTTGAACCTGGGAGGCAGAGCATTGCGGTGAGCTGAAATTGCCCCACTGCACGACTTCAGCCTGGGTTTGTCTTAAAAAAACAAACAACTTTGTCTTAAAACAAACAAACAAACAAAAACACCAAAAACTTTTCTATATCGATATGCATGTGTGTGTGTATATATATATATATATATATATATATAAACAAAATGAGGAGTGAGAAAACAAATATGACAAAATGTTGATGTTTGTTGAATCCAAGTAGAAAGCATGTAGCTATCCATTGCGTTATTTTTTCCAACTTTGCTGTAAGTTTGAAAATTTTCATAATACAAAATTGAGGGAAAAGCAGGTTTAGAAGATTTATAATGATTCATTAAATATTCATTTTCAGTACCAACAAGATTTTCACCATATGGTAAATGTTGTTCTACTTGACCACATAATGTAATAGAGTTCAAAGAGCTCCACAAATCTTTGAAGCATTCTTTGAAAGATCACAAAAAAATCATAAGGGTAAAATACACTGCAACATTAAATGGAACTGGGACTAGTTCTACTTTTATTTATCTAGTAAACTAAAGTTTAATCTCAATAATCCACTTTTGTCTCACAATAAAATTTCAACAAACTGGCAGCTAGGAAAAAAATTACTAACAAGTATAAAAATAAGAACTTTACTGTTCTGAAAAAAAATTGTTCTTATACCTAGTTTTGTAAAACTGACAAATTTTGTAAAATTTTCTAATTCCATTAGCATTAAAATTCACATTGACAGAATGTAAGATAATATACCTTTTAAAGGATAATACTATGTATCTTTATTCCTTGTAAAGGAAGTTGCCGC
Source organism: Homo sapiens (assembly GCF_000001405.40). Classification (NCBI taxonomy): domain Eukaryota; kingdom Metazoa; phylum Chordata; class Mammalia; order Primates; family Hominidae; genus Homo; species Homo sapiens. The sequence goes on from NC_000011.10 coordinate 100,680,023, forward strand.
TGTGACTACGGGTTACAGATTGTTTCAGATTTGTTCTTTTTCCTTTTTTTTTTCCATCTGAAATGTTCAAACAGTAGAGACTGTGGGTCTGTTCTTTTTCAATGATCCTTCTTATCACTTTCATTAGTATGCTTCACTGTGATTGAGTTATGACTTCTCTTTGTTGGGTGTGGAGCCATTTATTTGAGTTAGTTTCCTTAAGCTCCTTCTGGGCTAGTTATTTTCCTCATCACGCTTTCACTGCCTTTGCCAGGGCCTGTTACAGTGTGCTGGATGGCAGCAGTTCTAGCGCAGATGTACTCATCGCCTGGAAGCACGGATAATGAGCTCCACTCCTTTCATGCTCAGCAGAGCTCAAGCAACACGTAGAGACCTCCGTGCCAAATGGGAGAAGCCTTTCTCTACAAATCTGTGCAGACACCTCTACCGCAGAAGCTGAAGAATGATTTTTAGAAGATTATAAGGCACTCAAGTATTAAAAACATTTGTTAGGTATCATCTGTGGGCTGATAGCATGCAAAGTGCAAGAGATACAAAGAAATAAGATTTAATCTAAAAGCTTAGGGTCTAAACGCAAAAAATGTAAATGTGGAAAAAGAGCTATATAAAAGTAGGCTGGATGTGGTGGCTCACGCCTGTAATCCCAGCACTTTGGGAGGCCGAGGTGGATGGATCACGAGGTCAGGAGTTGGAGACTAGCCTGGCCAACATAGTGAAACCCCATCTCTACTAAAAATACAAAAAATTAGTCAGGTGTGGTGGCGGGTGCCCGTAATCTCAGCTACTCGGGAGGCGGAGGCAGGAAAATCGCTTGATCCCGGGAGGCGGAGGCTGCAGTAAGCAGAGATCGTGCCATAGCACTCCAGCCAAGGCGACAGTGTGAGACTCCGTCTCAAAAAATATATATATATATACATATATATATATAATGCGTATGATGTGTCCCAACGTATTCACTGTGGTGTGGTCTTGGAGTTAGAGACTTTGCTGTTCATCCTGGGGCAAGTTGTCTGGGTGTTTTTGTTGGCTTTTTGTGGTTCTTGGTTTTTGTTTTCGCATTTTGGGGCTTCAACAATCTCATCCTCATTATAAAATTCCTACCTCCAGGGTTAGTGTGAGGATTTGTAGGCCTCGTGGGACATGGACAGCGTGGTTGCTCAGTAAACATTTGCTTCCTTTCTGTGTGGTCAGTGGCTGCTTTGAAATCCAGCGGAGGCCACGCCCATGAGGGTTTCAGTGAGAGGTAAGAGAGGAACAGCACTTCCTCTTCTAATGCAGCTGCAAGCCTCTGAGCACACATGGGTGGAGTGTCAACAGCACTCTAGCTGTAATTGATTGTCATTATTGGTCGGAGGAGATTTCTTGTTCTAACTTTGAGTCATAGAGGTATAAAAATGTCTCGTGTCTAGAGCTTAAAATAACCCAAGTGAAACAATAGATGTTATTTCATTATTAGCATAGGACAGTGTCCGGCACATGGTAAGGGTTTAATAAATGATAGTCATTATCGTTATCACTATCATCCTTAATTTTATACTTGGGAAAGGTGTAAAGCCTAAAAGTTAAATTATCCTAAGTCACACAGCTCATAAATGGCCTTTGGCTGGCCATTTGATTAATATTGCTGCTATAATTTATTAGATTGAAAATTTGATTAGGGCTGGATTGAGGTAAATTTACTCAAAATTACTGTTGTATTTCCAGCATCTACAGCAGCACAGAAATATAACAGATACTTATGAATATTTGTTGAATGTGTGTGTGTGTGTGTGTGTGTGTGTGTGTGTGTGTGTGTGTGTGTGTTTAGCATGGCCTTTTTACCAAGGTAGACCTGGATTGAAATCCCAACTCCAGTACCTTCCAGATATTATACATAAATTTAGGAAAGTTAATCACTTTTCAGTTATAACTTTCCCACTTGTTAAAAATGAAGCTAATCAGGCTGGGCACGGTGGCACATGCCTGTAATCCCAGCACTTTGGGAGGCCGAAGCGGGCAGATCACCTGAGGTCAGGAGTTCGAGACCAGCCTGGCCAACACGGTGAAACCCCATCTCTACTAAAAATACAAAAATTAGCCAGGCATGGTGGCACGTGCCTGTAATCCCAGCTACTCGGGAGGCTGAGGCAGAAGAATCATTTGAACCTGGGAGGCGGAGGTTGCAGTGAACCGAGATGGCGCCATTGCACTCCGGCCTATGGTACAAGAGCGAAACTCCATCTCAAAATAAAGAAATAAATAAAACTTTAAAAGTGGGGCTAATCAGATTTAATACCTATTTCACATGCTTGTGGATAAGCTTAGATGGGGCAATACATGCAAAAACTATCATGCCCAGTATTGGTGGAGGCTGCTTCTTTTCATTTTGTCTCCTTTTCCTGTGCTCTTTATGAAGTTTTCTGTCAGAGTTAGCAAACATCATGATTTGCCACAAGAGGGCAATACTAAATTGAAATCAAAATCTGTGCTAAAAAATGTCTTTTCCTAAATTAAGTGATTACCTCTCTCCCTCTCCTTTTTCCTTCTCCCCACCCCTCATAAATGTAGTTAGTTGTTGAGTATTTCTTGCTTAGACTTCTGTTCTTTTCCTTCAACCCATTCATCCGAAATCTGTCATCATAATAAAATCTAGATTTGGCAGGGACTTTAGAAGTTATATTGTGCAGTGGCTCACACCTGTAATCCTAGCACTTTGGGAGGCTGAGGTGGGAGGATTGCTTGAGTTTAGGAGTTCAAGACCAGCCTGGGCAACATAGCCAGACACCATCTCTTAGAAAAAAGGAGTCATATTGTCACATAGAACAAATTCCACTCTCTGCAGCTATTCTTCCCCTCTAGTTGACCTTGACTTCTGCTTCTGTGTCCCCCTCCGTTAAGCTAACACAACAGCCCTGAGTGTTTGTGCTGCACTTTTCTTTCTGAGAAAGTGCCTCTTAATTATTCTAACTTTACCTCAAACTCAGCATAGGAGACTCAACCTAAAATGTATATTTCTTCTAAAAAAAATAACACTTCTGAGTTGTATAGGCTTAAATCTCAGAGTTATGTTGGATTCTACCTCATCCACAAAAATCACACTATATTTCCTTCCTTTATTTAATCTGCTTACTGCCCATCTGTTGCCCAATCTCATGTGTACTTACCCCGTCTAAATTCTCTTTTCTCATCTCTCAGTCATTTGACTTTTTGGTCTTCCAACCATTGCTCTTTAGTCCATCTATTGGATAATGAGCTCTTGGAATCCATAGACTCATACAATGTGGGCTATGTTCTGTACTCTTCCTGTGAGAGACTCCCATTTCCTACCCCCAGACAAAGCGAAGTTTCTTTTTCAACCCGGACTACATTTAGCATTTGTCTGTGCTTCATGACAACCATGGAGAGGAAGCAGGGAGAGCTGTATGCATTTGAGAGGGGCTCTACAATTTGTGAGAGCATTTTTTTTAAACTGGAAAAGACAATGTTACTAAGTCACATAGGCTCCTGTCACTAATGATGTGTACATTTGCCCATCAGAAATGCAGTGTCATACACCAACTAATTTTTTGAGAAATAGTGATGTTAAGAGCATTGTGTGTGACAATAATAATACTTCTAATAAGGCAGAATAAAAAGATCTCGCCCTCTAAGGGCTTAATCTGAACTTCATTTTTTGGCTGTCAGAAGAGTATTTTAGAAAATTAAGTCAAAAATTAAGTAGGTTCAAATGCTTGTTTCTTTTTGTTTATTTGTTTTGGGTTTTTTAAAATTTTTATCTGTTTAAGATGACAGAGTCTCGTTCCATTGCCCAGGCTGGAGTGCAGTGGCACAACCTTGGCTCACTGCAACCTCTGCCTCCTGGCTTCAAACAATTCTCGTGCCTCAGCCTCCCTAGTACCTGCTGGGATTACAGGTGCACACCACCACACCCAGCTAATTTTTCTATTTTTAGTAGAGATGGGGTTTAATCATGTTGGCCAGGCTGGTCTCGAACTCCAGGTGAAATGCCCACCTGGGCCTCCTAAAGTGCTGAGATTACAGGCTGAGCTACCAGGCCTGGCTCCTCATATGGGTTTTAAATGTATATCTAATTCTTATTTCTTCTTTGCTTCTCTTTTTGATGACTGAATCATCTAAGTGAAATAAGACAGACACATTGTGCAAATATTGTATAATTTCATTTATATGAGATACCTACATTGTCAAATTCATAGAGACAGAAAGTACAATGGTTACCAGGAGCTGGGAGGAGGGGAAACCAAGAAGAAACACTTGGTTTCTGTTTAGTCATCTCTTACCAGGCTTGAACTTAACCTCAGATCAGCTGAGTCTGGGTGGTCTAAATCTACATAATTAATTGAAAAGTAATAATAGCTTGACAATAACACTTACTGAGTACATACGAAGTGCCAGGCTTAAGTGTCAGACATGATCTACGTCAAGAAACAGTTTTAGGCAGATTTACAAATGCCATATTAGTTTACTATCCTCTACTATCTATTTGCTCTCAAAAGCAAGTAAACAAAGCCCACATATCCCATTCCAGAATCAGGAAAACAAAGAGACATTTCTCTGTGCCAAAGAGCCTGTCAGCCAATAATATTTGCGAAGCTTACCACGCAGCTTACGGTGTCATGTGTTATGAAGTGGAAATTTCTGGACAGGCTATATTTCAATCCATTACATTTGTTTATGAAAACAGGCTTGCAGGTATTGCTGATCTTTTATATAGAAAGTCTATTCTCTAGGAAAGAATCTGGTTCAGTTAATTATGATGGAGAGAATCATGCATGGAAACAACAGTTCAAAACCGACAGTAAACCCACCTCAAAGCAAAAGCATTTCTGGTTTTTCTCAAGTAGCTGTGTTAATGTGGCATAAGAGAAAGCCTGACTAGCAGGTATAATTAAAGTATGAATCATAGGAATAAGCATGAGTAACTATGAAAACACCTACAAGAAATAAGCCCATTATAACATGATAAACTTTAGGGAATCATGAGTGAAGGGTAGGAGAAAAAATCCTAATTCCATGTAAATGCAATGATGGGCCTGAGTGGAAACATATTGATAAACAATAGCATCAATGTATTATTAGTACAGCATCTGTGTGAGGCTGTGGAACACAGCATATTCTGCCTTATGCTTTATGGGTACTTATTTTCCACATTTCCTTTTTCTGAGAACTGCTTGAGGTCACGGATAATGCTTCTGTCTTTTTATAGAAATCACTTCCCCACCCAGACCTTAGTAATGTAGACAGTAGACATAAAACATATCATTACATACATGAATGGGCAAATGATAACCTGTATCATAGAATGTACAATACATCTGCCCTGGCATGTAACACTTTTAAAGAAAACTAAACATTGACATCCAACATATTAAATGCAACTTATGAAACACCAATGATGCATTTTTAAAGACTTAATCACAGTACGATGATTTAATGAAAAACAAGAAGAGAATGTTATATTTTATCGTTTCGTATCTCAGCAGTTTGGCACTGGATTCAGTTGATAGGAACAGCAACATGGCAAAAGTTGAAAGGAAACTGTTTGGCCTGGGTGATTTTTTGTCTTTCAGGCAGAGTAATGAGTAAATACAAAATCACCTCTGGTGAGACACAGTCCACTGGTGTTTATGTCATGTCATTTCATTAACTGACAAACAGAATTACTGCCTCTCCCTTCCCCAAACCTGCAAAAGAAAAAAAAAATTGAAGAGTATTTAGTTAACAAAAACAAATTTAACACTTGGAGTTAAAATGGCTCTAATAGTGACTGGTCATTTTGCCAATATGGGGCCAAAGATGTGAATATGGATGGAAGGTGTTTTGAGATGGAGTCGTTCTGTCACTCAGGCTGGAGTGCGGTGGAGTAATCTCGTAATCTCGGCTCATGGCAATCGCCGCCTCCCGGATTCCAGTGACTCTCCTGCCTCAGCCTCCCAAGTAGCTGGGACTACAGGCGTGCGCCACCAGGCCCAGCTAATTTTTGTATTTTTTAGTAGAAACTGGGTTTCACCGTGTTGGCCAGTATGGTCTCCAACTCCTGACCTCAAGTGATTCTCCTGCATCAGCCTCCCAGAATGCTGGTATTACAGGCGTTAAGTCACTGCGCCTGGCCCATACTGTTTACATTATCTTATCTGTTTTAGGTTTACATGTTATTTTTAATGTTCCTGTACATTTAAAAAATTGAAACCAAGAATCTTGACTGGCTCTGAAACTTAATTGGGAAAAATGTAAAGCACTTTAGTGGAATTTTTCCCATGATCTGTAGAATAGTTTTTAAACAGATGGTTCATATGGACAAAGCAATGAAAATGCAGAAATTAAAAGCAGATCCTTAAGAACAATATCCGAGTTCTCAGAAATCCTATAGATGATGTCAGGACGAGATGTAAAGCAGTCGTTTCTTTTGCTGTCAAGGTTTTAAGAGAACAGAAATTTATTAGGTGAACCTCCACCGGAGGAAGGATAAAGCCTGTGGGTAGGAGTTAACTATTTATTTCAAACTCCAGTCCACTTCAACAATTTGAAAATTTTCCCGCTCCTAGGACAATTCCATCCAGGTGCCAATAGGAGATACTACTATTGTGATGCAAATAGGTATTCTACTAGAAGTAGGAGCACGTAAGCAGAGTGAGGATGACTTGAAAAATCGTCCCACCTTCCCAGCTATGGAGTGGGGGCAGGGGGAAGAAACACCTCCAGGCTGGATCATTGAAGCTGAGGGGTGGGAGAGCGACGGGACAATTTTTCAACGTGGAATTCAAATGCATTCGGTGGGGAAGTGTGAAGTAAAATCTAAACGAACGCTAGACAGTAGTATCTTCCATCTACGCTTCAAAATACTCAGACTTTAGGGAAACTTAACGTTGGTTTTTCTCCCAGAGAATTGTAGGGAGTGGGTGGAGGGGACACTGTTAGGGGAGGTATATTGGGAGTCAGATCCTTTTGTGGAGCGAGGGACCCCGAAGTGTCACCAAGGGCTAGCCGAAACCAGGGGCCCAAGAGGGGACAGGGCTAACACCCCAGCCAAGGCCGGAGCGCAAGCGCGGGGCTGCAGCGCGGGGAGCCCTGGAGCCCAGTGCGGGCGGACGGGTGGGGCAGGAGGGCAAAGGGGCGAAGGGGCGGGGTGGCGCTGGGTGGGAGCGCGGCGGCGGGGAGGAGGGTCTGGGAGCCCGGGTGCGATTTGCAAGCGCTCTGAGCCTGCGTCCGCCGAGGGGGAGGGTTTCCCCAGCCCGGCCGGAGTTGCGGCTGTGCGCTGCTTCTGGCTCACAACGCCGACGACTGTCAAGAGAGTTGGGGAGTGGAACTGCCGGAAGTGTCTGCGCGCCGTGAGAGAAACTTTCCTGCTCCGGCCGCGGCCCGGAGCCTCGCCGCCCCCGCGTTCCGAACGACGATGCGTCCAGATGACAACAACCTGAGGGGACTCGCGCCTCGGCCCGCCGCCCGCGCCTGCGCTCGCCTAGCCTCGGGGGAGGAAGACTGAGCCCGGCGCAGGCGGCGCGGCGCTCGGGGCCCGTTTCCTCCGCGCAATCAGTCCCCTCGCGTCCCGGCGCCTTCCCCGCGATCGCGCGACCCCAGCGCCCGCCGCGGCCGCCGGCTGCCCCCGCCCTGACCTCCGGCCCGGACGTGTCCGCGGCCGCCGCTGGCAGCGCCTGTGCCATGGGGCTGCCCACTCTGGAGTTCAGCGATTCCTACTTGGACAGCCCAGATTTCAGGGAGCGCTTGCAGTGTCACGAGATTGAGCTGGAGCGAACCAACAAGTTCATCAAGGAGCTCATTAAGGACGGCTCTCTGCTCATTGGGGCGTTGAGGAGTAAGTAGGGCTGGCGGGGGAGTGGACACCCGCATCTGGAGAGTCCCCGCGGGGTGCGGGTCCGAAGGGTGGGTTGGAGGAGTCGGAGCTTCTTTTGTTTGAATGGATTTGGGGACAAAAGCTGAAGAGCTCCCCTGCTGGTGGCCAACAAAGTTTGTTCTTGAGGTGTTCTTTACTTACTCACATGTCTACAGGGATGGGGAAAGTTCTCTACAGGGCACTGGAATATATCCTGAGGAAAGTCGTTCAAAGTCATCTCGTTGTGTAATGCTCCTAGGAAGATGTTGGGGACTTTAATTTTTTTTTTTTAATTTATTGTGTCTATTAATAGTTTGAACTAAAAAAGCCCTTAAGGGGGGAATCAAGAGTTTGTCTTAAAGATAAAATTAGGCTAGTTTAGTGATATTGAAAGAAAATTATTAATGTCTCTCATACGTCAGTGGCTCTTCATTGGACACAGTCATTGAGTTGGCTTTTTAAAAAGCATACATTTGCAGTTTTGCCATTTTGTAAGATAATGGAAGACAGCAAGGCACCAGTGCATTTTAACTCTGCAAGTTTTCTGTGCGTCTTAGTTTTGGTTTGCATTGTGTGGGTGTTGGGTGTGTCATTGGGATGAAAGTTAAGGGGTTAAAGGCCAATCAGAACTTTTGATGATCTGTAGAATATAAAGACTGTTATAGTCTATAATATAGGGCTTCTTCCACCTCCTTTCCCATACACCTCTTGATCAAATTTTCCTTCCTCCTTTTATCCTCTGGATCTTAGCTTTCAATTCCTAAGACCTAAGAGTATCTGAAACTGAAGAGTTTCTCTTACAGAGAATTGAGCACAATTACATGATATGGCTTGTTACCTTTCCCAGGAGGTATTTGCATCTTTTAAAAAATTTATTTTTATTTATTTATGTATTTATTTATTTTCCATCTTCAAAGGAGCCTGTGAAAAGTATTTGCATCTTAATAGAGGCTTCTGGATGTTTTAGCTACTGAAATGAAGCCGTGGAATCTCTGGTCACTTAAAGCTGGGTGAGTGAGGTACTTTCAAAAGGTAGAGAGACCTTTGGGTGATCTAGTTACCCCCAGGACATATATGGGGGCATCATCTTTGTATAACAACATGATAGGGATGTGTGCGCCTAAAACTGAGACAATACTAGTATCGGATCTATATTTTGAAACATGTATTAACAGTAAGGAGAGAGCTTAGCAAGATGTCTTGAAATTAATGTGCTCCAAAATATCTTTTAATCATCCCAAATGTTAAAACATTTACTTAACCACTTGTGTTACTTAACCAAGGTAAAGATAATATATTTTATGCCCATATTCACTTAATTTCTGAATTTGAGGCTACTACTAATAATGGTATTTACTGTGATTTGTGAAAAATATAGTTTGTCTGCAATTCTTGCCACCCTACATAAACACTAATGTGAACTGTCCTTCCTCTGGCTTGCAAATCCTGGTTAAAGTCTCGCGGGACTAACCTCTTTGCATCTAAGAGAGCATGATGCCTCTTCAAAAAGAGCTGCATCTCAGAGTGTCAAATGCCAAGCCAGTTCTTGTTGGAGGTGCCAGATATTCTACATTTTTCTCCCCGCTCTGCTTGAGATAAACTTTAGTGTTTCAGAAGGTCAAAATACTTACATACCTGTGATAAATGCTCTGACATGTACATTATATTACGAGTGACATTACATACTTTATTATGATGGTTGAATCTAGCTTTGTAAAAGTCAGGTGATTCCCATCATTATAGTTTTGTTCTTCCATTCATAAGTGAAGAAATCTTGGGAGCGTAGGCTCTTTGAAGATATAGGCCCTGCATCATTAATTTGGCTTATGCACTTAATTATACAACCTGCTATCTTTCTAGGATTCTTAAGTTTGTGGTGAGAGTGTATTACTTTAACTAACGTTTGATTATTACTTCTTTCATTGTGAAAAGGAAAAGATTTTATTCCTTGGTAAAAGGATTCCTAACAGCAGCTGCCAAATGGGAGGGATTTTGGAGCAAAGGAACCCTTGAAGTCACACTGTAGCACTGATTTTTTTCGTACCAAGCCACCTTTTGTCCCTTAGGAAGGATGCTCTGAGGCTGGGCTGCAGCTGCTTGGATAGGAGGAGTGTGTCAGAAAGGATTTGAAGCCTGCTTGGTTCTATCACTGGCTGCCCCTGCCCTGACCACTAGCCCAGACATGTCCCCTGGCATAGCTGGCAGTGCTTGTACCATGGGGCTGACCATTCCACTGTGGGAGCGTCCCTGTACCATAAGTCTGCCCACTCCACTAAGGGAGTCCTTCTTCCCCCAGTCTGTCTTTTCTGTTTTTCTTTCCTGCCTGGGGAGGACTTCACCTTCCCTAACTTTATATAGACTATTTCAATAGATGTATCCATTACCCGTTTCAGTTTTTTTAGCACGGCACTGTTATTTTTATTAATAATTAATGCATTCTTAATGTAACCTTATTAAGCAATTATCAGTGTATTTCTAAGCATATTATATTATTTTTATCCCTGTTGTTAACTTTTCCCGTGAGAGTTTTGACTTGCACTCTCTTAGGTAATACACGCCTGACTATTCCAATAAGAGTCACACATGCTCCTTGCTCTGTGGTTCAAGTTGTAATTTCTTCAGTAGACTATTTGGAAGGCTCCTTTAAATTGAACTAGAAGATTTCAATTGAACTAGATAATTTCAATTTTAAATAATACATATAACATACTTAACACGTGTTTAAATATCCAATATTTTTATTTTATTTATTTATTTTTCTTTTGTGACAGAGTCTCGCTCTGTCGCCCAGGCTGGAGTGCAGTGGTGCGATCTCGGCTCACTGCAAGCTCCGCCTCCCAGGTTCACACCATTCTCCTGCCTCAGCCTCCCAAGTAGCTGGGACTACAGGTGCCCGCCACCACACCTGGCTAATATTTTGTATTTTTTTTTAGTAGAGATGGGGTTTCACCGTGTTAGCCAGGATGATCTCGATCTCCTGACCTCGTGATCTGCCCGCCTCAGCCTCCCAAAGTGCTGGTATTACAGGTGTGAGCCACCGCGCCCGGCCAACATCCATTATTACGTTTCAGATTCATGTCCACTTGGAGAAAAAGGATAATGGTTAATTAAGTGTATCGACCTAGACTTGGATTTGACTTTTGGTGTTATCAAGTACAGTGTGATAGTTGGCAAGTAAGTTAACCTCTCTTAGTCCTAACTTTCATGTGAAGTGAGGAAAATCTATACAAATCTTACCATTAGGATTGTTTGCTCATTTTGTTATATGCCACATAGATATTTTGTGAGTGATGTTTGAAAATATTCTTACTGGTGAATAGTTTTAGTTAATGGTGTATGACTGAACATCTCTACCCTTTTCATCAAATATAATTCTTTGAACTGTATCCTTTTAACAGGTCTCAGTCTTAAAATTTGAGCTGTGAAAAAGTAGGTTACTTTTGCTTATTAATTTTTTTTTCCTTTTAGGAATTATATTCAAAGAAACATTTCAAAATTGATTTTTTATATAATTTGCCTTTTACTTTTTCTTGTCTTTATACTTTTGAATTCAAAGAGTCATCTTTAAGTAAAATGAGCTTTCTCCTTGTAATAATACACAGACCCCAAAAAAGAGACAAAAAGAGAATAGACAGAAATAAACAGAATAGAAACTTGATAAGCAAGGAGATTTTTATTTATTTATTTATTTTGAGACAGGGTCACTCTGTCATGGAGTGCAGTGATACAGACACGGCTCACTGCAGCCTCTACCTCCCAGGCTCAGGTGATCCTCCCACCTCAGCCTCCCCAGTAGCTGGGACCATAGGAATGCACCACCAGGCCAGGCTAATTTTTGATATTTTTTGTAGAGTCGAGGTTTTCACCTTGAGGTTGTCCAGGCTGGTCTCATCAAACCCCTGGGTTCAAGCGATCTGCCTGCCTCCACCTCCCAAAGTGCTGAGATTACAGGTGTGAGCCACCATATCCAGTGCCACAAGATTTTAAGTGTTCTAACCACACACACAAAAGTGATAAGTTTATGGGGTAATGATCATATTAGCATGATTTAGCCATTCCACAATGTATCAAATATATATAACATCATGTTATGTCTATCAAAACATTATATTATACACCATAAATACATACAACTTTTATTTGTCAATAAAAAATAAAAAAAGAAATAAATAGCAAGAGTTATACTCACTGAATTGAATTGTTTGGGTGGGGACAGCATTATCAGCATTCCTTCTCCACCCTAGCCTGCAGCATCTTGGCTATCCTTTCTTCCTTATTTCAGTCTTCTAGTTCCCTTAAGCTGCAAATGGACTGCTGTTTGGTTTGCTTTTTGGAAAATGTTTCTAAACTTGTATGTTTAGTATTGATCAAAGGAAAAAAAAGATAATGGACTCTTGTATACATTTAATTATTTATTGTGATAATTAAATATACACAAGCATGGAACTATAATTCTATGCTTATAACATTCATGCAATCTTAAAAGCAAATCAGTTTACAAAGTAAATAAAAACAATATTGTGAAACCAGTACAAAACTTGTCAGCAACATTTAGTTAATCTAATGGATGATGTTATTGTGCTGAAGCTCATTTTCTTCTCAGAGATTGCTGATAATATCTAGTGTGTTGTTGATGATTCATTTTCTCACACTTTTCCCAGTTGCAACCTGCAGTTCTTGAGAATCTTCTTGCCCTGATGAAGGCCTTCCTTCCATCAGAAGCTTTATTTGTTTATTACTCGGTCATGTTGCCTTTGTTCTGGTAGCAGTTGTTCCTGGCACTAGTGATCCATGACCCAAATGAAGATGGCACCGATTATGTTGATGATGTGGACAATGCAGTCAGTTAAGGCATTAGCCAGAGGAGAGCACAGTTTCTTAAAGGTGTCTACCCTGAGTGTCCACAGACCTCAGTTTGAGATACGCTGCTATGATACATTTTTGATTTGAGAATTAAGTGGGTGTTTATAGTGAAGGAAAACCCTAAGTGCAAATAACAGGTGGAAACACCTTAGACAAGATGAGGCACCTCTGCCTTTCATTTTCTGTGTTTCACTAATGCAACTTAGCCTTTTTTCACTCAGTGTTTTACTTTTTAAGCCAGCTTTGACTTTGTGTGTGTGTTCAGGGCCCACTTAGCTACTAGAATTTTTGGTAGCACAAGGAAAGAATTAAAAGGGGGAAAAAGGCAAGTTTACAAAATTTGAGACTTCCCATAGTTACTGCCCTATTTACTTGGTCATCCTTTAGCTTCTTGTAAGAACTGCCATTGTTTTAGGATATTTTTGGTTATATAAATTTGCACGTAGGTTTTTTTTTTTTTTTGAAGTGGAACTCATCGCAGATTCCTGTTTGTTTTGTGAGAGTTCCTTATTCCACTAAGGTTGTTTGCTTGTGTAGTTGGGCAGCCTAATCAGAGGTGTGGAGGTGTAATTACTTCAACCATTCATTTACTTCTTATAATCATTAGAATTTAAGTTAAATGAGCAGAAGTAATTGCATCTTTCAGATGAGCTGTAATTAATTTTAGGAACTAGTAGATTAGGAATGTGGTGCTTTAAGGTTCTGTTTCCAGAGACCTGTTGCAAGTAAAAGCAGTTATACTTGTGTTAATTTAAATGTGAGCCTTGGCACTCATTAGAGTGAAATGAAATTGGGCTGGCTATTTACTTCCATCTACCTCTCTTCTCATGATCTCCATGAGCTTAATAGGTGCCCTTTAACAGTATCTTTATTTCTCCTAGATTTCTTTTTTCAGCCCATTGTAATTAAAGGCCTCTCCTGGGTTCGGTCAGAGAATGGGTTGCTGTCAGAACAAAAAACAGTTCCTGTCTAGTGGAGACTGGCTTAGCAATAACTACCTTTTGCACTGCCTGTTACAGTTATGATCAAGGTACTTTCAGAGTCCAGGAAACACAGGTAACCACTACACTTTAAGTCACTGAAGAGCTGATTTAGCAACTGTCCATTCATTTATTAACATTTCTTGGAGTACAGTGCTGATTGTGTTAATGATGGTGTTTAAGAATTATTCAGATTATATAAGGTGAAAATGATAAAGCTTACATTAGGATTGCTTTCTTTTCTTTCTTTTTTTTTTTTGATGGAGTCTCGCTCTGTTGCCAGGCTGGAGTGCAGTGGCATGATCTTGGCTTGCTGCAACCTCTGCCTCCCCGGTTCAAGCAATTCTCATGTCTCAGCCTCCCAAGTAACTGGGATTACAGGCGTGTGCCACCACCCCTGGCCAATTTTTTGTATTTTTAGTAGAGATAGGGTTTCACCATGTTGGCCAGGCTGGTCGCAAACTCCTGACCTCAAGTGATCCACCCACCTCAGCTTCCCAGAGTGCTGGGATTACAGGCATGATCCATAGCACCTGGCCAGGATTGCTTTGGTGTCAAGTGCAGTTTTTATTAATGTATATATGGAGAGTGGCAAATCTTTTCTCTAGATTCATAAACAAATAATATCCTAATATTTTAAAATTAGGATATTAAGCTGCATTAAGTAAATGATATGCAACACTGAAATGTTTATTTTAGATAGATAAGAAAGGTTGAAGGAAAGGGGGGTTATTTAGTCTAAAGTCACTTTCATGAATGCTGATTTCTTGCGAGAGCTGTGATTGCCACCTTTTCTGGCCCAGCCATCCCTGCTGTATGAATGGTAATTTCTGCTCATTTCAGCCTTCTAGGCCGGTGCCAGCCTCCCTGCAGCTCCACCTGCCACCCACCAATTTCACCTTGCAGCTCTGCCAGTCTTCCTTTTCCTCTAGCCTGCTGAACCTCTGCCCAGCATCTGATAATCCTTATAGTATAGCTCCAGTGGTTCAGGCCTCATCAACCACAGGCTGCTTCTTGCTGACTTTCATCCTGAAAATTAAAATCACATGCTGAGGCCAGGCGTGGTGGCTCACGGCTGTAATCCTAGCACTTTGGGAGGCTGAGGTGGGTGGATCACTTGAGGTCAGGAATTCGAGACCAGCCTGGCCAACATGGTGAAACTCCGTCTCTACTAAAAATACAAAAAAGTTAGCCAGGCATGGTTGTGCATGCTTGTAATCACAGCTACTCAGGAGGCTGAGGCAGGAGAATAGCTTGAACCCAGGAGGCAGAGGTTGCAGTGAGCTGAGATCGCGCCATTGCGCTCCAGCCTGGTTGACAGAGTGAGACTGTCTCAAAAAGAAGTAGAAAATAATAAAAACACTTGCTGAGCACCTGGATCTGGAAGGCACAGGACCTGTGCTCCATCTTTTACAGCTGCCATATTCTGAGTTATAATGGCTGGCTTTTGTATAAGCGTAGCAACTTACATAACATTTGTTCACCTTAATGGCCCTTGAAGCAAAGGAAAAGAGGCAGGATGATAACAGGGCAGTCAATGGAAATGTAATTATTTTAATTATTTTGTCTTTGGCTAGGTGAATTCAAACATCAGCCTGGATATTTCTGGTAGGGTAGATTCTTCTCTCTAGGATTCATTTGCTCTTGATGCCCAGGTTGGAATGCAATCGCACGATCTCAGCTCACCGCAACCTCCACCTCCCGGATTCAAGCTATTCTCCTGCCTCAGCCTCCCAAGGAGCTGGGATTATAGGCGGCCATCATCACGCCCAGCTAATTTTTTGTATTTTTAGTAGAGATGGGGTTTCACCATGTTGGTCAGGCTGGTCTCAAACTCCTGACCTCAGGCAATCTACCCTCCTCGGCCTCCCAAAGTGCTGTGATTACAGGCTTGAGCCACCGCACCCGGCCTCTAGGATTCATTTAACCAGAATATTTGGTTAATCAGAATACTCCATTCTTTTTATCTGCAGTATTCTGATTCTTTTATCAAAAATCCAGTTATAATACTAAAGAAAGTGTTTTGGTGGAACACAAATAGAACAGTGTGTGTAAGGAATGTGAATTGTGGAATAATAGTAATAGTAGCTAATAATCTGTCAGTTGTCCCAACCTTTTTCCTTTTTGCAGACATGGGAACACATAAGAGAGGAAAAATAAGCCTGAATTTTCTAGGATTTTGAGGATAATTCCTCTAATTTAATTTTTACATGGAATATAGTGGGAAAAAGCTAGGATAAGACTAATAGTGGCTGGGCGTGATGGCTTACAGCTGTAATCCCAGTGCTTTGGGAGGCTGAGGCAAATGGATCATTTGAGTTCGAGTTGGAGACCAGCCTGGGCAACATGACGAAACCCCATCTCTACAAAGTATACAAAAAATTAGCTGGTGTAGTGATGCGTGCCTGTAGTCCCAGCTCCTTGGGAGGGTGAGGTGGGAAGAGCGATTGAAGATCTGGAGGTTGAGGATGCAGTGAACCATGATCATGCCACTCCACTTCAGCCTGCACAACAGAGCAAGACCCTGTGTCAAAAAACAAACAAACAAAAAAACTGGTAACACTTTGTAGATTATTTTATGTAAAATCAATTATGACAGATTTTCAGTTCCAATTTTTAGATTCTATGGTAAAATGTCTATTTTTTTTATTTTTTATTTTATCTATTTATTTTTTTTGAAGCAGACTTTCACTCTTGCTGCCCAGGCTGGAGTGCAATGGCGTGATCTTGGCTGACTGCAACTTCCGCCTCCCGGGTTCAAGCAATCCTCCTGTCTTAGCCTCCTGAGTAGCTGGGATTATAGGTGTGCACCACCACGCCCAGATAATTTTTTGTCTTTTTAGTAGAGATGGGGTTTCACCATGTTGGTCAAGCTGGTCTCGAACTCCTGACCTCATATGATCCACCCGCCTCAGCCTCCCAAAGTGCTGGGATTACAGGCGTGAACCACTGTGCCCGGCCCCCTAATTTTTTATTTTATTTTATTTTTAGAGACAGGGTCTTGCTCTGTTTCCCAGGCTGGAGTGCAGTGGCTATTCAGAGGCAAGATCATAGTGCACTACCGCCTCAAACTCCTGGCCTCAGTCAGTTCTCCCACCTCTACCTCCTGTGGAGCTGAAACTATAGGAACATGCCACTGCACTTACCTCAAAAAGTCTTAATTTTTAAAGGTATTTTTAAAATGCCAAATATGACATTCTAAAATGTTGGTTTATCTGATTTGGTGATCATCTCTGGGTATACTGGAGAGTGTCTTCTATTTTGTTAAGAATGGGGAACCATCTCTAGGAGGGTTGTCAATGTCAGGTAACATGTAAAAAAAAAATTGGAAAACTGCTGCCTGTATATAACTTGCTAGATTAATAATAATACTATCCCTGAATCTTGGCTTTACTCTGGAAAAAAGTAGGTGGAAACGGAATGACATCCCTTTATTTGGAAGTTAGGCATGGTCATCAGTGGTGGAATTTCTTTTTTTGTTGTTTTGGTTTTTTTTTTTGTTTTTTTGAGACGAAGTCTCGCTCTGTCGCCCAGGCTGGAGTGCAGTGGCGCCATCTCGGCTCACTGCAAGCTCCGCCTCCCAGGTTCAAGCCATTCTCCTGCCTCAGCCTCCCCAGTAGCTGGGACTACGGGCGCCCGGCACCACGCCCGGCTGATTTTTTGTATTTTTAGTAGAGACGGGGTTTCACCGTGTTAGCCAGGATGGTCTCCATCTCCTGACCTCGTGATCCGCCCGCCTCGGCCTCCCAAAGTGCTGGGATTACAGGCGTGAGCCACCGCGCCCGGCCAATCAGTAGTGGAATTTCTATGATATTTCCTCATGCAAATCTAAAAAGCCATATTGCTTGCTGCTCTATGAAAGACGTGCCAAATAGTGTTCCCTTGTGTGTAAATATATACTGGAGCTTATCCAAATGAAAGACCCAGGTTCAGTTTTTCTCTTTCGTATACAGGAAAAGTGATGATTTAATTTGGAAAACTGGTCTGTGTCTGTGTGTGGACTGGAGTGATAAGGCACTAATAGAAATAAGTATTCTGTCTAGTGTATTATCCCTTTCCAAATGAGAGCTATGTAAATTGGTTTTAGTTCGCTGTTGTGAGAATTTTCTCTTCTTCATTTATTTAATTTCCTTATTCCTTAAAATGTCTGAATGAAAGATAGGGGCCAAACGGTGGGAGTGGAGAGCAAGGGGAAGCAAATTAAAGTCAGTTGTGACAACAATTTACATATTATGGTTTTGGAACTTGTATTAGACTTTCTCTTCCTTCTATGAAAAAGTTACTCTGTAATACTAGAGAATCAAAAGACTCTGAGACTAGCCTTCCAACTGTTTTATTATTTATTTTAAAACATTTTTAAATTAAAAATTAATTATTTGTAGAGATAGGATCTTGCTATGCTTCCTTGGCTTGTCTCCAACTTCTAGCCTCAAGCCATCCTCCCACCTCAGCCTCCCAAAGTGTTGAGATTACAGGCATGAACCACCACACTCAGCCTTCAACTGTTTTAAAAGTTGGTTGTAATCCCATCACTTTGGGCGGCTGAGGTGGGAGCATCATTTGAGGCCAGGAGTTGAAGACTGGTCTGGACAACACAGTGAGACCTGTCCCTATAGAAAAAAAGAAAATTAGCTGGGTGTGGTGGTGTGCACCTGTAGTCCCAGCTACTCGGAAGGCTGAGGCAAGAGGATCACTTGAGCCCAGGAGGTCCGCGCTGCAGTGAGCCATGATCACGCCACTGTACTCCAGCCTGGGCCACAGAGCGAGACCCTGTCTTAAAAAAAGGTCATTTTCCAACATGGAGAACCCCCGTTTCTACTAAAAATACAAAATTAGCCGGGCATGGTGGCGCATGCCTGTAATTCCAGCTACTGGGGAAGGGAAGGCTGAGACGGGAGAATCACTTGAACCTGGGAGGCGGAAGTTGCGGTGAGCCCAGATCGTGCCATTGTACTCTAGACAATGTACTCAAGAGTGGAACTCCGTTTAAAAAAAAGGGTCATTTTTAAAAAATTTATTTTTCATTTTTTTATAATTGGTTATGGAAAACTTAAGGAAGAACATTCTCTTTAAAAATTGTCAACTTTAGAGATAATCGAGGTGCCTTTTTTAGAGGCACACTGTTTGCGGGAGATTTGGGAAAGCTGTGTACCATGAAATAATGATGTTGACATATGAGCTAAGAGGGAGTTTTTAAAAACAATTCTGGTTTTCCTTAGGGGTGACTTTTGCTAAGGCTATTACTTTTTTCTAGTTCCAGCTCCATCACTGTACCTGTTTCTCAGTATGTGATGTTGCAGAGCTCCTCTTCCATTTTCATTTTATTTCTTCTTTCTTTCTCTTAAATGTTGGTGGTACCTTCTCAGCCCTTTCACTGTTTGCTTTCCTTGTATGATAACGTCACCTCCCAGGGTTCCAACCCTGACCTCATTTTCCTAAACTTTGGGCCCGATTTTTACCAGCCCAGGGGATATAACTACCCTGATGCTGATGTGCTTTAGGCAACATCAGACTCAATCTGTCAAAAAATAAGTTTTTCTTTTCCTCCAGCTTGTTCTCTTTGTATTCCTTTTTGTTCAGTTATAACCTCATGCATCTGGTAAATCTTATTGGGAAACACTGAATCCTTCTAACTCTTCCCATTTTTCACCCCATCCATTTTGTTAGCCCTGCAATTCTATATCTAAAATATCTTAAATTTGATTTTCTCTGTCTGCATTAATATATTTTTATATATAGAGAGATTAATGATTTTTTTCTTAGCTTAAAACAACAAATTTATTCATGTATATATATATATATATATATATATATTTTTTTTTTTTTTTTTTTTTTTTTTTTTTTTTGAGATGGAGTTTCACTCTTGTCACCCAGGCTGGAGGGCAATGGCGTGATCTCGGCTCACTGCAACCTCTGCCTCCTGGGTTCAAGCGATTCTCCTGCCTCAGCCTCCCAAGCAGCTGGGATTACAGAGGTGCGCCACCACGCCCAGCAAATTTTTGTATTTTTAGTACATATGGGGTTTCACCATGTTGGCCAGGCTGGTCTCTAACTCCGGACCTGAGGTGATCCACCCGCCTCGGACTCCCAAAGTGCTGGGATTACAGGCATGAGCCACCACGCTTGGTGATTCTCTTATAATTCTTGAGGTTAGAAATTGGAAATAAAAGTGCCAGCAGTGCCATGCTCTGTCTGAGTTCTCTATGGGAGGACCCTTCCTTGCCCTTTCTAGCTTCTCGTGGTTGCCAGCCATCCAGGGTATTCTTGGCTTGTAGATGTATCACTCCAATCTCTGCCTCTGCTGTCACATGTCATTCTCCCTATGTGTCTCTGTTTATTATACCGGCAGATGTCAGAGATATTGCAGGTTTGGTTGCAGACCACCGCAATAAAGTGAATATCACAATACAGTGAGTCATGTAAATTTTTTGGTTTCCCAGTGCATGTAAAGCTTATGTTTACACTATACATAGTCTATTAAATGTGCAATAGCATTGTGTTTAAAAAATGTGCAGACCTTAATTACAGGACACTTCTTTGCTGAAAAATGCTAACAATCATCTGAGCCATCAGCGAGTTATAATCTTTTTTGTTAGTTAAGGGTCTTTCCTTGATGTTCATGGCTACTGACTGATCAGGGTGGTGGCTGGTGAAGGCTGGAGTTCCTGTGACAATTTCTTAAAATGATAGCAGGTTTTGTCCCATTGATTGACTCTTCTTGCACAAAAGATTTCTCTATACCATGAAATGCTGTTTGATAGCATTCACCCATAGTAGAACTTCTTTCAAAGTTGCAGTCAGTCCTCTCAAACCCTGATGCTGATTTTTATTAAGTAAGTTTATGTAATATTCTAAATCGCTTGCTGTCATTTTAGCAGTGTTCACCGCATCTTCACCAGGAGTCAATTGCACATGGAGAAACTGATTTCTTTGCTCATCTGTAAGAAGCAACTCTTCATTCGTTCAAGATTGATCATGAGATTGCAGCAATTCAGTCACATCTTTAGGCTCTACTGCTAATGCCACTTCTCTTGCTATTGCCATCACATCTGCACTTACTTCCTCCACTGAAGTCTTGAACCCCTTCAAGTCATATATAAGGGTTAAAAATCAACTTTTTCCAGACTTCTATTAATGATATTTTGACCTCCTGTCATGAATTACCAATGTTCTCAATGATATTTAGAATGGTGAATCCTTTCCCGAAGGTTTTCAATGTACTTTGCTGAGATCCATCAGAGGAATTGCTGTCTATGGCAGCTATAGCCTTACAAAATGTATCTCTTAAATCATAAGATTAGAAAGTTGAAATTACTTCTTGATCCATGGGCTACAGAATGGATGTTGTGTTAGTTGGCATGAAAACAATATTAATCTTTTTATACATCGCCATCATAGCTCTTGGGTAACCAGGTACATTGTCAATGAGCAGTAATATTGTAAAATGAACTTTTTTTTTTTTTTTTTCTGAGCAATAGGCCTCTAACCACACAGCGGATTAAAATATTCAGTAAACAGTGTACTGTCATTCAGGCTTTGTTCCATTTCTAGTGCACAGGAAGAGTGGATTTAGCATGCTTCTTAAGGAGTCTAGGATTTTCAGAATGGTAAAGGAGCATTGGCTTCAACTTAGTGTCACCAGCTGCTTTGGCTCCTAACAAGAGAGTCAGCCTGAAGCTTTGAAGCCAAACATTGACTTCTCCTCTGTAGCTATGAAAGTCCTACATGGCATCTTCTTCCAATAGAAGTCTGCTTCATCCACATTGAAAGTCTCTTGTTTATTGTAGCCACCTTCATCCATACTCTTAGCTAGATCTTCTAGAGAGCTTGCTGCAGCGTCTACATTAGCACTTGCTGTTTCACCTTGCTCATTTATATTGTAGGGATGGCTTCTTTTCTTACACCTCTTGAACCAACCTCCGCTCACTTCAAACTTTTCTTCTGCAGCTTCTTCACCTCTCTTATAGAAATCATAGAATTGAAGAAAGTTAGGACCTTGGTCTGGATGAGGCTTTGGCTTAATGCAATATTGTGGCTGGTTTCATCTTCTCTACAGACCACTCAGACTTTCTGCATATCAGCAATAAGGCTGTTTTGCTTTCTTATCATTTGTGTGTTCACTGAAGTAGCATTTTTTTTTTCTACCTCATGGAACTAGGAGAAATGGAGTAGCACTTTTAATTTCCTTCAAGAACTTTTCCTTTGCATTCATAATTTGACTGACAACAGAGGCCTAGTTTTCGGACTGTCTTGGCTTTTCTTGTGCCTCCCTCATGAAGTTTGATCATTTTATCTTTAAAGTGAGGGATGGCTGGGCATGGTATATTACACCTGTAATCCCAGCACTTTGGGAGGCCAAGGTGGGCAGATTGCTTGAGCTCAGGAGATTGAGACCAGCCTGGTCAACATAGCAAGACCCTGTCTCAAAAAAAAAATAATAATATAATGAATAAAAATAAAAATAAAGTGAGAGACATGCAAATCTTCCTTTCATTTGAACACTTGGAGGCCATTGTAGGGTTATTAGTTGGCCTAATTTTAATATTGTTGTGTCTCAGAGAATAGGGAGGCAGAAAAAGAAAAACAGAGATGGAGGAATGCCTGGTTGGTGGAGCAGTTAAAACACACACAACATTTATTGACTAGGTTCACTGGCTTTTATAGACACTGTTCATGGCATCCCAAAACAATTACAGTGGTAACGTCAAAGAGCATTGGTCACAGGTCATCATAAAGATGTAGCAATAATGAAGAAATTGTAATATTGTGAGAATCACCAAAATGTGACAGAGACAGGAAATGAGCACATGCTTTTGGAAAAGTGGTATCAATAGACTTGCCCGATGCAGTGTTGTAAAAAACCTTCGATTTGTAAAAAAAAAAAAAACTGCAAAGTACAATAAAATGAGGTTTGCCTGTATTTCAATTAGTCTTTCAATTTTAATAGAAACATCCAGGTGCCTAGGATATTTGTGTTCTTTTTTTTTTTTTTTTTGACACGGAGTTTTGCTCTTGTTGCCCAGGCTGAAGTGCAATGGCACGACCTCGGCTCACTGCAAGCTCTGCCTCCCAGGTTCAAGCGATTCTCCTGCCTCAGCCTCCCGAGTAGCTGGGATTACAGGCACGTGTCACCATGCATGGCTAATTTTTATATTTTTAGTAAAGACGGGGTTGGCCAGGCTGGTCTCGAACTCCTGACCTCAGGTGATCCGCCCACCTCGGCCTCCCAAAGTGCGGGGATTACAGGCATGAGCCACTGTAATCCCTGCCTGGATATTTGTGTTCTAATTAGCTCTTACCATATAGTGGATGCTCAGTAACTACTGAATATCAACCAGTTTGCATTTTACTAAGAGCATGAGATGGAAGAGTATTTTGAATATCTGTATAGTAAATGAGCCAGAGAATGGGGACTATGAATATACTGTTTCGTATTACTTTCAGCAGGTTTTACGTGCAACTGCGCTGGCTTCTCTGGGCTAACTTCTCAGACTAGATAATCTGGGGGAACATCATCAGGAGTTAGAGCTTTGTTCCAGTGTTGGCATTGCCACTAACCAGTATTATGGGTCCAAGCCATTGGCCCCATACTCTATTTTCATCAAAAATGAAAATAGCATTTGCCTTATATTTCTTGCAGGATTTTTGTGTGGGCCAATGGAAAGAATGCATAATAACATATTATGAAGATGTAGCATTTTTTTTTCACTTGCTCTTGGCAGGATCATTGTAATTGGAATTATTTCAGCTTTTTACAAGATTTAACTTTAACAGTTTCTTGTCAATGTTATTATCATATTCCCTAAAAATGAGAAATTATTGAAATGGTAATGCTTCTATTAGATGTTAAAGCATGGGCTTGTCCCACTCAAATTAGATCTGCTTAATAGGAAATGATTATAAGATATGATATAGTTTTGATTTGCCTTTTAAAAAATAATTATCTATCTTGATTTGAGAACCAAGAATTAGGTTGCCATTTAGGGCTTAATGAACAGACAGTATAGATTTTGAGACTTTATAGACATATCTACTGGTGCTTTAGTTCTGCTGGCTCAGGTCAGTGGTGTATACAAATTATTTAAAATGATGATCACAATTTGCACTTCTCAGAAGTGAAATCAATAATTCAGCAATTTTACAAAATTAACAGGCCAAACTGCAGATGACAGAACTCTTTCCCATGTTAGTTTCTGCACCGAAGACAGACAATGGCTTAGAAAAGTGCTTTCCTAGGTGTCTCTTATGATACACAGATGTTTTGTAAATGTAATTATGCTGAAGGTGAGATCATCCAGGCAGTTATTGGTGAGAAAAGAAAATGATGAAATTGATAGGACATTGCTGGAGGGGCTGAGTGTGTTAATTAGAGACAAAAGAGACATTCAGTTAAGAATTGAAGGGGAAGATTCAGCTGGCTCAGTGAGAACATTGAATTGAGCCTTTTAGCTAGTTGATCCAGGAAAGGTGGTACAGTTAACTTTGTGTCAGAATCACCAGGAGCAGATATGTGGATGGTGCCCTAAAAACAAAACAATATTTAAAAGAAAAAAGAAGGAAAGATATTTCTTATTGGATCTGTGAGTTAAAAAGGAGCTCAGGCCCGGGGTTGAGGGAATTAGGGAACAAGGGACAGGAAGTCTTAGCTTTTGGGACAGCTTAGAAAGTGAAGCACAGGCCGGAAAAGGCCAGCCTCGGAGGTTAAAGAAAGAGAATGCAGATCCTGAATAATCCTGAACAGGGAAAGTGCGTGAGAGTGATGGCATCCAGGTTTGTCAAGTTTAAACTCTCTTGGGTGCACAGCCTTTTCTTCCCAGTATTGCCTTCATTCCTCAGACTGCTCTAATGGAAATTAGAAATCTGTGAGTATTCATGGCTGGCTGAGTGTGATGTTTTGTGATATCCACCGGTAAGAGGGGATGAGAGGATGAAACAAGGATGCAGAAGCAAGATGTCAATTGAAAGATAACTCTCAGGTCAGGTATGGTGGCTCGGTGGTTCATGCCTGTAATCCCAGCACTTTGGGAGACCAAGGAGGGAGGATCTCTTGAAGCTAGGAGTTGGAGACCAGCCTGGGCAAAGCAAGAATCCCCGCCCCCGCCGCCCACTCCTTGTCTCTACAAAAATAAAAAATTAAACCAGGTGTGGTGGCATGCACCTATAGTCCTAGCTACCCAAGGAGGCTGAGGCAGGAGGATCGCTTGAGCCCAGGAGCTTGAGGTTGGAGTGAGCTATGTTCAAGCCACTGCACCACAGCCTGGGTGAGCCTGGGTGAGCCTGAGTGAGCCTGGGTGAGCCAAACCCCAACAACAACAACAACAAAAAAAAAAAAAAAAAAAAGAGAGAAGAAAAGAAAAAGAAAGACACTGTTCCTACTTTAAGTCCTTAGGTTATGGCTTGGATTTGTATCTTTGAGATTGTGCTTTGTACTTCTGTCAGGATATATATTGGCACAAACTAATCCCAATTTAACCAAATAATCTGAACATTAAATCTGGCTAAAAGAAACAGAGGGGTGCTCTGTAGCTAACAGCTTAGTGTTATCACTCACACATGTGCAGTGTTAATAACATTTCATCTTTAATCATTAGAACATTTTAATGTTAAGTAGGATCATTGAAGATTTAGCCTTAACAGTAGTCAGCCTAGAATAGTAGAAAGAGAGTGAGCTTTGGAGTCAGAGAAATGCTTTTCAATTCTAGGTCTGCGGCTAGTTAGCAGCTTGATTGTGAGCACATCACCTGGCTTCTTTTGTGAGTTTTTTTCTTTGTCCTTAATATGGGAGCAATATTTACTTTATCTGCATATTTTTGGGATTCATTGAGATAACACATGTAAAGTATCTAGTACAATTTATGGTACTCGGTATTAAATGTTAGTTTTCTCACCTTGTTCATCTGTAGCTAATGTTAAGACTAGAGAGAAATTAGACCAGAGTTATAAATAACCACCACCATGTTTCATTCAAAAGAGGATGTGAGATGGTTTTTCTAAGCAATATCTTTACCTTACCTGGACACATGCATTATATTTAATT
Organism: Homo sapiens; assembly: GCF_000001405.40. Classification (NCBI taxonomy): domain Eukaryota; kingdom Metazoa; phylum Chordata; class Mammalia; order Primates; family Hominidae; genus Homo; species Homo sapiens. Next base: position 100,705,731 of record NC_000011.10, read on the forward strand.
ATTTTTTATTTTATTTTTTAGAGTCAGGGTCTCACTGTGTTGCCCAGGCTGGTCTCAAACCCCTGGTCTCAAATGATCCTCCCGCCTTGGCCTCCCAGAGTGCTGGGATTATAGGCGTCACTGTGCCTGGCATATGTTTAATGTTTCATATTGATGTGAGAGCTGTAGACCATGTATCATTGCTTAGTTTCCTGAATGTGCCTTGCAGTGGGAGTGCACCTGTACTTCTGTGGAATAGTTAAGTAACTTTTTTTTTTTTTTTTTTTTTGAGATGGAGTCTTGCTCTGTCACCATGCTGGAGTGTAGTGGTGCGATCTCGGCTCACTGCAACCTCTGCATCCCGGGTTCAGGCAATTCTCCTGCCTCAGCCTCCCACGTAGCTGGGACTACAGGCGCGTGCCACCACGCCCAGAGTTAGCTGACTTTTTAAGGACCTTTCCTTATCTGAGATTTTGTGATTTTGTAAATAAAATGGTTTTCATTGTATCTTGTCTGGATGATTTGATTACTTCCCTGTTTCTCTCCCTAGCAAGTTAGCTCCATAAGAGTAGGCACCAAATCTTTGGGACTCAGGAGATGGACACATGATATATTTTTAGTAAGTGCTCATTACATGACTGAGCTTACAGGAAGTTGTGTCAGACTAGTGTTTGGAGAGGCTGAAGTCTACAGGTGGTCATTAACCACTTCATATTGGAACCACTTCTGAAACTTTGTATGTGAAGACAAATATCATTGTGACAACTCTTTTAGAATGTTATGTAGACTTACCAGAAAGAGGTTGATTAGAGTAGGCTTATTCAGGGAATTGATATTTGTATTAAATAATTAATTTTCTCTTCAGCAATGACAATTATATATAGTAACTCAGATTCAAGGGATATTGCTAAAATGTACAAATGATTTATATTTCCTGTTTGTAACAAAGCTTTGCATTTTCAAGATGTCATTTCAAAGGGTTGATTTTAATTTTATGGGAATGCCTTCTTTAAAGATGCCATTTATATTTTTTAACAGCTTTCTTAAGATATAATTCACTGCCATAAAATTTACCCTTTTAAGAATCCACTGGTTTTTAATATATTCAGAGTTGTACAACCATTACTGCTATCTAATCTTAGAATATTTCTATCACCCCCAAAGAAACTCTATCCCCATTAGCTGTCACTCCTCATTCCCCATCTTCCCTAGCCCCTGGAAACTGTTACCAATATACTTTCTGTTTCTACATAATTGCCTGTTCTGGATTTTTCATATAAATTGAACCATATAATATGTAGCTTCTTGTGAAGTGCTGTGCTTACTTAGCATATTTCAAGGTTCATCCATATTTAAACATAGACCAGTATTTCACTCCTTTTTATTGACAAATGTTTTTCAGATATATGAATGCACCAAATTTTGTTATCAATTTGTCAGTTGAACATTTTAGTTGTTTCTTCTAATTTTTTTGGCTGTTAAGAATAATGTTGCTGTGAACATTCATGTACCTTTTTCTGTGTGAACATATATTTTCATTCTCTTGGGTATATACCTAGGAGTGGAATTGCTGGGTCATATAGTAACTCTGTATTACAACTCATTTTTACAAAGAGAAACTTAAGTTTATAAGCATTTAAATTGCATTCTTTATGATAGAAAGCATTTCAAGAGCCAAGTATATATTTAAATTAATTATTTTTCGTAACAAATTCAGACAGGGCCTTTATATGCTGGTGACAACAGAATGACTTAGAAGGTATTTAAAGAAGTATCATTTCTGCATTCTATTAATTATAGATGGATAACTATTTTAAACTCTCATCATCAGTAAATGCGAGACAAAAGCAATGTTTACATAAGTGCAAAGGGTGGTAAGAGGAATGGGAGGAGAAGACAAGAAGATGCAAAGAACAGTGTTGAGCAAGGACGAAAGAGGTGAAGGAGAAAGAAAATGAGACATTTACTCGCATATTCATTCAACAGATGTATTTAGCACTTGCTGTGTGTCAGGTACTGCTCTAGGCCTTGGGAATATAGGCCAGACAGAGGTCCTGTTTTCCTGGGTTTACATGACTGTGGACCTGCTGCAAATATGGTATACATGTTGTTATTGCTTGGTGTTGAGAGTTAGTAGGTGCCATGTGTAGCCTTTATTTCCTCCAGATAGCTGCCTTCTTTTGTGTGTTCCATAGACTGATTTGTACATACTTTCTTGATAGTAGGCATACAGCATAGGAATCTTATATGAGAATATGATATCTGTTCTTCATCCAATCAGATCTATTCAGGAAATACTTATTGACCACCTACTACACTTCAGGCACTGTTGTAGATATGGAGATTGTATATGTATGTACACTGAGTAGCCCTAGTAAGTCATTCCTTCTTGAGCCCTGCCTTCCTCATTTTTGCAGTGTGGATAATAATAATGGTAATGCCTCCTTTTTAAAATGAAGATTAAGTCCCTTTTGTGAGCTGTACCTAGCATAGTACCTGGTACATAGAAATCAATAATTGGTCTGGGCGTGGTGGCTCACACCTGCAACACCAGCACTTTGAAAGGTCTAGGTAGGAGGATTGTTTGAACCCAGGGGTTGGAGACCAGCCTAGGCAACATAGCGAGACCCCATCTCTACAAAAAATATAATAAATTAGTTGTGCGTGGTGGCACACGCCTTTAGTCCCAGCTACTTGGGAGGCTGAAGCAGGAGGATCACCTGAGCCCAGGAGGTCAAGGCTGCAGTGAGCCATGATGAAGCCTTGCACACTCTAGCTTGAGTGACAGAGTGAGACCTGTCTCAAAAACAAAACAAAACAAAAAACAAACAAAAAATCCCCCAAGAAATCAGCAAATAGTGGATATTATAATGACACTAGTTTTTAAATAGAAAAGGCAAAGTAACATCACTATTAAAAATATTCCAAAAGAGAAATGTTTCTCTGGCTTTCTATGATGATAAACTTTATTATATTTTTAATTTAACCTCCCATGTTCACATGCACACACTTAAAAAAATATAAATATTATAATTGTATCACAGTAGTCCTTCCTTATCCACAGAGATAAGTTTGAAGACCCTCAGTCAGAAACTGAGGATAGTAACAAACCCTATGTGTACTGTTTTTCATATCCATATATTGCTATAATAAAGTTTAATTTATAAATTAGGCATAGTGAGAGATTAACAACAATAATCATAAAATAGAACAGTTATAACAATGTACTGTAATTAAAGTTACATGAATATGATTTGTCTGTCTGTCTCTCAAATACCTTGTACTATACTCACCTTTCTTTTTGTGATCTGTCAATCTGCTACCTGAGACAGCTCTTTTTGTTTTTTTGAGATGGAGTCTCACCCTGTCACCCAGGGTGGAGTGCAGTGGCATGATCTTGGCTCACTGCAACCCCTGCCTCCTGGTTTCAAGCGATTCTCCTGCCTCAGCCTCCTGAGTAGCTGGGACTACAGGCACATGTCACTACGCCCAGCTAATTTTTGTATTTTTAGTAGAGACGGCGTTTCACCATGTTGGCCAGGCTGGTCTTGAACTCTTGACCTCAAATGATCTGCCCGCCTTGGCCTCCCAGTGAATGTTGTTTGTCTGTCTGTCTCTCAAATACCCTGTACTATACTCAGCTTTCTTATTGTGATCTGTCAATCTGATATCTGAGACAGCTCTTAAGTGACAGATGGGTAGGTAGGATATACAGCATGGAGAAGCTGGACAGTGGGGTGATTCATGACTCATGACTGCTTGAGACAGTCAATATTTCATTGTGATACTCAGAATGGCATGTAATTTAAAACTGGTTGTTTCTTTCTGGAATTTTCCATTTAATATTTCAGACCTCAGTTGACTGTGAGTAACTGAAATGGTGGAAAGCAAAACTGGATGAGGCAGGCCTACTATATATAGCATTTATACCACTATATGGAATATTTTTCTCGCTTCTGCATATTTTTTATTACTAGCATATTTATGGCTTAAAGTCCTCAGATTGAAGGTGATACTTATGTGTGAGTAATTTAAAGCAGTTGACATACAAAATGTAAGTGAAACCAGAATGGGTTACATTTTGAGTAAAGAAACATCTGCAGTTTGCTGCAGTCCACCAGAAGGAAATTGGATCATGTATCAGCTATGCGATTGAATAAGACTTTCATCTTTTAAAGAATTTTTCCTGCCTAAAATCTGCATCCATCTGTTATCCTGAAATGAAGCCTGTGATATACACACTGTGACATGGAGTTTGGGAAGCCCCAGAATATTCTTCTATTGCACTTGGGAATTCAGCGGGGTCGGGGGGGCATCTGCTGAACTTAACTGGAAATCAGGAACAACTATTTTCAAAGCACATTCAGGCTCACACTTTGAGATTACTCCTTTTTCTTAATGTGGACAGCTTAAGTCAGCTCTTGCATATTTCTTTTGGGGTTCTAAATTATTAAGTTTATTTTTGAGTTACAAATCATGTTATCTTTTATATATTATAACATTGTATTTTTTCAATGAATTTCTTTTTTATTTTTTTAGACAGAGTCTCACTCCATCTCCCAGACTGGAGTGCAGTGGTATGATCTCGGCTCACTGTAATCTCCACCTCCCGGTTGAAACGATTCTCCTGCGTCAGCCTCCTGAGAAGCTGGGATTACAGGTGCATGCCACCATGCCTGGCTAATTTTTTTTTTTTTTTGTATTTTTAGTAGAGATGGGGTTTCACCATGTTGGTCAGGCTGGTCTTGAACTCCTGACCTTGTGATCTGCCCACCTCGGCCTCCCAAAGTGCTGGATTACAGGCATGAGCCACTGCGCCCGGCCAGCAGTTTTTTTTTTTTTTTTTTTGAGACAGAGTCTCGCTCTGTCCCCAGGCTGGGGTGCAAATGGCACGATCTCGGCTCACTGCAACCTCTGCCTCCCGGGTTCAAGTGATTCTCCTGCCTCAGCCTCCCGAAGTAGCTGGGACCACAGGCACATGCCACCACACCCAGCTAATTTTTGTATTTTTAGTAAAGACAGGGTTTCACCATGTTGGCCAGGATGGTCTTGATCTCCTGATCTTGTGATCTGCCCGCCTCGGTCTCCCAAAGTGCAGGGATTACAGGCTTGAGCCACTGTGTGCAACCAGGAGTTTCTTATTAGAAGAAAATCTCGTAGGGTGCCTTTTGGCTTCAGGCTCTTTATGGCCACTTGTTCTGTTCAACCCTGTGGTGCCACACCCCCTCAGATCATACTTGTGTGCACATGCATGTGTGCATTAACATCCTAGAGTTTTCAAAGCTATGGTCTCTGTCCCTTTATATTTAGTACTTTGCCATGTACACATTTGTTTTAGGTAACTATTGAATAAATGGTTATGTTGAGTTTGTGAAGATTTAACACTGTGATATTCCAGAGCTTAGGACTGGTGATCAGTTGCCAAATTGAAATAACACTTTGGTCATTATTTTATGGGACTGTTGTATATTTGACTCTGTTGGCTGAAGCTTGACCTTGCTAACTGAAGCTTCTTTTCCCTTGGCTTCTTGGGAGCCATATTCTCTTATCAATCTTTTCATCAGCGTTTCCAACTTTTTCTTCTTAGTCTCTTATAGGTCCTTTACTTCTTCCTTCTACTTGAATGTGTTTATATTGTCCAATGAGAATCTTCTCTGTTTGTTTTTTGAGACAAGGTCTCTGTCGCCCATGCTGGAGTGCAGTGGTGAGATCTTGGCTCACTGCAGCCTTGCCCTCCTAGGCTCAAGTGATCCTCTTGCCTCAGCCTCCCAAGTAGCTGGGACTACAGGTGCACACTACCATGCCCAGATAATTTTTTGTCTACTTTCTTTAGACATGATGTCTCACTATGTTGCCCAGGCAGGTCTTGAACTCCTGAGGTCAAGTGATCCTCTTGCCTCAGCCTCCCAAATTGTTGGGATTACAGGCGTGAGCCACTGTGCCCAGCCCCTTTTCTCAGTAAACTTAAATTGGTGATGAATATTTATCCACAACCAAATGGTTATTATCTATGCAATAAACAAGGGGAAAGAAAGGTCAGGAAGCCAATAGGTAACTGGGCACTACACACAGGACAGTTGATTAGTTAAAAGATGAAAACAGCTGTTAGCCTATGAGAAGATAATCACCTTTACCAGGAGTCAAAGAAATGCAAATGAATATGAGAGTAAGGTAAATTGTTTAAATCTAATTAATTAGCTAAAAGATGTAAAAATAATATCTTTGGCTAATTAAAGGTGTACTGAGACTCTAACTTTCATTATGCTCCCTATGGCATTGTAAATTAGTAATATGTTTCAAGAACATTAAAGGGTTTGTACCCACTGATTTCGTGATCTCAATTATGATACTCTTTCTACAGCAGGTAATATTGATTGCCTACCCAGCTCCCTTGCCTTTTCTTCCTTTCTAAAGGAACCTTGAGTTTTTTCGGGAACACACCTCTACCCAGGTTGGGGGTAAGTACTAATTAGTTGAGTCACACAGCACCCCTTTGAGTTCGCTGCAGTATTGCATGCAGTTTGGGAACTGTGCTTTTAACCTGTATAAATAATTAGAATTTACTTATAATAGAAAATAATTAGAAATGACTTAAGTGATTGCTAATAAAGTTTACCAAATTAGTTATCTAGACAATTAAATATAACTCTTCTGATATAAATCTAAGAGAAAAGCGAAGTACAGAATTGTTACATGCTACTGTTATTATATGAAAAAAATTGCCTGTGAAAAAAATTAGTAAAATATAGCAGAAAGAAATGCGGTGTGCAAAATGTATCAGGGTGGTGATATTAAAGATATTTTTCTTCCTCCCCCCTTCTCCCCCCAGAAGTGGGATAAGGGAAGTTAATGAGAACTGAGTGGCAGGTGGTGGGAGGGAGGGACCTCCTGGTTGTCCTTCTATCTGAGCTTTGCAGGTGTAATTCTCCAGAGTGCACGTGGGTTTTCAGTATGCATGTGCGTGTGTTTGTGTGAGGGTGAGGGAAGGAGTTAATGAGTTCTGAAGCTCCCGCCAGTTACTGAGAATTGATCAGGTAGAAGCTGGAATAGATACAGTCTTTTTAAAGTCTTTACTCTTTAACTACATTTTTTTTCAATCCATGAACAGTACTCTGTAAATAATTTGCTAGCAACTTCCTTAGTTTTTAGTCTTCACAACCTTTCTCTACCTGCCTTCCTACCTCCAATGTCTGGCTATTTAATTTGCTTTCTCTCCTTTTATCCAATTATCTTTGAGCAGTGCCTCTTTTCATTCCTTTAGAAATGACATATCGAAAATATCATAAAATATACATATCCAAGTCTGGGTTGTCTTACTTGGTTGTGGTAAGCACGTGGTTTTTGTGGACAAATTAATTATACCAGGTGTTCCCATTAAGACATAACTAGTATTAACAACCATAAGTGTTCTCCTGGAAAACAGATTTAGGTTTTAAGATTATTGAGAATACATTTCTGGCACAGGTTTAAGTAGAGAACCTATAGTGAGTTTAATATCTTTTGTAATGTTTTATATACTATTAGAAACAAATCTCATTCCTGTGACAGTCCCTCATAGGAAAATATGTCCTTATTGTCTTTGAAGTCACAGATATTGAGGCAGATGGGTCAAAGTTGAAAGGAGAAAATTTGAGACTTGGAAATCATGAAACAAACTGCTACAGTCTTGTAAGATCTGCCATTGATTAGACCAACCTGGGAATGGATCCTCTGATCCTCTGTACAACCTACAACCTTGGGCAAGTTCTTAGCGCTCTCTGAGGCTGTTTCCTCTATTTTAAATATGGGATAACTATCTTTGCCACACAGGTTTATTGTGATAATTAAATTAATTCATTTTTCAGCTAATTATTAGTCACCTAATGTGGATTAAGCATCATGCTAGGGAGGGACATACTTAAGCTAAAATAAATGACCGAGTAAAAAAAATAATTTGGTTTCTCTTTAATTTCTGCTAAAAAATACATGGAAATTTTAAGGTATTTACCCAAAAGGAATTTGGTATAATAAAACATTGTTATTGGCTATCCTTTAGAGATTTCTTTAGGGGATCTGCAGAAATTTGTTTTTTTGGAATTATTACTCTTATGTGGCCTGCTGTATTCATTGCCTTCTCGGATCAAGCTTATATTTGAGCAAATTCGTTGCATTTTGTTTACTTTGGTGATCCATATGTTTGTATTTCTAATGTGGATTGAATTTTACTGTATTTATCAGTCATCCTTTCTTACAAAATTGTTATGCCACAATCATCTCTTCTGTTCTTTTGCTGAATTAAAAAGAAAAAAAATAATTTAAGGCAAGAATTTTGGCCACTGGGCTCTGTCTGGCCACTCTGAATAGGTATGGTTTTGTAATATGGTATCAGTATCCTGCAGTTTCTGTTATTTAAATCATGAGTAAACCGTAATGGGCAGAATGATGCAAAAATTTCTGAAATCCTGTTTTTGTGAAAATCTTTTTAGCAGAGCTTTTATATGATCTAAAGACTATGAAATGATTTGTTTAAAGAGGACTAAAATGTATTTACCTGTCAAGTCAATTCTTAAATGTTGCAATGTGAAAAGGTTATTGTTAATGACATTTCATATTCCTAATTCTACTAAACTTTATAAAAACATTTCAAAGGGCTAACAGGGAATTGAATTTTAGGTTCACTTACATGTAAAACATAAAAATTTGTGTGTGTGTGTGTGTGTGTGTGTGTGTGTGTATTTGAGATACTTCAGTGCTGTTGGAAGCAGCCATTCCCACTAACCCTAACTTCCAGAGCTGATGGGATGCCTCATCTTTCTTCTACAACCAATGGGAAAGGACTTCCGAAATTCCAGTGTGAAAAGAATTTTGTTGAGCACATGTGACAGCCAGCCCTCTAACATCTCGGGATAGTTTTTAGTTCTTGGACCTGATGGAGAGGTAGTAGACATCAGTTAGCGTAGAGATATCTGGCTAGGCTTTTCAGATTCTTTTTGGTCAGGCTTTTCCAATTCTCTTTCATCAGGTTAAACTACAACAGATAGACCTAAAGAATTCTTATTTAGCCAGGCACAGTGGTAACGCCTATAATCCCAGCACTTTTGGAGGCTGAAGTGAGTAGATCATTTCAGCCTAGGAGTTCGAGAGCCGAGGAGTTCAAGACCAGCCTGGGCAGCATGGCGAAACCCTCTCTCTACAAAAACAATACAAAAATTAGCTGGGCATAGTGGTGCACACCTGTAGACACAACTACTCAGGAGCCTGAGGTGGGAGGATCACCTGAGCCTGAGAAAGTCAAGGCTGCAGTGAGCTGTGATTGCACCACTTCACCGCAGGCTGGGCGATGCAGTGAAACCCTATCTCAAAAAAAAAAAAAAAAAAAAAAAAAAGTTTATTTAAACCAGGTTTACTTTGTATCTCAAATTAATTATACCCTTGTGTAGTTTTTTAGCTTTTGTCTGCAGTTGGGGAATAAGGGTAACTTTCTGTCCTTAAATATGTAGGGCTGGGAGAAAACTTAAAACTTGGTGGAAGAAGTATTCTGCCTTTGAGGGAGATCTCCCTACGCATTCATTTCCTGTTCTAGTTAACTTCTTAGGAACTATCCAGAACAGCCCAGACTTTGTCCTTGTCCTTTGTAGAACAGGATGTCCTGCAATGGTTTAACCCAGTGAATCTAGTATCCCCTGGAGTATAAAACCTAGAGTGGAATAGTTTCAGCTGCAGTTTGATGTGGGGCATGCACAGAAAAGACTTCATTTCTCCCAGGCAGCTTTCCTGACACTTGGGGACTGGCTTGCCATGGATTTTAGGCTTCTCTTGCTTCTTGTTGCCTGTCTGTGAGTAATAAAGTTGCTTTGCTTAACTTGATGTGACAGTGTTCTGTCTCACAAGACTCATCCTTGGCGTATGTGCAAAACTGAGCTTGTGTAAAAACCTCCTGTCAGTGATAGACTTTAGTAGACATTCATGAGGGCTTTAGAGTCCTCCTCTGAGAGTGATACTGGTGCATAGTATTGGCGAGGTATTTAGAATCCTCCTCTGAGATTGATATTGGTGTGTGGTAATCCCCTCTCAGGGATTGATACTGGTGCACTGTATTCTACTTCACATTAGGGGCCTTATAAAAGAGTGAGGAAGCAATGATTTATATTCTTAGGAAGCTTACAACGAAACATAATACAGATATGTGAAAAGAACTAACGTGGATGGTTTCAGATGGTTGAGAAGTCATTGGAGGAACTGCAGTCAGCGTGTCTTCGAGGGAGATATCTACTGATGGGATTGGTGTAGGAAGACAGTCTGGCAGTACAGGGCAGCAGGGACAGCACTGAAGCAGAAATGAATAATCTTCATAACAGGGCTGACAAATTGGTATATTTTTAAAATGATAGCAGTTAACAAATGAGAAACGAGGGGAGACCTGGGAAACACGTACTGTTAGTTTTGAAAGTTAGCCTAAACTATCCCGTAAGCTTCATGGGGACTTTTGCCTATCCTATATTTGATTCACTGTGGTTTCTGCCCCTTGAATTGTGCTGGGTCCTTGGGGGTGCAGAATCATCATGTGTTGAGTACAGGCCATGACAGCAATGCAGCACATACCACTGCACATTTTAAGACCTGCTTGTGGTTCACTGTGAAGGACGTTTTTAAGCTTAGATAATTGAAACACGAGAATTTAATTATAAGTTAAAACCAAAAAACAAAACAACCAGTGGATTCCGTGTCAAACAAATGCTGTTGGTAATTAATGAAGATAATGAAATTGAGTACTTCAGAAAACGAACCAATAGTTTTCTAGTTAGTAAATTTACTGATTGTCAATTTCTGAAGCATCAGTTCTTTCTCTGGACTCACTTGTATGTTTATTGTGTGAAATACAACTGTATTTTTGTGGTTTTATATCGTATAGGGTAAAAGCATGTTTCTTAGGAGGACGACAGTATTATTAGAAAATGACTTGAATTTCACCGTAAAAATATGCTAAAAATATAAATTTCAGTAGTTTTATTTTGTTGGTAGGCAAGTCTGCAAAAAAGAAATTAATTAAAAATATTTTTTTGTAGGATAAGTCTTGTGAGAGATTTTAGGAAGGATAGGAACCTCTGACCCCCTTTAAATTAAAAACTATCTTTAGGTTATTTGGAGAATGAATGCATTGGGTGGAGCAAAAATAAATAATAAATAAGCAAAGACCTTGGGTATCAATTCAGAGCCCCTTGACTGAAGGAGGGCCAGAGAGGAAAATTCCAGGATGAGCTCTTGAGATACTTAAAGCTACAGAATTAAGTATTCATAGGGGATTTCAACAGCTTAGACATCTGTTGAATAACACACATCACTAAACATTTATCATCTGAGGATGGCTCTGGTTACGTAGAGGATAAATTCAAAAAAGGAAACCACGGAGAAGCAGTCTTGGTTTTGTTTCATGCAAGAAGGGAAGGAGTGATAATTCAAACTTGATGTGGATTTAGTATTTACTCTGCATGAACTGGCCTGAGTATTCTGTCCTGGCACTCAGGTTCTCTCACGTAGGATATTATATATTCAAATGTTCCAGTGGTTTTCAAACAGTGGTTTGTGACCCTAGAGGGTTGGTGAAATCAATGTAGTAAGTTGAACTACTATTAGAAAAAAAATTGAGTAAAAAAGATACCATATATAGGCCGGGCGCGGTGGCTCATGCCTGTAATCCCAGCACTTTGGGAGGCCGAGGCGGGCGGATCACAAGGTCAGGAGATTAAGATCATCCTGGCTAACACAGTGAAACCCCGTCTCTACTAAAAATACAAAAAATTAGCTGGACGTGGTGGCGGGCGCCTGTAATCCCAGCTACTCAGGAGGCTGAGGCAGGAGAATGGCATGAACCCGGGAGGTGGAGCTGGTAGTGAGCCGAGATTGTGCCACTGCACTCTAGCCTGGGCGACAGAGCGAGACTCCGTCTCAAAAAAAAAAAAAAAAAAAAAGATTCCATATATAATTCCAGCACTTTGGGAGGCTGAGGTTGGCAGATCAATAGAGGTCAGGAGTTCGAGACCAGCCTGGCCAACATGGTGAAACCCTGCCTGTACTGTAAATACAAAAATTAACAGGACGTGGTGGCACACACCTGTCATCCCAGCTACTCGGGAGGCTGAGGCAGGAGAATGGCTTGAACCCAGGAGGCGGAGGTTGCAGTGAGCTGCAGTGGACTGTTGCCTCCAGCCTGGGCAACAGAGCGAGACTCTGCCTTAAAAAAAAAAAAAAAAGACACCGTAGTGTATTCAGTGTATTAAAGGCAAATGCTGTTTAATGAAACTTGTTTCTGTTTTATAAGTACACATGCATGAGGATACAATATCAGATTTGAAAATGTAGTTATTACTGCGAGTCATGGTCAAAATAAAAAATTGAGGTACATTATCTTATGAGTTCAGGTGTGTGTCTCTAGCATGTATATAGTGAAGCCTGATTCACTTTTTATTCCAAAGGTATGTGGGACAGATCACTTGGAGAAGAGAGATGGTTTGGAGGTCACAGTGTTTGTGGCATGAGACACATTTTATAGGTCTTATGAGGCCCTTCAAGGTAGAACTTGGCCAGCCCCATTGTGAATAGCTCTTGAAGGTGGTCATAGCCACTGGATCTAGCATCTGATACTAAGGTCAAGAAAGAATTTATTTAGTTCATGAAAGCAGATATTTTCTGTGCAAATGCATGCCTTTGACATAAACCATGTCTTTTAATTTTGTTCTATTAAGAATATTTCAGACTTTTGGAGGAGTATAGCTTGGTTGTCAGAAAAAAGGAAGATTTACTCAGATAAACAAATTTGAAACAGCAAAATGCCAACCTGCAAAGTTTGAAGATAAATAAATTGGACAAGGACTCAAACACACCACGAATAGAAAAATTAAAGTTACATATAGGTAGGGAAATGGATTTCAAATGGTAAAATAAAAGTGTATTTCTGAACAAGAATTTAATTAAACTGGAATCATCTACCATGTGGTGCATAGTAATTTTTTACTAATTCTCACAGAGTAAATTCTCACTTAGACTAATTTCTCACATAGTAATTTCTCCCTTCATGTATATTAAATGCACAGATTACTAAAAAAGTGAATCCTATATTGAGTAAATTATCATGTAAATTAGTTTCTTGTTTATGTAATGGTTCAGTACTTTATTTAACGTGACTTATTTAAATATGTATTGCATTTGATAGATTTCATATTATTTTATTCAAGCTTTAAAGTATTCTCTAATGAATGGTATTTGTGATGGAGAAAGGAAGAGAAGGTTGTGATGCTTCACTATACCTCATGATTTATGTACCTTATTGAATACAATTCCTTAATAGATTGGAAGAACCAATCATCCTTCAAAGAAAATAGATTACTGGGAAAATATTGGAAAGAACATTGGACTAATTGAAAAACTTAGAATAAGAGCATTTAGTGGTAGATAAATTTAAAAATGTCAGGCACAGCTAAACGAATTCACATTTCTTGCTTCCTAATTCTTCATTCACCACTAGATACTGTCTTTTTCTTTTTGCTGAAATATTGGCCAGTCAAATAATAGGAGAAAACAACTGAATATTAATTGATAACTTTCAAGTTAGGTGAGGATTTTACTGCAGATTAAGACTGTAACAGGAGGATGTATCTACTTTGAGCTCTGTTGGAAGTTTTGGCCATGATAATTATTTAACATCAGTCTCCATGGCAGCAAGGGGAAAAGCTCTAGGCAAACAAACAGATGGATTCAGAGGACCTTAAGTGATCAAGTCCGGTAGGAGCCAGCAGCTGGCCTTCTGTGGGCTACTTATTAGCATTTTCCTTAGCTTGTTGTCTGCCTGCACTTGGCAGCAAGCTGGAGGTCAGATTTGTGATGCAAACACATTTGCATCCAGGTTCTGGTATCTACTCACTAACTCACAGGTGACCTCACCCATATCTCTGCCTCTCTCTTTCCTTTTTTTCTTTTATTGTGTGTGTGTGTGTTGTGTGTGCAGGTTCAAAATGACAGGTGGTAAAATGAGCAGCAAAAGGATACTCTTGGCTATACCGGCTCTTCCTGTCTTTCAGATATTGCACATCCTGAGCCTGTTGTTTTACATGGAAGAAAAATGAAGCCCCTTCACACATTCATAGAGAAGTGTGCTTGAAAAGAGAGAAGAAGCAGCAGAGAGTGCTTAGCAGCAAGGCTATTTACTACTTCTGTATCCTAGGCAGTTTTCCAGGCTGTAGTTTCACCCCCAACCTTGCCTCCCCTGCTGAATGTGGCTGGTGCCAAATTCCTGCTATTGGCTGAGTCATCATGTCCTAGTTGATCTGGCACCGTAGTCAACATTTGTAGCTTTTACCATTGTTGCTTTGGAGCTAGATCACTAGGTTAGATTATAGGCTAGATAATTAGGTTTTCCTAAATAGAGAATCTGCTGGTGCTGAAACTTGCCCCAGAAGGCACACCGTGGTGGTTATTCACGTAGATGGCCTGGTGTATGTGAGATGGGAAAATCCAGTAAGTCACTCCTTAATTCAATTCAGCAGCCTTTTACTGATTGCCCAGAAACTGGATGATCTGGCAGAATTAAATGGATTATTTTGTTTAAAACCTAAAGCAAAAAGTTTAAGGTGGGATTCCATATGTAAGTTGTTCCTATGAATGATTGTTGATAATGTTGGAAAAAAATGGGAAAAGAATTCATACAAATGACTGCCCTGATGGTGGGAATATAATTATTTCTGTCCTATTTTCCAAACTTTCTCTAATGTTTCAGTACTGTTTATACAATAATAATATTTAATAATAACAACTGGTTTTGTTCTCATGGGGGAAAAAGGCCCAAGATAAAAAAGTCCAGTCATATAAAAGTGAAAATATGGCTAGATTCAGTGTCTTCAAGAGTATTTTGAAAACGAAAACACCACAACAAAAAACCCCAAGAACTTAAAATGAGGATATTTAACGTTAATTGTATATGACTGTATTGGTTGAGATAACCTTTTTTTTTTGAGAGCCTAACATTGACATGTAATATTCATTGAACACATATTGCTTTTAAAAGTTTAAAATATACATATATACATGGTCCTTATTAGGCTTTTATTTTCTTAAAAAATTTAACTGTTTTTACCATGAACATTTTCAAACGTACTCAAAAATGAATATTAAAAAGAACTACCATATACTTCTCACTGAGGTTTAAAAATAGAATAATATGGTGAACTTCCATTTACTTATTTAGATTCTATAGTTATACAGAATTTTTTTAAGTTTTTTTTTTTAACTGAGCAGATAATACAGAATTACAATATTACCCACCTCTTCCCTGCCCCCATACACATATGAAGTCAAGTTTCCCCTATTAACATCTCGCATTAGTGTGGTACATTTGTTAAAATAAATGAACCAATATTGATACATTATTCTTAACTAAAGTCAAGAGATTACACTGAGGTTCACTCTGTGTTCTACAACTGGATGGGTTTTGGCAAATGCACAATGTCATGTATCTACCTTTGCAGTCCCATGTAGAATAGTTTTATAACCCTTCAATTCCCTTGTTCTTCTCCTAACAACTCTCCCGTGCTTTTCTCACCTAACCCAGGGCAACCACTGATATTTTGTTTTGTTTTAAACTGCTTCTATCGTTTTGCCTTTCCCAGAATGTCATACAGTTGGAATCATGCAATGTATAGCCCTTTCATACTGACTTCTTTCACTTAGCAATATGCATTTAAGATTCTTCCATCTTAAATGCATATTCCATGACTTGATAGCTTATTTCTTTTCTTTTCTTTTTTTTTTGGAGGCGGAGTCTTGTTCTGTCACCCAGCCTGGAGTGCAGTGTCGTGATCTTGGCTCACTGCAACCTCTGCCTCCCGGGTTCAAGCAATTCTTCTGCCTCAGCCTCTTGAGTAGCTGGGATTACAGGCACCCGCCGCCACGCCCAGCTAATTTTTTGTATTTTTAGTAGGGACAAGGTTTCACCATGTAGGTCAGGGTGGTCTCGAGCTCCTGACCTCAGGTGATCTGCCCACCTTGGCCCCTCAAAGTGCTGGAATTACAGGCATGAGCCACCATGCCTGGCCAGCTTATTCATTTTTATTGCTGAATGATATGATGTTATATGGATGTACACCAGTTTGCTTATCCATTCACTTATTGAAGGTCATTTTGGTTGCTTCCAAGTTTTGGCAATATTGAATAAAGCTGTTATAAAAATTTGTGAGCAGATTTTGTTTGGACATAATGTTTTCAACTCATTTTGGTTAGTACTGAGGAGTATGGTTGCTGGATCATATTATAAGAGTATGTTTAGCTTTGTAAGAAACTGCCAAACTTTTCCAAAGTGGCTGTACCATTTTGCATTTCCATAAGCAATGAGTAAGAGTTCCTGTTGCTGTATATCCTTGCCAGTATATGGTGCTGTCAGTGTTTTGGATTTTAGTGCTTCTAATGGGTAAATAGTAGTATTTCATAGTTGTTTTATTTGCACCTTCCTAATGACATATAACATTGAGCATCTTTACATTCGCTGTTTTGCCATCCTTATGTATTCTTTGGTGAGTTGTCTGTTCAGATCTTTTGCCTTTTTTATATCTGGGTTGTTGTTTTTCTTATTCTTGAATGTTACTAGTCCTTTGTATATTTTGGATATAAGTCCTTCATCAGATATGTGTTTTGCAAAGTTTTAAAAAAAATTTATTACTTTTTTTTTTTTTTTTTGAGACAGAGTCTCGCTCTGTTGCCCAGGCTGGAGTGCAGTGGCACGATTGGCTCACTACAACCTGCACCTCCCAGGTTCAAGTGATTCTCCTGCCTCAGCCTCCCGAGTAGCTGGGATTACAGGCATGCACCACCATGCCTGGGTAATTTTGTATTTTTAGTAGAGACGGGTTTCACCATGTTGGCCAGGCTAGTCTCGAACTCCTGAACTCAGGTGATGCGCCCGCCTTGGCCTCCTAAAATGCTGGGATTACAGGCGCAAGCCACCGCGCAAATTTTATTGTGTGTATTTAACGTTTACGTCATATGTTTTGCAAAGCTTTACTTCCAGTCTACAGCTTTTTATTCTCCCAACAGTTTCTTTCACAGAACAGACATTTTCAATGTTAATGAAGTGCAACTTACCAGTTTTTTCTTTGGATCATACTTTTGGTGTTATATCTAACTTTGGGTTTGCCAAACCAAAGTTTTCTAGATTTTATAATAATACTAGGTTATCTTGTTAGGAGTATTATGGTTTTGTGTTTACATTTAGATCGGTGATCCATTTCGAGTTCACTTTTGTAAAGGGTGTGAAGTCTATATCTAGATTTATTATTTTGCTTGTGGATGTCGTGTTGTTCCAGCATCATTTGTTTAAAAGACTGTCTTTGCATTATTATATTTTATTTGCTCCTTTGTCGAAGATCAGTTATGGGTCTATTTCTGGGCTATTTTATTCTGTTGGTCTATTTTTCTATTCTTTTACCAATATCACACAATCTTGAGTACTTTAGATTTATGGTGAGTCTTGAAGTCAGGTGATGCCCGTCCTCTGACTTTATTCTTCTTCAATACTGTTGCTTACTCTGCATCCTTCGCCTTTCAGTAAACTCCAGAATCAGCTTTGTTGATATTTATAAAACTGCTTGCTGGGATTTTGATTGGGATTGCATTCAATCTATAGATCAAGTTGGGAAGAACTGACACCTTGACAACATTAAGTCTTCCTATCTAGAAACATAGAATATCTCTCCATTTATTTAAATCTTTAAAAATTTTCTTTCATCAGAGGTTTCCTCATATAGATCTTAGATATATTTTGTTAGATTTAAACCTAAGTATTTCTTTTTTTTTCTTTATGGTGAAATGTAAATGATGTTGAGTTTTAAATTTCAAATTCCACCTTTTCATTTCTGATATAGGAAAGACATTGACTTTTATATATTAGCTTTGTATCCTGAAACCTTGCTGTTAGTTCCAGGAATATTTTTGTTGATTCTTTAGGATCTTCAACATGTACAGTCTTGTCATCTGTAAACAAAAACTTTTTTTTTCTTCACAATTTGTATTTCTTTATATCCTTTTCTTGTTTATATTAGCTAGGATTTTTAGTATGATGCTGGATTTGAGTGGTGAGAGGGATATCATTGTCTTGTTCCCAATCTTATGGAGAAAGCATCTAGTTTCTCACTATTCAATATGACATTAGCTGTAGGTTTTTGGTAGATCATCTTTATCAAATTGAGGAACTTCCTGTCAATCTTCCTAATTTGCTGAGAGTTTTTATTATGAATTGGTGTTGGATTTTGTTAAATGTTTTTCAAACTCTTTTAACTTTTTAATTTTAATTGACAATGAAACTTGTATATATTTATCTCAAATGCTCTTTCTGCATTTATTGATATGATCTTAAGATTTTTCTTCTTTAGCTTGTTGATATTATGGGCTACATTAATTGATTTTAGAATGTTCTGTCAGCCTTGCATACCTATAATAAATCTCACTTGGTGGGGGGTAATTTTTTAAACAGTTCTTAGATTCGATTTGCTAGTATTTTGTTGAGGAGTTTTATTTCTATGTTCGTGGGAGATATTGGTCTGTAGTTTTCCTTTTTTGTCATGTCTTTATCTGGTTTCGTTGTTAGGGTAATACTGTTCTCATAGAATGAGTTAGCAAGCATTATTTTTACTTCTATTTCTGTAAGAACTCGTGGAGAATTGGTTTAATTTTTTCTTTAAATGTTTGGTAGAATTCCCAGTGAGACTGTATGCACCTAGTGCTTTCTTTTTCGGGAGGTTTTTAGTTATTATTATTATTTTTAAAGATAAAGATGTATTCAGATTATCTACTTGGGTGAATTTTGAAAGTTTGTATCTTTCAAGGTATTGGTTCAGTTTCATCTAAGTTTTCATATTGTAGGCATAGAGTTGTTTATAGTATTTCTTTATTATCATTTCAGTACCCAGGGGGATTAGTAGTGATAACCCTGATTTCATTTCCGATATTTGGGTCTTTACTATTTTTTTTTTCTTGGTTAGCCTAGCTAGAGGTTTATTAATTTTATCAATCTTTTCAAGGAACCAGCTTTTGGTTTCATTGATTTTTTTTTCCTCTGTTAATTTTCCATTTTCAATTTTATTGGTTTGTGCCCTACTTTTTATTTCTTTTTTTTTATTTTTTTGCTGCTTGCTTTAGCATTATATTGCTCTTCTTTCTCTAGTTTCTTAAGGCAGAAGCTTAATTAATGCTTTTAGACCTTTCTGCTTTTCTACTATATGCATTTATTGCTAAATAGTTCCCTCTAAACACTGCTTTTGTTACACCCCAAAATTTTTATAAGTTTTATTTTTATTTAGCTCAAAATATTTTTAAATTTCTTTGGAGATTTCTACGACCTGTATGTCCTTTTGAAGTAAGTTATTTAATCTCCTGGTGTTTTTGGATTTTATATAATTCTATTTGCTCCCTTATGCGCCCATTTTATTGCTTTTAAATATTTTTCCTTTTTTTTTTTTTGGAGACAGAGTCTTGCTCTGTAGCCAGGCCGGAATGCAGCGGTGTGATCTAAGCTCACTGCAACCTCTGCCTCCTAGGTTCAAGCAATTCTCCTGCCTCAGCCTCCCGAGTAGCTGGGATTACAGGCGCACACCACCACGCCCAGCTAATTTTTGTATTTTTAGTAGAGATGGGGTTTCACCATGTTGGTCAGGCTGGTCTTGAACTCCTGACCTTGTGATCTGCCCACCTCGGCCTTCCAAAGTGCTGGGATTACAGGCGTGAGCCACCGCGCCCAGCCGTGACCAAAATCTTGGTGAATTATTCATGACTTAAGAATTACGGCTAGGCATGGAGAATCACGCCTGTAATTCCAGCACTTTTCGGAGCTGAGGCAGGAGGATCATTTGAGGCCAAGAGTTTGAGCGGGCAACTGTATCTACCAAAAATTTAAAAAAACAAAAATAATAATAAAAAAAAGCCAGGTGGCCCGGGCGCAGTGGCTCACGCCTGGAATCGCAGCACTTTGGGAGGCCGATGTGGGCGGATCACGAAGTCAGGAGATCGAGACCATCCTGGCTAACACAGTGAAACCCCCTCTGTAAAAATACCAAAAAATTAGCCGGGCATGGTGGCGGGCGCCTGTAGTCCCAGCTACTCAGGAGGCTGTGGCAGGAGAATGGCGCGAACCCGGGAGGCGGAGCTTGCAATGAGCCGAGATCGCGCCACTGATCTCCAGCCTGGGGGACAGAGTGAGACTCCGTCTCAAAAAAAAAAAAAAAAAGCCAGGCATGGTGGTGCGTACCTGTAGTCCCAGCTACTTGGAAGGCTGAGCTGGGAGGAGCACTTCAGCCTTGAAGTTCAAGGTTGCAGTGAGCTGTGATTGCACCTGGGAGAAAGACCTTGTCTCTCTAAAAAAAAAAAAAAAAAAGTTACTAGAACAGAGAATTAACTGCAGGCAGAGTTAAGAAATGAAAATAAAAGGTTGTAATGTTATATTACATTAAAGTGATGTACTCTGGACAAAAGAAGAGATGTAACGAGCAAGCTTTCGGATTCTGCCCTTTTCAGAAAGTAATCCCCAAGTCTAAAGCAAGGGAGTTGGAATACAGCTGATGTAAATTTGAATCCTGGCTCTATTTTGTATTACATGTGGAGATACTGGTGGTGCTGATGGGTTAGGATAATTGAGATAATGGAAGTAAAGTAATTAACTCAGCGTCTGTCACATAGTAAGTACCCATTAAATGGTTGCTATTGTTCAATAATGGTAATAGAACCCAAATTCAGCTATGTGGCATATAATTGTTTTGAATTAAAGGTATATTCCTGGGTACATTTTTATGTGTAAGCAAATAAATGCAATGACAGTTACCATTTTGTTTAGAACTATGTAATGCAAATTTCAAAGGACGAAAACTTATTTTACTCTTAAGAAAAATCTAGTCTGTTTGCAAAAGAAAGTCATGTTATTTGGGGAGCTGTATTTTCATATCTGTAATTTACATGGAGCACTACCAAAAAGTCATTATAGAATCCCACTAGGGAAGCCTTGTATAATTTCAGCTCCTTGAGTGGATGACTGAGCTGTTGCCATCTGAGTTGTGGAGGTGATTGGAATTACTTTCTCTTAAGTGGCTGCACTCAGTTGGGTGAACTTCTCTGTGGTGCTTTCTTTTTGCAATTACATCCATAGCAGTGGGGCTTCATTTGGCATTCATCTAACCTTGCTCAATTTGAAGTCATGATTCCAACAGGGAAGTGAGGTGATCCTAGGGGAAGTCCTGAAAGTTGAGGAATGCTGCAGAATTGTTTTTTAGATTGAGGGGAATGATTTAAGTTCTTGCTGGTTACAATTCCTCTGTTCCTCCTGGGGATCCGTGAAAATCACCTGCTGTCATGTGTTTGAAGAGCCATAGATGAAAGAAATGAAGGCTATGAAGAAATTATTATTGTTCATTCTGAAGTTTTTCTTTTTCTAATAGTTTGATTTGAAGTGATTTTGTGCAGCAAACTTGGAAAACCATCATTTAATGCACTTGCACTTTGATATGTGCAAATAAATGCTAAAATATGAAATTTGCATATGTGATATAATTTAAATATATATATGGCCTCTGCCAGAGGCAGAGCTCCTAAAACCCTTGTAATTTCATGGGCAGTAAGGGTGCTGGGTACATCTTCTGTTCTAATATTTGGTTTTGACTCTTGTTTCTGACATAGTGGTGAATTCCTGGGAATTTTCTGGGTGATAGGAGCATCGTTTGTTCTCCTATGATAACTCTTGGTGCCCTTCTGGATAAGGGCTGGTCACCGGAAAGAGTCCGCCACAATTAGAAGCCTTGAACTTTCAGCTCCACCCCCACCCTCTGGGAAGGGGAGAGGGCTGGAGATCGAGTTAATAATAGAACATGACTACGTGATGAAGCCTCTATACAATTCCATGAACTATGAGGTTCCGGGAGCTTCCGGGTTGCTGAGCACATCCACGTGCTGGGAGGGTGGAGCCCTGTAACTCCACAGGGACAGAAGCTTGGGACTCTTCTGGAGCTCACCCTATGTACCTCTCCATCTGGTTATTTGTGTCCTTTAAAATACCTTTTGTAATAAATCGACAGTAGTACATACATTGCTTTCCTGGGTTCTGTGATACACTCCAGCAAATTATTGAACCTGAGGATGGTTTGTGGGAACCTCTGATTTGTAGCCAAGTCGGACAGAAGTGTGGATAACCTAAGGCCCTACTACTTGTGATTGGCATCTGAAGTGCAGGGCAGTCTTGTGGGAGTGAGCCCCTAAACTGTGGGGTCTGTGCTAAACCTGGTTGGTATCGGAATTCAATTGAATTGTAGGACACCCAGCTGGTGTTGGAGAATTGGTTGGTGAAAGGAAAAAACTTGACACCTCTGCTCACTGAAGTGCTGAGTGTGGGAGTATAGAAGAGAAACACAGTTGGTTTTTCCTATATTCAGCTTGGTTGGTGAATTTTGTTCCCTCCTAAGAAGAAAGACATAGATTTTACTGAAACCTCTCAACAGCAAGCCTGCTAGGATGGAATCTCCTTAATCAAGCAGTTGGCTATCGAAAAGGCCACACCTGTGCTCCCACCTGCAAAAGGGGTGGGATTGAAGCAGCCTACATTGTATGATGATTGGGCACCTATAAGCTGAGTCTTAGGAATAAAAATTCCAGTTCTTTCCAGTTTAGCCAGGGGCTTACTGACTAGAAAGTCTTCCCCTGAGAGAGAGAAAGATGCCTTGGGCAAGAGACGGTAACACTGAAGACTGTAGAGTTGCTATTTCAAGTTGGGGACTTCTGGAGCCTTCTGGTTCATCCTCTCAGATATGGTTGCTGGCTGGCTCT
Organism: Homo sapiens; assembly: GCF_000001405.40. Lineage (NCBI taxonomy): Eukaryota > Metazoa > Chordata > Mammalia > Primates > Hominidae > Homo > Homo sapiens. Next base: position 100,728,531 of record NC_000011.10, read on the forward strand.
TTCCCCTCTATTTGAGGAATAATTGTAGCACTTACACCATGCAATTGCAATTGTTTACTTTCCTCTTTTCCTCATTATAAGCTCCTTAGGAGTAGAAAACTATCTTTAACATGAAGCAGTGTGTTAGGTTCACGATGGATCTAAATAAGTGTTGAGTAAGTGAAATTATATGAATGACTTTGCGTATATATATATATATATATATATATATATATATATATATATATGCACACTTTTCTTTTTTAATTTTTTTTTTGAGATGGAGTCTCACTCTGTCTCCCAGGCTGGAATGCAGTGGCGTGATCTCGGTTCACTACAACCTCCACCTCCCAGCTTCAAGCGGTTCTTCTGTCTCAGCTTCCTGGGTAGCTGGGATCACAGGCATGGGCCACTATGCCTGGCTCACTTTTGTATTTTCAGTAGAGATGGGGTTTTGCCATGTTGGCCAGGCTGGTCCTGAAATCCTGGCCTCAGGTTATCTGCCCACCTCGGCCTTCCAAAGTGCTGTGATTACAGGTGTGAGCCACTGCACGCAGCCTCTGTCTCTCTCTCTCTCTCTTAACTTTCAGTAACAAAGTCAGAAAATAAAGTGGTGGGCTTTCTCTTGATTAGCCAAACCATTTACTTTTAGGCTACTCTTAACAAAATATACAGATATGTATTTGTTTATTTAATTAGTATGATGGCCAAAGGATGTCACTTTTTTTTAAAGTGGTATGATAAACATACTGAGTAGATATAAACCCTGAATCCTGATTTTAAGAAATTATACAATTTAGTAATTATTAATTTATATTAATTAATATATCTAAATTTTGTGTGGCAAAAGGAAACCTGTAGATCACAAAGTTGAAAATTAAAGCATAAGAAAACTGTGAATGCTACCAGCTGAGGAGATTATGCTTCTGTTGTGAATTTGGCCCAGTTTTGGAGCATATGTCAATTGCTTATGTAGTTAGACTTGAGATTAGATTGAAATTTATATTTCTAGTCTAAGAAGATATTCTGCAATGCTTTGTCATAACCATCTAGACTTGCTAGTTAGTTTATTAATCACTGATAGGCGGCAAACTGTCCATGTACCTAATTTGCATAGATAAATTAAAGCTAACTTTAAAAAAATAGTAATTTTTAAAACATTTCTAAACGTATTATTTGCATCCATGTTATACTACAGCAGAGTCTACTGAATATAATAGAATCTCTTTTCCGGATGACTAGTATGAATATCATGTAACACTGTTTCCCCTGCTCTGTAAATTTGTAATCTAAATTTCTTTCTTTTTTTTTTTTTTTTTGAGACAGAGTTTTGCTCTTGTTGCCAGGTTGGAGTGCAATGGTGTGATCTCGGCTCATTGCAACCTCTGCCTCCTAAGTTTAAGCGATTCTCCTGCCTCAGCCTCCCGAGTTGCTGGGATTACAGGCACCCACCACCACACCTGGCTAATTTTTGTATTTTTAGTAGAGACGAGGTTTCATCATGTTGGCCAGGCTGGTGTCAAACTCCTGACTTTGTGATCCACCTGCCTCGGCCTCCCAAAGTGCTGGGATTTATAGGCATGAGCCACTGTGCCTGGCCTAAATTTCAAATAAGACTAATTTGACGAAATACACAAGGTGGTAGTTTTCTATTTAAGGAAAGTTTGATGTACTGTGGATTGTGTAGCTTCATTTTCCTCAAGGACATCATGATTTTTTTTTTTTAATCAAGTACAAAGCAGGAAGAAAAGTTCAAACTGCATCATGGTTTTTTATCTTTCTACTCTCTGCTAAGCATCAGCATCTGAATTCTCTTTAGGAGAAAATCAGCAGTTTTGTATTTGACCGCAGAGGTATGCATGGCTATTAAGCCTTATGTATGAATGCTCTGGGTGTGTGGGTGAATATGGAGAAATCCTCTGACCAAGAATGACCTCTTTAGGCTGAAATTCAATTACAGCTGAAAAGCCAATGTTGCTTTCTCACAATCAGATTTTAAGAAACACTGAATATGCACGTTAGAGCTTAAATTCCTTCTTTCGCAAGGGCTATCAGAATTGGCATATGTCTTTGATTAAGCCTCATGCAAATGCTGATACAAGCCATGTCTAAGAAATTGCAAAATTTTAATTGCATTTTTTCCTTAAAGTGGGTTGCTTAAATAGTAAGTCATATATTGCTTAATGACAAGATTATATTCTGAAAAATGTGTTCTTAGGTGATTTTGTCATTGTGTGAACATCATAGAATGTATTTACAAAAACCTAGTTGGTATAATTTACTGCACACCTAGGCTATATGATAAAGCCCATTGTTCCTAGGCTACAAACCTGTACAGCATATGATTGTACTGAATATGGTAGATGGCTGTAACACAATGGTAAAAATTTGTGTATCTAAATATAGAAAGAGTACAGTAAAAATACAATATTATGATCTTAATGGGACCACTATCCTATATGCAGCCTATTGTTGACAAAGGTTTTGCTTTTTTTTTCTTTTGGCTTTTGCTATATGATGGCAGTCATTCAGGTTTTTTTTAGTTTTGTTTTGTTTTTACCTTTCAATGAAATGACTTTAGAAAAATAATCCTTAAAATAAGGAATGATGCTTTGGTGCCTCACAGTATAACTTAGATTTATATCATTATATTCTTCTTTTTTTTTTTGAGATGCAGTCTTGCTCTGTTGCCAGGCTGGAGTGCAGTGATGCCATCTTGGCTCACTGCAACCTCTGCCTCCCGGGTTCAAGGGATTCTCCTGCCTCAGCCTCCCGAGTAGCTGGGACTACAGGCACCTGCCACCATGCCCGGCTAATTTTTATATTTTTAGTAGAGACGGGGTTTCACCATGTTGGCCAGGGTGGTCTCGATCTCTTGATCCATCCGCCTCAGACTCCTAGAGTGCAGGGATTACAGGCGTGAGCCACTGTGCCCGGCCATCATTATATTCTTTTAAAGGTTTGAAGTCAACACAGTAAATAACTTCATCCTAATGTTCTAAAGAACTGTGGGCAGATCTTTTCATTTTGCTGCTTACCCAGATATTGTCAATAGAAAGGGCTGTGTCTGGGAATTGGGTTCTTTAAATAGATAAGACTTGCTTTAATGGGACGCTCTGGGGCCCTGGGAGCAGGGAAGGTTGAGTGTTATCTGAGCTGCTGAGTGCACTGGGTAAGCTATTGTTTAGTCCCTAAATATATGACTGATAAGAAGAGAATCTTAGTGTGACCATCTGCCCACCCCAATTAGCAGCTATGCAATCCCTGCTTCCAGTTAATGACTATTGTATTTCCATCAGATCTTTGTTCAAAAGTAGCTTTCACACAGAGCCCTTCCCTCACCATCTCAAAGAAAGTTGAACAGTTTCCTTGTTGCCTTTTCCATGTTTTTCTACATAGCACTTATCACTCTCTAACACATTCTATATTTAACTCTTTTTTTTTTCTTTTTCTTTTTTTTTTGAGATGGAGTTTCGCTCTTGTTGCCCAGGCTGGAGTGCAATGACGTGATCTCAGCTCACTGAGCTCAACCTCTGTCTCCTGGGTTCAAGAAATTCTCCTGCCTCAGCCTCCCAAGTAGCTGGGATTACAGGCATACACCACATGCCCGGCTAATTTTGTATTTTTAGTAGAGATGGGGTTTCTCCATGCTGGTCAGGCTGGTCTCGAACTCCCGACCTCAGGTGATCCTCCCGCATCAGCCTCCCAAAGTGCTGGGATTACAGGTGTGAGCCGCCGTGCCTGGCCTTAACTGTCTTTTTCAACCAGAATGTGAGCTCCATGAAGGCAGGGATTTTATCTCTTTTGTTTGCTGCTGAATCCTCAGTAGCTAGGACAGTGCTCAATAAGTTTTGAATGGATGATGATTGAATAGTTTTTGATAGTCAGAAGCTTGTGGAAACAGTCTATATGTCTCTACCGCTGCAAACTTAAACAAGAATGTACATCGTCTCAGACCAAAATTAGCCATATATTTATATGGGCCTTCGATTGCAAGTAGGTACAAACAGCCGTTCATGTCTGGCTTGGAAGATTTTCTTCTCTAGATCTTCAAGCATATCAACTGACTTCTCGGGTGGAGCCTTATTCTAAAGCACAACACAGGAAAGTCCTGGACAAGATTGATAGGTCCTGTGCTCAGCCTAGGCAGCTAGACCCTCTGAGGTGGACACAGGCCAAGAGGCTGTAGATGTAGAGAGCTGTGTCTATGGCATAGTGAGTGACTGGCTTATGTCTTATTCATTTAAGGGCTAGTAGCTGTTACTCCTCTTCCATCAAACACTTAACCTTAAGCAGCAATTTTACCAATAGAAAAATTATCTCTGATTCTTTCTATGCTACTCAGCCTGCCTTAAAATCTTGAGATACTTTTTATACTAATTATTCTACTAATTATTCAACATCAATATGTTGATTTAATAAGGACACATGTTAATTAGCCAGCTCCAAAATATTGAGTCAGATTAACTTGTTAACACACTTCATATTACTCATAATTAATATTTCAAAGTAAATCACCACAAATCCAGTGTAACACTTGGGCATGTAAAGCCTGGGATTTAGCATACTTTCACTTTATGCAAAGCAAATATAAAAACAGTGGTTAAGAACTTTGATTCTGTAGTTCAGCTGCTAGATTCAAATCTAGGTGCAGATTCCAATGAGCTGGTTGACTCATGACAAGTTAATCAATATAGCCAAACCTTAGTTTCCTTATCTATGAAATAGGGATAAAAAGACCTAACTCATGGGATTGTCATGAGGATTATATAAGATTACTTAAAGGCCCTTGGCAAAATGCTTAGCACATAGTAAGTGCTTAATAAATGTTAGCTTAAAGGAATTATTCACATGACAAAGATTTTTTGAGTGTCTACAGTAGGGCTAAGAAATGAGAAAGGTTTGCAAACACTAATTCTACATATACACTTGAATTATAAATTGATTGCTAGTGAGATCCCATAAATTAGATGTAGAACAAAGTTCCTTAAGAGATGTAGCTCTCTTTGTATATTTAAAATGCACTCCAGAGGGCTGCATGCTGTGGCTCATGCCTGTAATCCCAGCACTCTGGGCGGCCGAGGCGGGCAGATCACCTGAGGTCAGGAGTTTGAGACAAGCCTGGCCAACATGGTGAAACCCCCATCTCTACTAAAAATAGAAAAATTTGCTGAGTGTGGTGGCACATGCCTGTGATCCCAGCCTCTTGGGAGGCTGAGGCATGAGAATTTCCTAAACCCAGGAAGCAGAGGTTGCAGTGAGTGGAGACTGTGCCACTACACTCCAGCCTGGGCAACAGAGCAAGATTCTGTCTGGAAAAAAAAAAAAAAAAAAAAAAAAAAGCACTCCATTTATACAAATTAGATACAGTTGCTTCTAGAAAATCTTTTGGTAAAGAAACTTCCTTCCAAAGCAAAGTTGTTTTTTTTTTTTTTTTTTTTTTTAAATGGAGTCTAGCTCTGTCGCCCAGGCTGGAGTGCAGTGGCACAATCTCGGCTCACTGCAACCACTGCCACCTGGGTTCAAGCGATTCTCCTGCCTCAGCCTCCCGAGTAGCTGGGATTACAGGCACCCACCAGCATGCCCAGCTAATTTTTGTATTTTTAGTAGAGATGGGGTTTCACTGTGTTGGCCAGGCTAGTCTCGAACTCCTGACCTCATGATCCGCCCACCTCGGCCTCCCAAAGTGCTGGGATTACAAGCGTGAGCCACCGCGCCTGGCCCAAAGCAAAGCTTTTATGATTGTTATCCGTGAAATCCACCCCTTTTTTAAAATTTTTATTTTTTTAAATAGAGTTTTACTCTTGTTGCCCAGGCTTGAGTGCAATGGCACAATCTTGGCTCACCACAACCTCTGCCTCCCGGGTTCAAGCGATTCTTCTACCTCAGCCTCCTGAGTAGCTGGGATTACAGGCATGCGCCACCATGCCCAGCTAATTTTTCGTATTTTTAGTAGAGATGGGGTTTCTCCATGTTGGTCAGGCTGGTCTCGAACTCCAGACCTCAGGTGATCCGCCCTACTTGGCCTCCCAAAGTGCTGGGATTACGGGCGTCAGACACCACGCCCAACCAGAGTCCACTTGTTATGCTAAAGGAGAGCTCTTCTGCAGGATTTTTGGCATTTTTCTTAAAGTTTTCATGTATAGCTAAGACAATTTTTTAATTGTGAAAAGGTTTGTCCCTAGTGGCTTCAAAATGTCAACCTGTTGGAAGAACAATCCCAGTTGAACCAATGTGACTTTCTTCTCATACTCTACTTAACTCACAGAAACAGATGTGGTGGCAGAACAAGCTGAAGCTGTCAGTTTTTTAATCTTTTCAGGTTTCTGAGAGTGGGACACACATGTGTGCTATGATTCCAAAGATGGAACACCTTTCATTTAATGTGTTAAGTTCGTCAGTATACAGATGTAGTTGGTTTACACTGATAACAGATGCAGAAGTGAAACTGAAATGCACAGTAAGGACAATCTGAAAACAACTACAACAACAAAACAACAACAACAACAACAACAACAAAACCCTGTGTTTGGGGTTTGCAGGAGCCTGGGTCTACTCAGCTTAGTTACCAACTGGATGTGAAAGTTCCCACCAGACCCCTTCAGGATCCATATCCTCACTGTGTGGTGAAGAGTTGGACTTGACAAAACCATTTCTCATTTCCCATCTTGCTCTGATTTTTTCCAGTTTTCTCTAGTACATATTCTTTTATGATTGCTTTTATTTTAAGCATGTGGAGTTTAATAGTGAGCCAATGCCATCAGATAAATTCTGCCTCCTTTCCTAGTTTAGTTTCTCTTTGTGAGTGGAATCCCCCTTATGTTTCTGAACTATTTAAGAGGCTTGCTTTGTGATGGAAGAGGAAATGCCAAAAGTGACTCCAATAATGTCACTTTAAGTCATTTTCTGTTTCTTTACATGATTTCTAGTTTTACAGGGGCTTTAAAAAAGAATAGGAAATAGGAATAGGAAATCACTTTAAGTCATCTTCTTTCTTTGCATGATTTCTAGTTTTACAGGGCTTTTTAAAAAGGAATAAGAAATATGAAAAAACTGGGGAAAGGTTGGTGATTTGACAATATTTTACTTGTACTTTTTTTTTTTTTTTTTTTTTTTGAGATGGAGTTTTGCTCTTGTTGCCCAGGCTGGAGTGCAATGGCGTGATCTAGGCTCACTGCAACCTCAGCCTCCTGGGTTCAAGCGAGTCTCCTGCCTCAGACTCCCTAGTAGCTGGGATTACAGGCGCCCGCCACCACGCCCAGCTAATTTTTTGCATTTTTAGTAGAGATGGGATTTCACTGTTGAAACTATGGCCAGGCTGGTCTGGAACTCCAGATCTCAGGCCATCCACCCGCCTCAGCCTCCCAAAGTGTTGGGATTACAGGCGTGAGCTACCGCGCCCAGCAGACTTGTACTTTTTAAGTGTTTCATATCCTATTTGAGCGGCTATCTTTGTTTACCTAGGTAATGTAGTCATATGTACTGTGTTCAGAAATCAAGAGAGTAAAAGGAAGCAATAGAAAGGAAAGGATAGTTTTCAGAGCTGAGATATATTTTTCAAAAAAATCATGGCCCAGCTGTTTCTACTGGGGACACCTAGAGTAGGGCAATGGGAGATGATAATGTGGTTAGCCCAAGGTTGTTTAGGTGGTTTTAGTTAGTTTGTTTTGAAACCTGAAGCCTCAGTGGGCTTGAGCAACAAGGAATAGAGATAGAGAATTCTCATCATTTTGTGAAGCTTTGTGAGCTTTTTCATTCTTTTACATCTCCGTTTTCCACAGTAGCCTCAGGATTTTCTTTATATGGATGCATGCCGGGGGCTTCCCGATGATCACTTGAGGATGGCTCTGGTGAGACAGAGAACTTGGTGGAAATCCCCCTGAGCTGCCTTCCTGGAATAAACCTGGGTTGAGAAATCTTGGGGCTCTGGGCACACAGAAAATGCCTGGTGGACAAATCATGGGACTGCTACCACCATCTTATCAAACGTGATTAATGGGAACTGGAATGTAATGGAGAGACAGTGTCACATCCCTGCAGGGTGTCTCTGTGTTTTTTTCCTTCCCAAACACTGTCTTTCTCTCTTTCTTTTAATGGATTTTCAAACAATACTCTGGTAGCACCTTTTGTGCTACAGGCATCTGCCACTTGCAGCAGATTTAAAGGATTTAGACCTGGAGGGTAAAGAGTAATTTCTCCGAAAGGATCTTGACGTGTTACTGTTATAATAAGCTAAGCAGTTTGTCTTTTTTTTAAATTAAAAATATGTTTGTTTGGCTTACATAAACGATAGTGTCTTCTGTTAAGAAAGAAAAAAAGGACAGGAGAAGCACATTATTCTGGATTTTTCCTTACCTTTGATCAAGGCTTTACATATAACTTCCTGACTCCAGGAAACACCAGGGATAGAAGAACAAGGTCAGCAACACTTTGAGCAAGCACTATGCTAAATCTAGAATTTGGGGCATCCTATAGGACAGTGGAACCAGTTTAGTTAATGAGTCAGTGGCCTGTGAAAAGAAGGAAAAAAGGAAGAGATAACTATTCTATGTTAAAAGGGATTAAGGGATCTCAGAGACATAAGGAAATATAATGAGTAGACATTGTTAGGATTCTTATTTGTGAACAAGTGGAAAACAGATTTAAAAATAATTGGGGAAATGTGAATGTGAACTAGCTTTTGATAGTATTAAGGAATTACTATTAATTTTGTTATAAATGATAATAACCTTATGGTTATATAAGCATCTCTGCTTCCATTCCCACATGAATACAAATGAAGCAAGTCCCTTAATCTCACTTAGGATTAGTATTTGCAGCTACAAAGAAGATGCTTATTTTGGAAGGTTTTGTAGGGTTGACGTGGAGGTAGAATGAGACAATGCTAGCGTAGAATCCTGTGAGTGATTTTTATGTTTCGTTGTTGTTGTTGTTGTTTTTGGCTATCATTATCACTATATGAGGTTCATGTATCATATTAATTCTAACTCTAGCTATCCTTTAAAACTTTCATGTGTTTCCATTTCTTTTCCTATTGGTGATCATACTGGTGTCCCACCTTTCAACGTTCGCAGGTATTCCAGATGGCCTGCTCCATGAGATAGAGGTGTCTTGGTTCATCTTGGCCTTGCTCACCACTTACTCTTACCACAAGGTCCTGTGTCAGGCCCAGCAATTGCCCTTGAATAGATGCTGACTTATTTGTTGAATGAATGAACTCTCCCTGTTAAACTTAAAGCAGAAAAAAGGAACTTTATTGCAGCTTCTTATTGGCAGTAAATGCTAACAGATTTATATTGATAAGCTGCTGGGAGAGGACTTAAAAGGGGCCTACATCTCACATTAGTGTTTTTAGTTGCTTGCCTATTGCTCATGATCAATCCCCTCTCATTCCTCTTCCTCAGAAAGTAGGCACGTGGTCATTTCTTTTTTTCATCAAGATTGCAAAGTCTTTATACAGTGAGGAAGAAATTGTATTAGAATCCTTACGTTTTGCACATAGTAGGCAGTTGCTAAATGTCAAAAGAAGACTTTATTTCTGTACCCAAAATATTTTTAGATATTTTGATGGGAACTGGGAGAGCTGGGAGAATATTCAGTGTAAGAAATGATTTTTTTCTGTGAGTCAAGAAAATATCGTAGAAATACTGTGATAGCCTTTAATTTATAGCTGTCAAATACTGACTTGGTTAAAATTATTACAATGCTTCAGAGGCAATTATTTACATATGTTTTCTCTCTTCATCTTTAATATAGTAACGTGGAAGCGGGAAGCTGGGAGAAAGTCATTTTTTAAATGTGGATTGAGAGTTCATATGTGGAAAGGGCTGCAATTCATTGAAATAACCAGGAGAAATTGGATGCTGATATTTCAGAGCTGCAGTCTGTTTGGAACCTCACAGTACCGCAGTCTAACAAAGAAGTGCCAGCTTTGTTTTAGATTTAAAAGAGTATCATCTAAAGGATCTGACATTACAGACAAAAGAGAGGTAACTCACTAATTCCATCAGATGTATATTTTTTCTCATTTTGCAATTCCATCAAAGCAGTATTGCTCTTGGCCATTTACCTGTTTTTGAATAATGAGAGGTATCATGATTTTCATCAGTGAGGGTAATATATGTAAAACTTGCAAACAATTTATTCCTCTAAATAAAGTAAAAAACTATGTTGCTAGAGAAGTACTATTGCTGCTGACTACTAAAGGTAGTTAAGAAGTCAAAGTGTTTTATTATAATACAAATAAAGTGAACATGTAGAAATCTGTTTATTATTACGTTTCAAGTTTGAATATTTTGTTTTCTTTTTAAGAAGAAGCAGGGCAAAACAAACTGTGCCCGTTGCATTCCTTGCCAAGGTCAATGCTCCATATTTTGTCTGACTGTTTAATTTAATAGCATTCAAGCACAGAAGCAATCAGGAGGCCACTCCTATTGGTAAATCCATGCTTATAAAGAAAGCATGTATTTCAGAACTTAGGAAAAAAGCTGTTTGTTAAGCCCAGACCTAGTTTGAGATCTTTTTGAAAAGTGCTTATAATTTTCCAGAATTCTAGGATTAACTCAAGGAAATGCACAACAGAAATATGTAGATTTGACAGTGGCTTTTTTCTTCTGTTCAAGTTATCTTAGAGTCTTTTTTTTTGTTTTTGTTTTTGTTTTAAATGAAGCAGTTTTGAGATTCATTAACTGGTTATCTTTTGTCTGAGTTTTACCAAAGTGATCAAAAAATAAGGAACTATTGACTTTTGGTAATTAAAATACTCTTGGATTTTTTTTTTTTAGTTAAAGTTCAGGACCATTCACTTGGTTCTTAAACAATCTTGTTTTAACCTGAAGAACTCTTGATTTGAAACTTTGAAATCCTGAGAAACATTTTTTCTATGACTCTCAAAAATAACTTCAGATTGCAATTTGTTCTAAAGAGGATAAAGTAGATATACCATGCTTGTTTTCTTTTCCTTAATTGAGTTTCATTTATGTGATTAACTTAGATAAAAATACTCTAATTTGATTTACTGAAGCAGTCAGGATGAAATATTTTGCATAGTGAAGTGTGCTAAATCTTTAAAACTATTTCTAGAGTTTTTAAAGAAAGAATTTTAAAATGTAATGTACGAAGGTATAATTCTGTGTATCTATACTTTGTTTCTCCCTCCCCTCTGCATCTAATAAGCCCCTCTTTTCTTGTTCCTTTTGTAAACATGAGTTGCTTATGGCTTGTGTACTGAAAATGCTGCCAGGAAGTAGGGTGAGCATAACTTCTTTTCCCATGACCCTCAGTCTAATGTTGTTCCAAGGGTTCCTTACTTAGAAATGCCTTGATAACCGCATTCATTCCTGACATACCCCACCCCCAACACACACAACTGCTGAGTGCCATCTGACCCACAGTCCAGCTGCAGCTTTTAAAAATACTAGTGGCAAAGGCTTTTACCTAGAACGGTGACTATCTGTGAAAAAATTTTGTGTGTGATTTGTTTTTTGCGTGTTGAAATATTATTTTTTAAAGAAAGTTACTTGGTGTCAGCCTGCAAGTTAAAGGGTTATTAGTACAATTTTTTTTTTTTTTTTTAATTTTCAACTCACTAAAGCTTGCCTGTGTATGTTCATCCTTTTTGTATGATTTCTGGAAGTTTTCCTGTTGACAGTGAAGTCTAAAATGCTAAGACCTTTAGATTCTCTTGTTTCATGACTTTTATTATGAACATAAAACTTTTAAAAAAGACCTGGTCATGCTATGGCCTCTCCCTTCTCCCAAATTTTATATGATACCCTCAGTTTTTTTTCCTTTGGTGCACAAGGGAAGAAAAACGTATTTGCTGAGTAAACACTTGGGCACTGAATTTATTTCTCCCATCTTCTAAAAACTGTGAAGTGAGCACTAGCGTTCTTTTATATGTAGAAAATTGAGAGTGCAAAACAGGTTAACTAATTTGCTCCAGGAACAAAAGCTAGTCAGTCATGGAACTAAGATTTGAACCTGTCTGTCTGATACTAAAGTGCTATTCTTTGCCATTTGAAGGCAGTATCATTCATGCCATGAACATTAGCCAGAAGCTTTATGGTATAGGGGGAGGAGAATGGAATGTGTAGAGGAAAAGTTCTTGGAAAGCAGAGTTTGATGTAGAATGGTTCCTGAAAGTGAAGGGGATGGTGCCAGCAGTTGCAAGATAAAGCGATGGGGTAGGTACATTGCTCCTGGCAGCTGCTCCTTCTGCCTCTCCTGTTGTTGAGTGTCAGATTTTGCTGCTCCAGGGAAGATTCAACCACTGTTAAAGTTTGGCACAGGGTTGATGAAGCTTTGGAACGTTACTTACTGGATTATTTAAAAAAAATATGTCTATCAAGAGAAGAATAAAGAGGGTATCTGTGGTTATACTTTAATTAGTTATTCCTGGAGAGGGGACATGTGGCCTTATTCTAGTCCCATGGGCTTGAGGGGGAAAGCAGACAGATTTATTTGACTGACTGTAAGGCTCCTTTGCAGATTACATAAAGAGAGAAAATAAGAAATTTTATTTATTTATTTCTTTTTTTGAGATGAAATCTCACGCTGTCTCCAAGGCTGGAGTGCAGTGGCAAGATCTCAGCTCACTTCAGCCTCCATCTCCTGGGTTCAAGCGATTCTCCTGCCTCAGCCTCCTGAGTAGTGGGGATTACAGGCACCTGCCACCACGCCTGGCTAATTTTTGTATTTTTAGTACAGACGGGGTTTCACCATATCGGCGAGGCTGGTCTCAAACTCCTGACCTCAAGTGATCCACCCACCTCGGCTTCCCAAAGTGCTGGGATTACAGGCGTGAGCCACCGCCCCTGGCCGAAGAAATCTTATTCTTATAGTTAGTGAAATGTGATGCCTCCTGAAGCCACAAGACACATCTCAGTCTGTAAAGGCATGACGGTAAAGTGTGTGTGAATAGAGAGAGGGTGAGAAAAAGGAAACTCATTTGTGGGCTGTTTCCTGTTAGTACCTGTCTGCTGTGTTACCGACCCTTGCACATTCCCTGCCTTGCCTCTGCAGCCTCTAGTCCAGATTGAAGAACCCTGAAGACCTAGCTTCCTCACCCTGTATAGTTACTGTAGTTACTAAGGATCTAAATTATTGGCATACCAGCTGACTGCTTTAAGCCTAAAGCAAAGTGCCAGGTAGAGGACATGCGTTACTTAGATACTGCCTATAAAGCAGATTTCTCTGTGTGGGAGACTTCTGCCCCACAGTGTCCCATTGTGAAAGCAGAAATGAATTTTGGTGAAATCAAATAACTTAGTTTGAGAAGTATTTATTTTAATCTGAAAATTGTTATTTTGCCCTTAACTAATGTTTAAAGCAAGCAGTACTTTGCATTGTACTAGGGACTGCAATGTGCAGTTCTGGCATGCCCAGGTTTAGAGGGAAATCCATAAGGTTGTCTGCTTTAACCTGAGACTCCAAATTTAGTTTTTCGGCTTTTTCAATAAAAAAAACCTAGAGGAAACCTTAGTGATCTCTTTGGGCAATAAAAAGCCAAAGGCAGCTGATCTAAATAGTCTTCTCCCCTTCCGTTTCCCCAAACTAGTTTCTACTCATGTTTCAAAACATCTCCTTCTGCTTTTTGCTCACTGTGGATCAAATACTGCCATCATTCTGATCCTATTGCTGAAAGTAATCTGTTAATTCCTCACCAGGCTAACTCCTGGATGAGAGAGGGGGTCTTATTTTTGTGTGTAATTTATACATACCCTTGTGTTGTAATGTTAACTGATTGTCAAACTGGCATCAGTGTCTTCCTTCATTTCCTTGGAAAGTTTGAAATAGGGAGATGATGCTGGGGTTGAAGTGGTCTTAACGTCTGTCTTATTCAGTGACTAATTGATTTTCCTTGAGGAACACAGTGCAGGAGTAGTGTGTGTGAAGTTCTGAGGTTTCTACTTTTCAAGGTTCAGATATGTGACCTCTGGGTGGTGGTGGTCATATATTTGAAGTGCTTTGAGGTTCCTGTGGAATTACAGTGTTTTATAATTTGAAGTAACAGATCTTATTAATTATAAAGCGTTCTCAGTTAAATTACTGAACTCTTGCTACGTGCCAGGCATTCTGCTGATGACAGCCCTTTTCAAAGGTCCATAGATATCATCTGTATTCTGATCTCCTTAGGTCCAGGAAGTCATCATCTAGTAAGTTGTCATATAAGGTCACATAGTACATTAATGCCAGCAGAACTGGGACTAGTAGTAAATATTTTACGAATCTGGGAGGTCCAGTGTTAGGTGCATATAAATTGGATTGTAATATCTCTGTGTTGTATTGATCCTTTTATCATTATATTATGACTACCTTTGTCTTTTTCTACTGTTGTTCCTTTAAAGTCTGTTTTATTTGATATAAGAATAGCTACTCCTGCTCACTTTCTGTTTTCATTTGTGTGGAATGTCTTTTTCCATCCCTTTACCTTGGATTTATATGAATCCTTACATGTTAGGTGAGTCTCTTGAAGACAGCAGATATTTTTGGTGTGTGATTTATATTCATTCTGCTAATCTATATCTTTTAAGTGGAGCATTTAGGCCATTTATATTCAATATAAATATTGGGACTTGGAGGTGCTTTCCAATTATCATGTTAAGTGTTACTTACTTTGTTTTCTTCATTGTGTTACTGTTTTATAGGCCCTGTGAGTTTTATGCTTTCAAGAGGTTCTATTCTGGTGCATATTGACCTTTTGTTTCAGGATTTAGAACTCCTTTTAGCATTTCTTGTATGGCTGGGCTGGTAATGACAAATTCTCCCCACATTTGTTTGTCTGAAAATTACTTTATTTCTCCTTCATTTATGAAAATTAGTTTTTCAGGATACAAAATTCTTGGTGACAGTTATTCTGTTTAAGGAGGCTAAAGATAGGACCCCAATCTTCTGGTTTTTAAGATTTCTAGTGAGAAGCTTGCTTTTAGTCTGATAGGTTTTTCTTTATAGGTTACCGGGTGCTTTTATCTCACCACTCTCAGAATGCTTTCCTTCACATTGACTTTATATGTAGCCCAATGACTATATGCCTTGGTGAAGTCCTTTTTGTGATGAATCACCCATGAGTTCTATGAGTTTCTTGGATTTGGATGCCTAGATCTCAGACAAGGCTAGGGAAGTTTTCCTCAATTATTCCTTTAAATAAATTTTCCAAACGTTTTGCTTTCTCTTCTCCCTCAGGAACACCAGTTTTTCTTAGGTTTGGCCATTTTTCATAATCTCATATTTCTTGAATGCTTTGTTCATTTCTTTTGATTCTTTTAAATTTTTATTTGAGTGGGTTAATTTGAAAGTCTTCTCTTCGAGCTCTTTCAGGAGAAGATGAAATTCTTTCATCTACTTGTTCTAGTCTGTTGTTAAAACTTCTTATTGCATTTTGTAATTTCCCAAATGTGTCTTTCATTTCCAGAAGTTCTGATTGGTTTTTCTTTCAAGTATCTGAAATAGCTATCTCTTGAGAAAATTATTTATTTGTTGAGTTGGAGTCTCGCTCTGCTGCCCAGGCTGGAGTGCAATGGCATGATCTTGGCTTACTGCAACCTCTTCTTCCCATGTTCAAGTGATTCTCCTGCCTCAGCCTCCCAAGTAGCTGGGACTACAGGCGCCTGCCTCCACGCCCGGCTAATTTTTCTATTTTTAGTAGAGACAGGGTTTCACCATGTTGGCCAGTCTGGTCTCGAACTCCTGACCTCGTGATCCACCCGCCTCAGCCTCCCAAAGTGATGGGATTACAGGCGTGAGCCACCATGCCCAGTGAAAATTCTTTATTTATATCCTGAATTTCTGATTTCTTCATGTTGGTTCTTACCTTTCTCTGATATCTCCTTGAGTAGCTTAGTAATCAACCTTTTGAATTCTTTATCTGGTATTTTAAAGATTTTGTGTTGTTCTGGATCCATTGCTGGAAATCTAGTGTGATCATTATAGAACCCTGTTTTGTCATATTACCAGTTATTTTTCTGGTTCCTTCTCATTTGGGTAGAGTATTACTTCTAATTATTCTTGAATTTGTTTTATATTTTACTCTGTGTGTGTGTGTGTGTGTGTGTGTGCGTGCTTGTGTGTGTGTTTAGTTTCTTTTTTGCTCCTTAAGGATGTTACTTTAATGTTTACAGTTTATTGTAGCCTAATTTGGCTCTTGCTTTTGGTGCTTTCAGCAGTGAAGACTCTGTATGAGTTTCTTGGTTATAGAGAGTCTTTGTATGATGGCTTTCTCAGATACTGGTTGTAGTAGCAATGTGCTCAGTGTGTGAGCAAGTTCACCATTGTTATAAATAAAGTTTCGGTGCCGCAAAAGAAATAGCACTTGAATATAAAATTTTCTTTTTAATTCTCTGCAAGGCAATGTACTTGGGATGCGCCCTTACAGATGGAGCAGTGGTGAGCTCACACCTGGACAAGGGACAGGGGAGTTCTTATTCCTGGCGCACGTGGCCCCCGCTGCTGTGTCGTTCCCCTATTGGCTAAGGTTAGACTGCACAGGCTAAACTAATTACGATTGGCTAATTTAAAGAGAGTGATGGGATGAGTGGTTTGGTGGAATAAATGGTTATGGCAGAGCAAGAAATCGGAATGAGTCAGGGTGGAGAATGAGTCAGGGTGGAGCAGGTAATGGGAATAAGTCAGGGTGGAGAAGGTAATTGAAAAAGGTTGCTTTACGAGGAAGTTAAGTTTAAAAGTAGAAGGCAAAGAATTGAACATACTCACATATTGATTCTTTGAAGAGAAATTTAGAACTCATATCTAACAATCCCTCCTCTTGCATTTCCTTACAGCTCTTTCTCTTCAAACTTCTTTAACATGTCTTGGCTTAGTTGTTCTGCTTGATTTCCCAAAAGAAGAAGCTTCACTGGATAAAGTGGAGGATAGTTAAGGGAGGTTTTAGTAAGTGCCGTTTTTATGAGCCTCTGCAGCAACCCACACGTGCATGGTGTGGCACAGCACCTGACAAGAATAAGTACACCTATTACGGCTGTGAGGGAAGTAAGAATTGAGGCTGTTATTCTTTTCCATTTACTGAACCACTTTTCTAGCCATCCTGTAAAGGGGTCATTTACCCCTGAGTTGTTGGCTAACTCATTGGACAGAGAGCAGTCAGACCTTGAAATGCCTTTGTTATACTTCCATCAGGGGCAGTGTTGTTTGGGATGAAGGTACAACATTGAGTTTTAATTATGACACAAACTCCTTCTTTTTCTGCTAATATCGTGTCTAAGGCTATCCTATTTTTCCCAAGCCATCTGGCTAGTGGCCCCTAATTGCTCAGCTATTCCTTTAATAGCATCTCTAGTGTAGTTAATAGATCGCTTTTGGTTGTAATAGATGTAGTTTATCCAATTTACATTTTATTAATTGTCACCCACCAAAATATTGACTCAAATCCTTCAGCTATTTGATTTCGGGCTTTAAATTGATATGGTATTCCCCATGGGACTCTAATTGTGTCTAAGTAGATGTGGGAATGGAAAGACCCATAAGGGGCTTCTTTTGCTTTATGATGTCTTATTTTTCCTTTCTCTGGTTGATTAAATGCCAGGGTGAAAGGGATAGCCAGTTGGACTAAAGCATAAGTGCCACTTCAGTTACTTGGCACAGTGTCCAGTAAAGGTCCACCATAATACCATTACACATCTGCTCAGGGATGAATAAGGGCTGACTGATTGATAAGCTCTTGCAAATTCTTAAGCTCATTGCATCCCTTCAGGTCTCCAAGGAACGCTAAGTTTCCTTCTTGTCATGGGAGACATGAAGTGAGCTTAGTGTTGGGAAATGGAAGCTGGATGGCCCTCGGGGTCTGACCTGCAGGGTGTGGAACTTTGGGATATAGCAGAGAGAGACATTGGCACGATTTGTTACCCCAGGCTGTAGAATCCTGGAAAAGAGCTACCATGCAGCCCACGCCCAGTTGACTGGAGGACCACCCTAGTGGAAAGGGGACAATCTGGGCCTCCGGCCCACCGTGCACACAAGCATAACAATTGCCTTTGTTTAACGTGTGGACGGAATATTAATCCATTTTAACCAAGCATTTACATCTTTACACCCTGTTTCAATGGCTGTGGTTTGCCTTAGGTCTCCTATTTCTACTACTGAGAACTTGCTGTTGTCATTTGGCATGAGGTGAGTCATAGTTTGATTTCATAGGTTTGGGAAGGGGGCAGCCGTAGGAGGTGGAGGAGGCAGAACAAAGTGCACCTTAAAGAAACCTATAGGATCCTTTCCAGTGACCTCTGCTCCTAAACCATAGAAGCGCTCTAAAGTGGTGTTAGAGTTGCTAGTGGTAGGAATAGTAATGGATATAAGCACTGGGTAAGGAAAGGAAAGGAAAAGAGAGGTAGACTAAGCTTTCCTTAGCTCTAATTTGGTAGGGATCGATCCAGGAAAAATGGCCCATGATTCTGAGGGTAATGGTGCTTGCTTGACTTGGGTGTGATGTGTCCATCCCTTTCCGCCATACTAGTAGCAGTCTCAGTGGTTAGCAGCACAAGGTAGGGTCCTTCCCAGGCTGGCTTGAGTTTCCCTTCTTTCTACCCTTTGATGAGAATGGGATCCCCAGGGCCATGCTGATGTATTGGAAACTCCAAAGGTGGTGCCTGTGCTAAAAGACCTCTTGTTTTAAGGGAGGAGAAGGTGGAGGATAAACTAAGTATATAATTTCTAAGAAATTGATCCTTTGTTTTAAATGTGGGGACATCAAGAGTGGACTTTATAGTCCTTGGTGCCTTCTTGTTGAGAAATTTTCTTTAGCACCTATCTTTATTAGTTTTTAGACCAAAGAAAGCCAAACACCATTTTATATTTAACAGTGCTTCCTGTATGATTTTTATACCAGATAAGCTAAATTTCACCTTTATATTAGTGTGTTAATTTTAATAAAACCTTGTAGACATATTTATCCAATTTTTAATGTCTGACCATAAGGTAAGATTTTTATAGACGCTTTTTAACCTTTTATAATTTTTGTTAAAGAGCGGATTAGTGCTTTAAGAAAATCCTGTTGTGCTTTTATTTTAATGTCCAATTCACAGAAAAACTGGATGATACCCCTTTAACTTTACCCAATGTGTTTACACACAGAATCACCTTTATAATTATGTTTCAAAACTTGCTTAAACCTTTAAAACAAAAATTTTTTTTAACCTTTTAATGTAGGTAAAAATCCACATTCTTTTTCCTCCTTATAATCCCGTTTACCAAAAGTGTATTTTACTTTCCTTACACACCTTGCACATAAACTGTTTCTTCAATAGTTTTACATTCAGGAGGCCTAATTACTTTTAAATTATACAACATTTCTTGCATAAATTCCCTTTTATAACTTTTTTTTCACGACTTTCACAGAGAATTCTTCAGCATACCTCAACTTTCTGACTTGTTGCAAACATCCCTTTCTCTAAACAACCATTTAATTTATTTTAGGACAAGAATTTACCATATAACATTCCTTTTTACATAAATTCTACCCCCCACCCCCCTTTTTTTTTCTCAAAGATGATAACCATTCTTTTCCAAAGCAAACTTCTGTCATGTCTGTGTACTAAACTGTCTAAGGCCACAGGATTAGAAGTTAGGATAATACATGTTACACTGTTAACTTTTAGCAAACTTTACTTTTGTTGAAAACCTTGTAAGTTTGGGATTTCAATTATTCTTTGCTATTAATAAGACCTCGTTCAGTCCATATTAATTTAGGATTGGTACAGATGGCTCCTTCCTGATTCTATAAGTACTTTAAGGCTTAGCTGAGTGCAAACAGCTCGCAGGTTTGAGCAGGCCAATTATTAGGCAATTTTCCTAACAGAGCTTCTACTAGAGTTTCCATATCACTCTCTGAATACCCATTGTGTCTTTTTCCCTCAATCACCCGACTGTCCTGAAGGGAGTTCCTCGTAGGTCTGGTTGGACCTTTGTATGGTAATGAAGATTTAGATCCCCTGTTAGGAAACCTGCTGGGTAAGGGAATTTTCAGTGGTTAATGTTAAATCATCTTTTTCTAACAGAATAGCCTTATACTTTAAGGTTCTTGAGTCAGTAAGCTATCTTTTTGCTTTTTTGTTTTTGTTTTTTTTGACTTAGGATAGTGCTGACCTGATGAGGTGTGCTCACAATGAGGTTTCCTCTAAAATTTATTTTTCTACTTTCTTCTGTTAGCAAAGCAGTTGCTGCTAATAGATTGAATGCATTTGGGCCATCTATGGGTTACTGGGTTAAGGATTTTTGATTAGGAAGGCTACGGGTTGTCAGTGGCCTCAGTGCTTTTGGGCTACGCCCTTGTTTACAGTGACAGCAAGGTGGTATTGGAGTGTTACAGGGTCACGGAGAAGACCTTCAATTATTAATTATAGGTTTTAAATTTACCCTGGCTTTTAAAAGAATAGGGTACACTGTTTTTACTACTGCTCTCTCTCTCTTTCTCTCTCTCTGACTCTGTCTCTTTCTCTCTGACTCCCTCTTTGTCTCTCTGTCTCTTTCTCTCTCTCTGCCTCTCTCTTTCTCCCTCTTTCTCTTTGACTCTCTGTCTCTTTCTCTGCCTCTCCCAGCGGCTTATGCTGCTGTTCTCCCCTCTCCTTCCCCTTCCCTAGGGGAGGGACCGGTGGGAGTGGAGCTACTCTTTCTTCCCCAGAGAAGAAAGGAAAGGGGAGTTCTGAATACTTTTCTTACTACCGAAGGCTTATGTGAGGTTCAACCCCCTGAAATTTGTGGAAGGCTCAACCCCTCAAACCAGGGGTATCTTGCCTTGCCTGTCCTGGAAGGCTCAACCTCTCAAACAAGGGATGTCTTGCCTTGCCTGCCCCAGAAGCCTCAACCCCTCAAACCAGGGATGTCTCGCCTTGCCTGTCCCAGAAGCCTCAACCCCTCAAACCAGGGATGTCTCACCTGGCCTGTCCCGGAAGACTAAACCCTCAAACCAGGGATGTCTCACCTGGCCTGTCCCGGAAGGCTAACCCCTCAAACCAGGCATGTCTCGCCTGGCCTGCCCCGGAAGGCTCAACCCCTCAAACCAGGGATGTCTCGCCTTGCCTGCCCTGGAAGGTTGACCTGTTTCCTCCCTTTCCCCCTCTGAAGGTCCCTTGCACACTTCCCACTCGTGTTGTCCTCTCTGGCTGCTCCCCCAAGGGAGAATTAGGCCCCTTTTAGTGTTTCCGATAGGCGTACCGATATAACTTCCACCGCAGGATCTGCCTTAAGCCATATGAGGTAGCTACAGAACCACAGAGAGGACCCACTCGCTCCGTCCAGCAGTAGGACTTATCACCATCCACTGGAACAACACTGCAAGTAGGGTCGTTTGTGATCATTCACCCCCACACACATTTAGCCCTCTAGAATTTGACCACCAAGGAGGTACTTTACCGGCTCCCGCAGCTTCTCCTTATTTGGTCTGTGCACAGAGTTGTCGCCATAGTATGTGAGGATCCTTTAAGCTAGGTTGCTGGCCAGTTTCTTTCCGCGTTGCTGAGAGCTCAGGTTATTCCTCACACTGGGTCCTGATTTCTCCTTATTTCTCCTGATTTCTCACCCCTGAGGCTGCCACAAGGGGGTGGGATGCCCCTTCTCATGAGAGAAAACCAGAGACTGCCCCCCAGAGGGGAATGTAATCCTGGATGAGCCCCCAAATTGTTATAAATAAAGTTTTGGTGCTGCAACAGAAATAGCACTGGAATATAAAATTTTATTTTTAATTCTCTGCAAGGCAACGTACTTCTATAGAAGGGTGTGCCCTTACAGATGGAGCAATGGTGAGTGCATACCTGGACAAGGGAGGGGAAGGGGTTCTTATTCCTGATGCACGTGGCCCCTGCTGCTGTGTCTTTCCCCTATTGGCTAGGGTTAGACCACACAGGCTAAACTAATTACGATTGGCTAATTTAAAGAGAGTGACGGGGTGAGTGGTTTGGCGGTAAAAATGGTTATGGCAGAGCAGGAAATCGGAATGAGTCAGGTGGAGAATGAGTCAGGGCAGAGCAGATAGTCAGAATGAGTCAGGGTGGAGCACCTGGACAAGGGAGGGGAAGGGGTTCTTATTCCTGATGCACGTGGCCCCTGCTGCTGTGTCCTTCCCCTATTGGCTAGGGTTAGACCGCACAGGCTAAACTAATTACGATTGGCTAATTTAAAGAGAGTGATGGGGTGAGTGGTTTGGCGGGAAAAATGGTTATGGCAGAGCAGGAAATCGGAATGAGTCAGGGTGGAGAATGAGTCAGGGCGGAGCAGGTAGTCGGAATGAGTCAGGGTGGAGCAGGTTATCGAATATGGTTGCTTTATAAGGAAGTTAAGTTTAAAAGTAGAAGGCAAAGTACTGAACATACTGACATATTGATTCTTTGAAGAGAAATTTAGAACTCAAATCTAACAACCACCTCCTACAGGTCTTGAACTGCAGAGGTCTCTTGAAGCTTTCTTCATTCTTCCTTGATGTATACTTTTTTTTTTTTTTTTTTTGAGATGGAGTTTTGCTCTTGTCACCCAGGCTGGAGTGCAATGGCATGATCTTGGCTCACTGCAACTTCTACCTCCCAGTTTCAAGTGATTCTCCTGCCTCAGCCTCCTAAGTAGCTGGGATTACAGGGGCCTGCCACCACGCCTGGCTAATTTTTGTATTTTTAGTAGAGATGGGGTTTTACCATGTTGGCCAGGCTAGTCTTGAACTCCTGACCTCAGGTGATTCTCCTGCCTTCGCCTCCCAAAGAGCTGGGATTATAGGTGTTAGCCATGTGCCTGGCTGATGTATGTGTATGTGTGTTATATATATAGTGTGTGTGTGTGTTTTTTTTTTTTTTTTTTTTGAAAGGGAGCCTTGCTCTGTTTCCAGGCTGGAATGCAGTGGCACAATCTCAGCTCACTGTGCAGCCTCCACCTCCTGGGTTCAAGCGATTCTCCTGCGCCAGCCTTCTGAGTAGCTGAGACTTACAGGCATGCACTACCATACCCAGCTAATTTATACTTTTTTATTTTTTTTTTTCTGCAGTATTTTATTTGCTGGGTTGATTAGTTCAGTCTTCAGACCAGCAGGAGAGGTGTTCCTGGGTAGAAACCTGTTGTAGATAAAGTAGATGGGTAAATGCAATACCCAGTGGTGGATGGAGGTCCCAGCCTTGACAGAGGTAGCAGCTGGGAAAGCCCTCACTGAAACACACTGAGGTCTTAACACAGGCAAGGGGGAGCCACCTCAGCTCTCCTACCAGGCCAGCAGGGAAGTGATCCACCTCACAGACACACTCCTATCCCAGTGTTCTGGTTATTCAGATCAGACAGGCACCTTTTTTTTTTTTTTTTTTTTTTTTTTGACGGAATCTCCCTTTGTCGCCCAGGCTGGAGTGCAATGGTGCGATCTTGGCTCACTGCAACCTCTGCCTCCCAGGTTCAAGCAATTCTCCTGCCTCACCCTCCCGAGTAGCTGGGATTACAGGTGCCTGCCACCATGCCCAGCTAATTTTGGTATTTTTAATAGAGATGGGGTTTCACCAGGTTGGCCAGGCTGGTCTGGAACTCCTGGCCTCAGATGATCCACCCACCTTGGCCTCCCAAAGTGCTGGGATTACAGGCAGGAGCCACTGCACCCAGCCCAACAGGTACCTTTTTTTCATCTGCAGAAATGTTGATGTTCCAACCAGAGAGGAATTGTGACTGTGCCTCTCGTGCAAGCCTGAACCTGGAGGGTGCTCCACCTCTGGGGATGTAGTCAACCTGCAGTGATCCAGAAAGGTTATCTATAGGTGCACCCACACCAAGCTCCAGTGAGAGAAGCCCCAGTTATTTCACAGTCATGGATGAGGGGTAAAAGAAGTTCCCTTTTCCAAGGCCCTTCATGAGCACCAGGGCTGCCTGCCTGTTGGGGTATTGTTGCAGACTATCCTAGCTGAGCCCAGCGCTGCAACTGTGCCACTGCTGAAACTTCTCACCAGTGGTAAGATCTGGGACTCAAGGCTTGCCATCTGGATTCTTTTGTACTACTGGCTGTTCCCTTAATGTGGGGCACTCCCTCTTCCCTAGGGGTAGGAGTCCCTGAGAGCCAGACTACTGTGACTACTGTTGTTCCTCTTGGTCTAGCCACCCAGTGAGTCTGCCGTAATTCAGGCTGGTGCTGGGTAATGTCTGCAAGGAATCCAGTGATGTAACCTGTCCTCAACCCTCTCAGCAGTGGGTACCAGCCAGCACCCATTCTGATGGGGGCGTGACATACACTCTGAGATTTCTTGGTTATAAGTAGTCTTAGTTTGTTGGCTTTCTCAAATTCTGGTTGTAATAGTAATGAACTTGTCCTGTGGACAGACTTAGGACCTTCTGGTTAGCCAGGGTGGTGCAGGCTATAGTGATAGCTCATGCACAAGTTTTCTCCTTCCTGGGTGCAGTGTTATTGTACCTGTGGATGCTGTAATGGTCTGTGTTGGTTGGCTTCCAGCCAGAAGGTGATGCTCGCAAGAGAATGCCAGCTGCCACAATAGTGATGGGATTTGTGCTTGCTTTATGTTACCCAGGGGATGTACTCTGGTTTCCAGATGATGATTGGGGCCGTAGGGCTCCCAGAAGTTCTGTCCCTTGTGTTAAGTTACCAGGGCAGGTTGAGGGGCAAAGCCAGGTGGGAGCTGGGTCAGGCAGGCCCTTGCTCTGGTTCTCTGTGTACAGGGCAAGCAGAGGCCCCTGTGGGGGTGAGGGGACTGGTTCTCTGGCCGCTGGGGTGATGTTCCAGGAAGGAGTGTAGCTTCTGCTGCACAGAAGAGTTCGCTCAGGGAGTGGGGAGTAACAGGCAGCAGGAAGCCTCACCCAGCTCCCATGCACTTGATAAGGCAGGTCTCTCACCTGCAGTGTTCACTAGCAGCAGCTAGCTGAATTCCAGGCCGTCTTTGCTCAATACTGCCCCAGGCCGTCATTCTTTTCCTTGGAGACAGGAACTGGCTTTCAGGCAATGCCACTCCTCATCTGCCCACAAAGCTGGGGTGCCCATCTCCTGTGCCTGTGGCTGGAGCAATTTCAAGGAAAGTGCTTCCCACTCAACCCCTGGTTCTGGCCAAGGGAGTTTGTCCCCACTTGAGATTATATTATGAATTTCATTTGAGAGCTTCTTTCAACCTGCTGCCACTGCCTGAGTTAGTTGGCAGATTTCTGTGAGGTCCCCTGTCAGTTAGAATCAGGAATGGTTTCCCTCCGCCTGTGCTGGAGACTGGAAGTGCGTGCAAGGCTCTTCTTGCTGCTGTTCCTACTTTTACATGCCCCACCGCTTGCTATATCAGTTCCCACACTGGATAGGATTAAGGCCTCCCTCTGTAGGCTGGATTGCCAGCTTTCCCGGTGGTAATGTGTATCCTGGAGGCAGTCTCTTCCTCTCTCACACTCTGGAGACTTACAGTTTTTCCACCTGGCTCTCAGTGTAGGCTGCAGCCTGCAGCTTCTTTCAAAGAGTCTTTGGTTTCTTCCCATTTTCCTGTTAAGTTCCTGCATTGCTCCATGGAAAAAAGTGAACAGTGTGAATTTCAACTCAATATTTTGTCTTTCCAAGTGGCAGAGGCTGCCTCTAATCTGCTATTTTGGCCACATGGCCCCAGAAGATTATTTAAATTGTAAATCTTTAACTTTAATTCCCATTAGTGCTACTTATAACTACATGATAAAATGGGTTTAAATTAAATTTAGACTGGTTAATATGGGAGATGTTAAAAAAAAATCTTTCTCACCGAATTGGTAAGATTCCCCTTAACTATAGTGGTTTTATCTGTATGGATGAATACAGTTTTTACCATTCATTGTAAACATGAACACTGCTAGATTGTGGAGGAACATTAAAGAAATCTTTCTCAATTTGGAATTAAGGCCCTGAGCAATGACCTAGAAATCAGACATACTTGAAATATTTAGTAGGGAAATGAAGATCTTTTATGTCAGGTGCTTACTTTATGATTCTCAGAAACCAACTGGTACTTTAAGGAACCTTGCGTTCAGGCCACTCCTAATTATCTTCTTTCTCCTTGCTGAGTTCTATTCCATACTTGTAGAAAATAAACTTCTGGGAAAACTTAATTTTAGTCTTTGATTACATGATTCAGGTTAGCTTTAAGGAACATTGTTTAATATTGAAATGTATAAGTAGAAAACATTAATTTCTTTATAGATGTATTTTTAAAAAGAATGCTGTTTTTGTTTGTGATGCTTTAGTTCCAGTATAATGCTTTCTACACATTCCTTTAAAATCACTCCTCAAGGGAGAACAGAGGCAACCCATACCCCATTCTAAACTCCTACCCCTCTTGCCCAATAAGAGTAATCACTACGTAGCTTTATTCTGTTAATGACGAGCCAAAATTTCATTAAAGTATATTTTTTACTTTATTCTGTAATTTATTTGTATTTGTTTTCACATGAAAGTAATAATAAAAAAGTGCTGTGCTTATCCAGCTTTATTCCACTATAGGATATACATATCTTAAGAAGACCACTATTGGAGGACTTTACTCTGGATGCTTTTGGTCTCATTCATCTGTTTATGGAAAACTAGCTAAGTGCCTTTAAATACTAGGCCCAAATCTGTTTGTTGAACAGTGAACAAAATAGGCTGACATTTATGCTTTCATAGAATTTAGATTCTAATGGCAGGGGGTGTGGGTGGCAGATTAGTGAGTTAAATATGCTACGGGTTAGTGATAAATGCTAGGGTGTAAGAGTGTGTGTGCACACATGTGCATGCACGCACATATGTGGAGGCTGAAGACAATGCTTGCTCCTGCCCCATCCCCACCACAGACCTCGTAGCAACTGGTTCCCAAACTTTATTTATCATAAAAGTCATTGACCTTGAATCACAATGGGCTGGGTCCCTGCACTACACAACATCTGAATGTGAATGTGAGTCTTAGATTATAGATAATTTTCCATACTTAAAAAGTTATGAGCATATGGAAAAAGCAGTAACAGTATACACAATTTCATTTCTCAGATGTACATCTCTTCTCATGAGTTTTCGTCCTGAAAATACAGAGAGATATTAGTACTATCTTGTTCATTATCTGGAGAGTCCTTGCCAAAATATTGCACACAGTTCCACTGATTGAGCATTTCTAGGGTTCTCAGATGACTTATATAAATAAGCAGCTGCTGGTAGCCATTGTCAGCTCATTGTCTTCTTTGAGTCTCATTGTCTTGTTTTAGGCTTAGACCATCTGCCAAAAACAAACCCAAGGGAATAGTAGTAAGTTGAAGATATCAGGTTGAAGGTATCAGGCCCTAGATGTGCATGAATGAAAAACTAAGAGAGAACTTATTTCTTATTTCCCCCCTGTCATAACAGGGACAACAGAGATCTATTTACAAGATAGGTTTTTCATGGTGTTAAGGTTTTGTGGTGTTCAAAGATAGGAAAAGGAAGTTGAGGCAGTGCAGTATATGCTGTTTGTCTCATTAGGTTATTAACTATTTGAGGTTAGGGATAATGCTTTTCCTTAATTGACAATGTCATGCTCTATATAATGTCATTATTTAATATGACTGATGGAAATATAAAATATAAAGGTACACTATGACTCACTGAATCTAAGTTTCACAGTTTTAATATTTTAGCATTTCTAAAATTGGATAGAGGTCTTACAATATATCGTCTTTGGCCAGGCATGGTGGGTCATGCCTGTAATCTCAGCACTTTGGGAGGCTAAGACAGGAGGATGGCTTGAGGCCAGGAGCTCGAGACTAGCCTGGTCAATACAGTGAGACCTTGTCTCTACAAAAAAAAAAAAAAAAAAAAAAAAAAGTAGCTGGGCATGGTGTCATATATCTTTAGTCCTAGCTACTCTGTAGGCTGAGGCAGGGGGATAGCTTGAGCCCAGGCAGTTGAAGCTGCAGTGAGCAATGATCATGCCACTGCACTCTAGCCTGGGCAACAGAGCAAGACCCTGTCTCAAAAATAAATATATTTTTAAATACAATTTATCATCTTAGAATATATGAACTGTAGTAAATAAAAATGACAGCACCTAAAATTTGTAGTATTTGTGGAACCGATGATAAGAAGTTTTGAAGTAAGCCAAAAATGCTTAGAGAGTTGAAAACGGCATATACATTTGTTAAGTTTTTTATTGAATGGTGACCCAATCATAGGCCGATTACATGCTGATTAAAGCCTGGCATAAATTGTGTGTATCATTTGTATGAAAGTCTCTTTTATTTGCAGTAAGATGATAATTAGAGATAACATGTCTTCCAAAGTTTGGAAAGCTCTACAGCCAGACGTAGTTGCACAAGTTGACACAGTTGGAATTCCTCAGTTCTGGTTGCTAAATAAAAATCTTCACTATTCAGAATCACAGCAGGCAGTTGCTCTCTGTGTACAGATCATTGAAGTGCATACATGTTAATGGCTCAAATAAACAGCATAGCATTTTAGGTGAATGAGTTTTACTTTGTGCTTAGTTTTTAGAATAAAAGATTGAGATTTATTTTTATGCTTTCTGATCAGTATCATGAATCACCCCGTAATAATAAAAATAATACTTTAAACATAAGATGCATATCTTCTTTAAAGACATTTATGGATTTTTATAATAATCATTCCATGTAAATATATAATACATTGGCAGTTAAAATAGTTACGTGGTGAGAATATAGGAAGATCAATAAGAATGAGACTTTTTAAAGTGAGAAAATGGTAAATAAGACATGAAAATTATAAATGATATGAAAATGAAATTTGTATTTGCTACTTAGCTAAATCCAGTATGGTAGAATTATAGGCTTAAAAGGAACATCCATAGTTATTTAAGGTGGTATAGAAAGAGGGTTGATTTTGACATGGCAGATTGAGATTCCTGTCCTGATTCTGTTGTTTGGGTAAGTCACTTAACCTTGAGCCTTAGTTTCCTCATCTGTAAAATGGAGATAATTACCTACACAGCTTCTTTCCTCAGTAGGGTTCCAATGAGATAAGGGCTATAAATATTAATATGATTTGAAAAATCCCATCATGTGCATGTAAGGTGGTGAGATGGCTGTAGTAAGTCAATCTATTAAAAGTGGAACACTTGGAAGTTAAATTAGAACAGAAAAATTCATAAAATAGTATAGTTCACCAAAAATCATCATCTCTATTGTGATACCTTAAAAATGGGGTGGCTCTAAGGGTACATAATGAAATCTGCAATTTAAAAATGCCATTTTTGCCAAAATAGTTTCAAAAATTGCTTTAGTATGTCAAAATGGGGTAGGATAGCAGAAAAATGAAGTCTGTAAACATGTAGGATAATGAGTTTCTTGAAATTGACTCACAAAAAAACACTGTGTAAATGGAGAATAATGATCTTTGTGCCTTTACTTCCCTGGCAGCCCAGGCTCAACCCTGTTTGACAGTGTGCTTTTTTGTTTCTTTTTGGAAGGATGAGGCATGATGCCAGCATTCATCCACATCTTATCCAAGAGAGTGGTTTATGTATTCTTTCAGTTACCATCCGTTATAAAATATTTCCAATCTTTAAGAGAACCTTAGTCATATTGCTATGTGAAAAGATTCTTTTTGACATAACCATACTGTTCATGTATAGCCATGATATTATCTAATATTAAACACTTTCATTTGATCAAAGAAAAATCAATAAAAATATAATAGTGAAGACCCAAATATGCTGTAACAATAAATGTAGCAACTTAAACATAGCCACTTAAGCTATAATCACATTCTAAGTTTGTCACTCCATTTAAATTGTACTTGGGAAAATTTTTGGAGGTTTGTGTGAATGTGTTAACTTGTTTCTTTGCTTGGGTAAACAGATTTTATTATTGGATCCGGGAATGTTTTTGTTAAGGCATGCTGGAATGCAGATATCTATTAACTACTGAGATGATACTTTTTTGAAGTTGTAGTAATAAACCTAGTCTTTGGAGGCAATATATGTATTGCATAACTGTTATTAATGATGCATGATGCTAAACAGCTGAGATGAAAATGCACTTAAGTAAATGATCAATTTACCTTTTGGAATACGGACAGTTTGACTGTGATGATTTTTGTTGTCACTGTAGTTTTTTCCTTGACTGGCAGGCACTGTGGCTGCATCATAAAATGATGAGTTATCTTTTTAGGTCCAGAGAAATAGGCTGATATGTAGGTTTAGTAACTGAGAGCAAATAAGTAACATGTCTTTCCAGTCATTGTTTACCTCTTTAAAAATTAATAGTAATTATAATTATGATAGTTTATCAAGCTCTTACTATGTGCTGTGATGAACTCTACATGCATGATTTCATTTGCTCAGCACAATGATCTTATGAAATAAGTATATTAATATTATTCCCATTTTATAGATAGGTAAATTGAAACTTGCAGAGCTTAAGTAACCTAACTTGGCCACCTAGCAAAACAGAATTTAACTAGTAGTGAGTCTGACACCAATATCCTCACTCTTAATATTTTTTTAATTAGATCTATTTGTGTTAGAAGGTTATGCAAAGAAATAGAAGCCCATGACAGCCTTTTCTTTAATGATTTATATTTGTGAAAAATTTTAGTGTTTTTTTGTTTGTTTGTTTGTTTTTTAACTGAATGCTCACTCCATCAAGCTTGAATAGACCACCAGGATCATTTTTATAGTGGATGTTTTATAAGGCAATGTTGAGATTGTAGGTTAGCAGGTAAAAATGTCCGGACTGCTTTTGTCAGCAGCCAGGTGTCCCCCACTCACCCCCATCACCCTGCAGCTTGCTAACAGATCTTAAATGAAAGAACCTTCTGGCCATTCTCTCTGGCTCCTCACATCTCATCGGCTTGATTTGATGTCCATATCTTAAGTCTGTGTGTTTGCTGGGGCTCTGGTTTTCCTCTCTTCCTCATAGCACCTTTTATAGCTAGGGGCAAGCCTGTGTCTAGGCACCTGGCTTCTTATCTCTAATTGCTCTCTGCCAATCTTAAAAAGGCCTTAATTTACCTCTCCTAAATACTCTGAATTCCCACATTCAGTTCTGTTTATTGACAGCTTCCTATTTTCAAGGTCCTGTGTTGGGTGCAGTAAAGGCTGGAGGGGTTCTCTGCCCTCCACACCTTGCTGTTCAGGGAGAGTTATAAGATTTAGACACAAAGAAGTATAATAATAAAAGGGATCATTGTCTAGGGTATTTCAGTAGACATACAAAAAAGGAGGTAGAGTACAATAATGCAATATTTCTCAAAGATTTCTCCTGAAGTACATCTAATACGAGAGGAGGGGAAAAGTACCCTCTCGGTAGTCTGGGGACATAGCCCAAACTGGCTGCCTCAGAGGAAATATCAGGTACAAGCTAATTCATATGAAATAGGCTTTACCTCAATATATGCATTTAAAAAATGCAAAACTGTGTAAAATTACTTGGCTTCCTTCTCCCCAATTTTCAAATAAAAGCTGTAGCCCCAGGAAGACACAATAAGAGGGTCCATAGCTTTCTGAACCTCTGACTGCATACCATAAGGCACCCAACATATGGTATCTGTAAATCAGCAGATACATTGCACTGATTGGATTACCCAGGGTAATTTTAGGATTACTTAATCTAGAAACTGGCAAGTTTTAAAGGTACGTTAATAGGACTGAAATTAACCACATGCACCATCCTTAATTAAGTATAGCCAGGAAGCTCTTGCAGACCAGATCTTGGTATCTTAATGTTATTGTAGCCCCTGGATGGTATGATGCAGATTTGCAGTCCTGCAGCTGTGCATACCTCTCTATTTGAAGACGTTTGAAGGTCACAGCAGAGACAAAGGGCTGTTTCTGACGTGCACAATGACTTTGTGGATGTTGAGAGAGTTAAGTTTAGATCGGTTTGTTTGGCTGGCATTTTGAGTATGCAAAGAATAGTTTGAGAGAAAGGATTAGTCAAAAAACATAGAGGAAAGATGACATCTTTCACTAGCCTAGAAGGTAATAGCTTAGTATGTCCTTTAAAATGAAATTAAAGGCTAGGTGCAGTGGCTTACACTTGTAATCCCAGCACTTTGGGAGGCCAAGGTGGGAGGATCACTTGAGGTCAGGAGTTTGAGACTAGCCTAGCCAACATGGTGAAACCCCATCTCTACTAAAAATACAAAAAAATTAGCCGGGTGTGGTGGCGGGCTCCTGTAATCCCAGCTACTTGGGAGACTGAGGCAAGAGAATCGTGTGAACCCAGGAGGCGGAGGTTGCAGTGAGCCGAGATTGCGCCACTGCACCCCAGCCCAGGTGACAGAGCAAGACTCTGTCTCAAAAAGAAAAAAAAAAGGAAATTAAACTAGTAATGATCTAACCACAAATGTATATGACACCAAGAAGGACAGGATGGAGAAAGGAAGTTGTAAGAGCTGGCAATAGGATGATATGTGACATGAAAGATAAGGTAACACCAAATGTCCTTCCAAAGTCATTATCTTGGGTGGATGGATATGTTAGGTAATAAAAGGAGAAATGGGCTGTAACTGAGGCTAACATACTGAGGCTTTCCCTTACTGTTGATAAGAGAGTAAGTTGTAAATGCTTGGCAAACAGTGGGAAGTGAGTGGTTGTACTGGGGCAGTGGTATGGGTGGGTAGGCAGACCAGGAAGCCCAGGCAAAGCAGGCCAGGCCACCCCTGAGTTACTGGGAAGCTTAGGAAAATGAAACTCCTCTATATTGGGTAACTTAGTATTTGTAGTTAAAGAAAAAAAAAAGGTAAAGGAGATACTTCAGAAAATGTTGCTTGGGCTGCCAGCATCTAAACTTAAATGACCACTTAGGAGTGGTTTGCGTAGAGATAACACAGACAGTACTTTACAAAGAGAAACAGTATTGAGGTAAAACATGGTGGCTAAAGAGAAAGTCCTCTGAAGTCAAGAGTCTGAGGAAGAGAAATCTCAAGAGAGGTGGCAGAGGAATTGTTGTTGAGGCAGAAGGAGACTCTAGAGAACGACATTGTGCCACTGTTCTTTACCCACTCTTTTCAAGTTTTTTCCCCAGGGTAGGAAGATGGGTGGTTCATTTTATCCTTTGAACTTTCTGTTTTTAACTTGGGTTGTAGCAAAGTGAAGTCTTTGTGGTTTTTCATTTTTAATTTTTATGGAATTTGTAGGTTTATAGAATCCGGATAAAATCTGGCCAAGTGTTGGTTCCTATTTGTTATTTTTAGGCTGAAATCTTCTGGAACTGCTTGCCAGACACATATCATTTATGGGATTACAAACTGTTTGGTCTTCATTAGAGGCCAGTGCCACTATTTATTTTCACTGAAGCTCTCTTGAAGATAGTAATTTAATACCCAGATTAAATATGTTATGCTTACAATGAAAATATTTCATATTCTGTATTTGCCATCATAATAAATAATGGTTTAATAGTTAACATTTGTTGAGAATCAGTATTTCAAGTTTCTGTTCTATACCAGACACTGTGCTAAGCCAGTTTTATGTAATATTCATGACAGTCTTGCAGAGGATTAATATCTTCCTTTTGCACATGAGGAGCTTACGATTCAGAGGGGCTAAGTACTTGCTCTGAAACACATGGCAGTAAGTGGTGATCCCTGGATTGGCATCCATGTCTCTCTGACGCTTGTGCAGACGTAGTCTGTGACATAAAAGAATGATTGTTTCTAATCAAAGGACTTCTTTCCGGATCTGAGCACCTTCATCACATAAGACATCGAAAACAGATGCTTAACTTAATATGCCTGCCAGAAGGGTGGATGTATCCACTGCAAAGCGGGATGCAGACTCTGAATATACTTCTGCTGTAAAAATGAATGAGACTGCCTAAAGCTAGGCTAACTTGATTTACCAACTTTAAAGTGCCCAAACAACCATGTTGTTCTAGCTTGGAATACAGCACATTACTGTAGTGACGCAGGGTAGCCTGTGCTTTTTTTTGCATTTTCAGGGGAATGAAGAACAGCATCAGGGCTCCACTGTTCTCTGGTAATTCTGTCTTCAGTGATCTCCCGTGGACATGCCCCTTGCTTCATGGCAGTGTTTCTCAAGGCCTTCAAGGAAAGAGAATTACTTGATTTCCATTTCTGTTAGTTACTCAAACTTCCTTCAGCTCAACTCTCGTTTATTGAGTGACTACTACATGCCAAACTTTGTTCTGGGCCCTCTTAATGAAGACCGATTTTTAATATCAGATGACTGCTATTTTTTAGGCATGTATATAAAACAGAAAATAGCAAAGATTGTGTTTTAAAACTTTGTTCAAGTAAATGTTAGGAATGTTTTTTACTGGCAAATTTTCATTGTGTTTTTCTTATACTTTGCCACACCCAGTATTCTTCTCTTCTGACTTTTCTCCATTTAACAATCTGGCCCTCATAGTTCCCTGAGAGCACACTAAAAACGTAACTGTAGTTATTAAAAAAGCAAGGCGTAGTTGATGTTTCCTTGACATATTCTGCTACGTACATTACTCAGTACATTACTCTGCTGTGTAATGTATGTGTTTTTTATTAAGGCTTTCTGTGATATTTGTGTGCATTTTTAGTACCACGAGCTTTTCAGTAGTTTATAGTGATTTTTTTTTTTTTTTTTTTTTTTTTTGAGATGGAGTTTTGCTGTTGTTGCCCAGGCTAGAGTGCAATGGCATGATCTCGGCTCACCACAACCTCCTCCTCCCAGGTTCAAGCAATTCTCATGCCTCAGCCTCCCGAGTATCTGGGATACAGGCATGCGCTACCATGCCCAGCTAATTTTTTTGTATTTTTAGTAGAGATGAGGTTTCACCATGTTGGTCAGGCTGGTCTTGAATTTCCGACCTCAGGTGATCCAACCACCTCGGCCTCCCAAAGTGCTGGGATTATGGACGTGAGCCACTATGCCCAGCTGTTTATAGTGAATTCTTAATGTTAAGAATGTTTTGCCAGTTAGTTTACATTTCTTTCTTTCACTCTTTTTCAGGTATCTGCTTTCTATTAGGCACTAAGGGCAAAAACAGATGAATATATACCTACCTTCAAGAAGCCTAAAACCTAAGATGTTATTCAGTGTGGCATTAGAAAGTAGAGGAATGAGCATACATTTCCTTTGTCTTTTTAAAAATTTATTTATTTGAGACAGAGTCTTGCTGTGTCTCCTAGGCTGGAGTGCAGTGGCATGATCTTGACTGGCTGCAACCTCCGCCCCCCGGGTTCAAGCAATTCTCCTGCCTCAGCCTCCCAAGTAGCTGGGATTACAGGTGCATGCACTACTGCACCCAGCTAATTTTTGTATTTTCAGTAGAGATGGGGTTTCCCCATGTTGGCCAGGCTGGTCTCGAACTTCTGATTTCAGGTGATCCACCTGCCTCAGCCTCCCAAAGTGCTGGGATTACAGGCGTGAGCCACCGTGCCCGGCTCCTTTGTCTTTTAACATGGTGTTTTATAATGACCATTTTATGTGCATTTGCTGGTAGATTATTCCATGTTCAGCATAGCTAGCTAGCTCTCATAGAGTCCAACACATGAAGTCTTGCTATTTTAAAATTTATATAGCAGGTAAAGGATTCGTTAAATGTTGTAAGGCTCATAGCCTTCCCAGTTCTTCTTCCTCTTCCTTCTCCTCCTCCTCCCCCTCTTCTTCTTCTTCTTCTTCTTTTTTTTTTTTTTTTGAGACAAGTCTCACTCTGTTACCCAGGCTACAGTATAATGGTATGATCACAGCACACTGCAACCTTGAACTCCTTTGCTCAGTGATCTTCCCACCTTAGCCTCCTGAGTAGCTAAGACCACTGGCACAAGCCACTGCACCCAGCTGATTTTAAATCATTTTTTGTAAAGTTAAGGCCTTGCTATGTTGCCCAGGTTCAATTTCAACTCTTGGCTCCAAGTGATCCTCCTGCCTCAGCCTCCCAAAGCGTTGAGATTACAGGCATGAGCCAATATGCCTAGCCCCTCCCAGTTTTAATGCCCATCATTCTTTGGGGATTAACTATGATATGCCATGAAAGAGCATCCAGTTTGGGAAGCAGAAAACCTATTCCAGTTGGAGTCCAGCTCTTAGACTCCAGGCAAGTTATTACTTAACTTTTCAGAGCACTGGCCCTCATAGCTTTGTGTAAGATTTAAGTATGTAAGAACTTTGAAAAAGTAAGACATCTTGCCAAGACTATTGCTGTTGTTATTGAAAGTGTACATTAAAGCTGCTTGTAAGTAGTAAAACATTGTTGTCATCATCATTATTTCTGAAAGTGAATAACTTATGTTTTACAAGTGACTGTAAAAGCCACATTAGGGGCTTGTAAGAATGTGAAAGGAAAGAAGGGAGGGTAAAAGACATCCAGGGGCTTGGAGTATTTACCCAATTTGCAGAAATTGATGGTTTCAACAAAAGAGCTGTTGTTTACAAGGTAGGGTCTTGGATACTTGGTTAGTGTTCATAGATGGTAAAGTTTCCTACCGTTAATATACTACTTAATATAAAGTGGGTAGGTTAGGTTTACAAATCAGTGAGATAAAGGTGAAAGCATCACCAGAGAATCCCAACATAATGGGCAGTTAAAGGCAGAGATAGTGTCATGTTGAAAGGGGTCAGAAAGAGCTTTTTGGAAAAAATGAGGACTTGAGGAGGACTTGAGAGAAATCTTGAAAAAAGGCCTTTTTTTTGGCAACGGAGAATGAGAGAAAAGTATGTTCTAAGTAGGTAGAGTAACAATAAAAACATAGATACAAAAGAATAGCAGGCTTGTTTCAGACAATAACCAGTACCTTAGCTTGGTAGGAGTTTTTATAGATATGGTTGAGTATGTACGTGGAAGCTACCCTTTGGAAGATTCTAGACATATTGTTTTAGCCTTGCTGATGCATTGTTACATCTTTCAAGTCCCTGTTCTTAGGGAGTCTTCTAACAACTCTACCCCTACACACTCAATCCAAACTGATGTGCCTTTTTATTTGCCACCTTTATTTAAGGTCTATGGGCAAAGCAGTGTGGCAATGTGGTGAACTGGGGATTCTGGAGCTGGCGCCCTGGGTTGGAATTTTGGTTCTGCTTTTCCTAGCTTGTGTGACCTTGGGGAAGTCACTTAACTTATCTGTGCCTCAGTTTCTTAATCTGTAAAATGGGTGTGATGGCATCTAGTTCTTGCGGCTATTGTGAGGACTAATGGGTTAATTTATATTAAATGCTTACAGAAGTATCAGGTAGTAGGTATTGTTGTTATTAATCTCTGTCAGAGAATTTATCGATTGCCCTCTGTTATGATTAATTACATGCCTCACACCCCTACTGGACTGTGCCCTTCAGGAGGGAAGGATACATTCTATTTTAACCTTTGTATTCTCATTGCTTTATTATGTCTGCCTTCTGCATGGTTGTGAAAAGATGATAATTCTGCAACACATATATCGAGACAGATTGCTCCTGTGAGTCTTCCTTAGATCCAATCCTAGAGAAGCTGGATTTTAGGAAGAACTAACTTAAACTAATGGACTGACTGGTTGTACTTGTTCTGACATAAATATATATAGCCCACTTCCATAACTAACATTGTAAAAGCAATTCCATTAACACTTCCAAAATAAAAGGGAGACCTCAGTTCTTAAGTCTATGTGCAAGAAAAGTTTTAAGTAAATATTTATTTAATTATAGGTATTTTGTATTCCTCTAATGAAATGAAGTTTTAGTGTTTCATTAGCATCATCTAATCATGGAAGCTGGAGGTTAACTCTTCCATATGAAAACACTGTTGACTAATTAAAGCCCAGTGTAACTTCTTTTGAGTTATGATGTGAATGCATGTGAAGACACTTGATGCTTAACTTTCAAGTTAGGCAAATGGGAAGGATGTGGGGTGTGTGTGTGTGTGTGTGTGGTGTGGGGGGCATGTGAAGTATCTTTACCTTGCACAACTTGCTCACCAATAAGTGAATATTGGGTAGTAATAGGGAGAGACACCCCTGTCTAAACTAGATTCTTAGATGGCATGGGATCTTTCATTTTATATTTAAGAGAAAAAGTTGACTCTTTAGTATGATATTTTAACACTCAACAACAAATTTTAAAATTTATTAGGTTTTAAAATCAAGGCCTTTCTATTATGATATGGATGAACTTTATTTAAAAGGTTTTAGAAACAGCTCTTCTGTTTTTTGTGCTGGGTCATGGTTTAGAAACTTTAGTTAGACAATTAGAAAAATATTGTTTCATGTGATTTTAAATTAATGGAAGATATTGGGCTTTCTAATTCAGAATTGCACAGTCAGTAGGAGATGGAGCCAAGATTAAAAGCATGAGCTGGATTCCTCATTTTAGAGGTTGATCATTATTACTGCCAGAAAATATCATAACTTCTTTACCTTGATGGTTTTTTTGACCTCATCATTACTTCGGCATTAGGAAAATGAGAATAAATAGGAAGAAGATCAAGAACCCGAACACACTTGAAGTTGAAAATGTGTCATATTTCAGACATCCCCTTCATTCTTGGAATTATCATTTGAACTAGTTGAGAGCCATATTTTCTTGTATAATCCTGTCTCTCATTATGCTTCCAGAAGGACTGTGAAAGGATCATTCATGCATTCTTAATTCCATCAAGAGTTGAAATAGACACCCATCTCTTACCCAGAAATGCTGAACAATAATACTGTCACGGCTTGATGGCTTTGCAGTGTAGCAAGAAAAGTTGAAACTGCTATCAACAGATTGTCCTGAGCACTTTCCAAGGTTATGTAAGCTCCAAGAGTTGCCATCTTCATAACTGAAACTGAAATTTTTCTTTTTCCTTTCTTAGATATTGAACATGGACATCGTCAACATGTTCTGAGTGCTTTCTATGTGTTTGATGCTGTTCTAAGTTCTTTATCTATATTAACTCATTTTCTCCTTACTATAACCCTGAGAAGTGGTTCCACTTGACAGACGGGATACTGAGGTACAGAGAGGCTATGAAACTTACCCACAGTCATGACACTTAATTATTGGTAGAAGCAGAATTCTAACCCAGTTAATCTGCCTTCAGCACTCATACTCAGTAACTTGACAGAGTAGCTTATAAGTGGGCCACTGTGTTCTTGTTTGGGGATGGGGATTACTGTCATGCATTCACAGTGATCTCTGTGCAGGGACAAAACAGATTACCTTTTTCAGTCAGGGTACGAGGCCATAGGAAGTCAAGAACGGTCTGGGAAGAAATGGGAGGTTGTGTCATGAGTTCCCTAGGACAGAGCTTCCAAATAGGCTCATCTAGGTTTGAGGGAAGTTCAGAAGAACGCTTGGTGGTGGCGAGGAGGGGAGAGAAAGAAGGATATCCATCGAAGGGTTCCCAAGCATCTTGATCTGCCCTTGTATCCCCAGTCTCAACTCTGCTGTAGGAATTACATTTAGGGCTTCAAATCCAGCAGAACATAAGGCCTTTATTTTACACTACATATACAAATAAAGGGGTGTTCAATGGAATGGTTTTCCTAAGTCTCAGGGAGAGCACCCAGAATTAAAAACGAAACTGTCTAATATATGTTTAAAAAGAAAAGCCTGTCTGAAATTTGAAGTCAGTGGTCTACAGAATTGTCCTTGGTGAGTGTGTTGGTAGGTCCTTGGCTGACAGTGGTACAAAATGTGACCTTCGTGTTTGGAGACCTATTCAATCTTGAGTGCCCACGTTGATAGGTACTTGGACTTGGGGTTTCATGAATGTCGGGGCTGCCACAGTAAGTCCTGGCGTTATGTCTAGGCATAGGACCACAATTATTCTGTTAAATAAAAAATATTTTGACATTTGTAAAAAAGGTAAGGAAGACTTTATTCAGGACTATCACAACAGGTGTAAAGACTATGTCAGTAGATGAGAGAGATCTGGCTCAACTCTAAATACAACAATAACAAGTGGGAATTTATTGCCAAGGAGCAGGATGTGGGGCATTGGGTGGATGGAAAATGACTAAGGAGACATCGACGGTAGTAGGATTCTTGCTGAAGAAAGGTGGGGGATGAGGAATTTGAACAGATATTGAGGGTAGGGGATTCTTTCTAGACTGACTTAGTAGAATCCTTGCTAAAACTAGGCTCTGCAGGCCCAGCAAGGGTCAGGGACAAGGTGGAGGCCTAGTCAAGAAGAGGGCTTAAAGGAGCCTGACTAAAATTTGGCCAAGGAGGGAGAATTTATCAGTTCCTATTGCTTGATTAAATGTAAGGACTCAGCTATTAGACTTGAACCCATGCAAGAGACTGTTAAATGAAGTGTAGAGTGAATTCCAGAAAATTCTATTTTCTTATTGATGTAGACATCTGTGGCTGGGTTGACATAAATGATCAGAGTAGCTCTGAGAGATGGGATCTTTAAAATTTTCCTGATGCTGCACTGTGGAGTTGATTTACTTTTATTTATTAGACTTAAATAGGGTTTATTAAGTGCCAGGCACAGTTCTAAACCCTTTGCAAATATTAACTCATATAATCCTCAAAACAATTCTATAAGGTGGTTATACCATCTTCCCATTTTATATATAATTATGCATTGTTTAACAACAAGAACACATTTTGAGAAAAACGTCCTTAGGCTGTTTTGTCATTGTACAAACATAATAGAGTATACTTACACAAGCCTAGATGGTATAGCCTACTACACACCTTGTCTGTATGGTCAAGTAGGCTATCCCACCTAGGCTACAAACCTTTACAGCATGTTACTGTACTGAGTACTGTAGGCAGTTGTAACACAGTGGTAAGTATGTATATCTAAATATATACACACATAGAAGAGGTACAGTAAAGATACAGTATAAAAGATTTTTAAAAAGATGCACCTGTGTAGGGCAGCTACAGTATAGTCTAATGTAACTACTGTGGTGTATGTTTTTATGTGGTGCTTGACTGTGTGAGGAAACAAAGGCCCAGAGGAGTTAAATAATTTGTCCAAGGTCACATAGCAAGTAAGTGGTGGGGCTTGGATTTCCACCCAGGCAGCCTGGCTCCAGAGTCTGCATTCTTAATCACTCGGTTAGGTTGCATCCTGGGCTGTTGACTCCCAGGGATTTACTTCTTATTATTCTGGGCTTTTCTTTTTCAGCCCATAAATAAAGAATTCTTTTTCTGGGTTTAGTCAGACTCTGGGCCTTGTTCAGACTGAAGTCAGGATTGCAGAGTATGTTTAACTTGAGTCTCAAAGTTATTTGTAAACAGCCTTTCAGGTCATCTTTTACCTTCTTGAAGAAAATCAGTAGTTTATTGGTAAAAACACATTTTCTACTTTTTCCACAGTTTATGCAGAATATTATTGGTGACTTTTTCTAATCAACTGTTGGCTTTTTTCCCGTCACCAGCAAGCTCAGTAGCATTCCTTCTTTTTTTTTTTTTTTTTTTTTTTTTTTTTTTAAGAAAAAATGCTCCAGTAGCTGAACAATGAGAACATATGGCCACAGGGAGGGGAACAACATACACTGGGGCCTGTTTGGCCAGGGGGAGGTGTAGGGGGATGGAGAGCATCGGGAAAAATAGCTCAATGCATGCTGAGGTTAATACCTAGGTGATGGGTTGATAGGTGCAGCAAACCACTATAACACACGTTTACCTATGTAACAAAACTGCACATCCTGGCTGTGTATCCTGGAACTTGAAATAAAATAAAATAAAAATGCTCCATTTATGGTGAGTGAGTGGTAGTTCCTTGATAAAGGCTTTGGTAAACTGACTTCCAGATAATACACATCTGCCACCAAAACTCTCTTAAAGCAGTAAATCTCCACTGTGTAGATCAGACCAGATCCATTTTCAGTATTTATAGTGTCTTTAAATTTTGGTTAAATTAGTCAAACTGGTATTTTAAAGGATTCTGGTTAAATTAGTCAAACTGGTATTAAAGGATTCTGGTTCATATAATACAAAATCAAAGTTATATAATTTTACATTTGGAAACTCATTCGGATTCAGTGGAACCTCACCTTATGGATTTTTTGCTTAACTTTTACTTGCAGATCTGTCTATGGCAGTGCAGAAATTTTCCCAGTCATTGCAAGATTTCCAGTTTGAATGTATTGGTGATGCTGAAACAGATGATGAAATTAGTATTGGTAAGTACTACTGTTTTAGAAAGTTCTATTACTAATATTTATTTTACTGAAATCAAATAGACACACACCTAAATAATAAACATGTAAAATATTTTCTGACTTTGACAATACTATAAGAGTGATTTTAGGTTTCTATGGAAGAAATTTTTTCTTTTTGGAGACAGAGTCTCTCTCTGTCACCCAGGCTGGAGTGCAGTGGCGTAATCTTGACTCACTGCAACCTCTGCCTCCCGGGTTCAAGTGGTTCTCCTGTCTCAGCCTCCTGAGTAGCTGGGATTACAGGCATCTGCCACCATGCCCAGCTAATTTTTTGTATTTTTAGTAGACACAGGATTTCACCATTTTGGTCAGCCTGGTCTCGAACTCTTGACCTCAGGTGATCCACCCGCCTCGACCTCCCAAAGTGTTGGGATTACTGGCGTGAGCCACTGCGCTTGGCCTAAAGAAAATATTATAAATTGTTTTTAAATCGAAGCTCTGTGTTTGTTTGTTTGTTGTTTCCATAAGGAAATGACTTAATCATTCTATAACTCAGGTCAGCCGAGCTTTGAATTATTCGTTCAAACAAATATATATTAGGTATCTACTATTAAATATACCAGGCACTGGTTTAAAAAATTATCTTCCTTTTTTTTCTTAATACTGGTTTCTTTTTTAATGTGAATATTTGTTTTTAAAGAAAACAAATCAGCTATGATT
The DNA here is from genome assembly GCF_000001405.40 of Homo sapiens. Taxonomy (NCBI): domain Eukaryota; kingdom Metazoa; phylum Chordata; class Mammalia; order Primates; family Hominidae; genus Homo; species Homo sapiens. Next base: position 100,771,138 of record NC_000011.10, read on the forward strand.
CCCTAAACCAGTGTTGTTGCAGATGCAGAACATTACTGCGGATCAGGAGACTTGAACCCTAATCTGACGTTGCCTCAGTAATTTGGCAATGTGTCCCTGGGGAAACCATGCTCCTTTCTGAAACAGAAGGATTCATCTCCCATAAAATGAAGAGGTCGTGTTATATGAACTCTGAAGTTTTATCTATATCTGACTTTTTATTGTTTGAAGGTCTGATTCTTATAACTCCCTCCACCCCCACCTTTTAAAGACCTCTACATTTTCCAGCTTATAGATGTGTGGTCCCTTTGTAGGCTGGATTAGAGATATGTCATATAATGAAAAGAGTATATAAAATATTTATGTATATTTTAGAGGATATTACTAAGTGTACCCTACTTCTGGGTGTAAAAATACAATACTACAAACACTTAAGAACAGTGACCAGTGATTGCCCAACTTTAATGTCTGTAGGAAACATCTGGAATTTTTTTTTTTTTGAGACAGAGTCTTGCTCTGTCGCCCAGGCTGGAGTGCAGTGGCACGATCTCGGCTCACTGCACCCTCCGCTTCCCATGTTCAAGCAATTCTCCTGCCTCAGCCTCCCAAGTAGATGGGACTACAGGCACCCGCCACCATGCCTGGCTAATTTTTTTTTGTACTTTTAGTAGAGACGGGGTTTCACTATGTTGGCCAGGTGGTCTTGAACTCCTGACCTTGTGATCCACCCGCCTTGGCCTCCCAAAGTGCTAGGATTACAGACGTGAGCCACTGCGCCCGGCTGGAAATCTTAATTGCAGGTCTTGGGTTGCGTGTAAGATTCACATTTCTAATAGATTTGAAAGTAATGTCCACACTGCTAGTCCATGGACCACGCTCTGAGAAGCAGGGATTTGTAATCCCCTTCATACCTCTCCACAATCACATTCCTCTTCTTCCTCTGCCCTTTCTTTTTCTTGTATAGTTCTACCAGTTATGTCTGTATTTCTAGACGGTATGTTTTATTAGCTTTGACTCCCTAAGTAGCAAGTCTTAGCACAGACCTCGCTGTGAAACAAAAGGGCAATGTTACCCCCACAAAAAGAAGGCTCTCAGGAGAAGCTAAGCTGAATGAATTTCAGCTTCATTGTGTGGCTTTAGCTTGCCTGCATTCACAAGAGCTCCTTTTGGAGAAATCTCTGGGCAGGGTACAGAGTCCTTATACAAGCTTTCTCTGCATGTGGAATTTACATGATGCATACATCATTGTGATCATATTCGCAGTCTTTCTGAGCAGATATATGCCAAGTGGTCACTCTCTTTGCTTGCCTTTTTAGAAGTGTTAGTTAATTTGAGGGGAGGGTGTAGTGGCTGGTCTTCTTTGGCCCTCAGTTTTGTGATCAAAGATGGTCCAGCCATGCCTGTCACTTGCCTGAGGTATAGTTAAAGTGCCTCCAGGAATAAGGGAGAGCCCTCCCACATGCATGACTTCTTCCTCCTCACAGCAGAGCTGGGGAAGGGCAGCATTAGGGATCATGCACTGCCAACATTTGGAACAATAGTGGTCATTTTGCTTGTCATTTCTTGACATTGGTGATATAAACGTCTGGTCCTCAACATAGGCTTTGTAGTATACACTTAGCCAGGTAAAAGCCTAGATTATATTACTAAAATACAAATATATTAGCATTATTACTTAGAAAAGCTATACCCACATATTTACGTAACAGTTATTTTCACTTAGTTGTTTATTTATTTTGAGACAGAGTCTTGCTCTGTCACCTAGGCTGGAGTGCAGTGGCATGATCTCGGCTCACTGCAACCTCCGCCTCCTGGGTTTGAGTGATTCTCATGCCTCAGCCTCCTGAGTAACTGGGATTATAGGCGTATGCCACCATGCCCAGCTAATTTTTGTATTTTTAGTAGAGATGGGGTTTCCCCATGTTGGCCAAGTTGGTCTCAAACTCCTGACCTCAGGTGATCCACCTGCCTCAGCCTCCCAAAGTGCTGGGATTACAGGTGTGAATCACCATGCCCAGCCTTCACTTAGTTATATTAAGCTATAAATTCCATGAAGGCAGAAGCCAGATTTTTTTCTTTTTCAACCCTTTTAGCCTTAGCGCTTGACCCAGATCCTAATAGTAGACCCTCAGATAAATTGTTCACTAAATGACATAATTTTCCTTATAAACTTTAATATTTTTCACTTATGTACATATTTTTCTAATACAATGATATATATAATTTGGTATTTTTTTCTTTGGAAAGAGGATTATAGCAAATACTCCTGGGTTTCCACAGATGATATAATTTTAATGGCTTCATGAGTTTATTTCATCAGGTTCATATACATGAATTTATGAAATAGTCCCTATAGTATGTTCAGGTTACTTCTGGTTGACCCTTTACCTGTTATTGTTAAGAGTACAGAAAACATCTTTCTGTATGTTTCCATTTCCATTAAGCTTCTTACTTAAAAGACATCTTGAAGTCACACATACATGTAGTAACTGCAGACGTAGGGTTTTTAATCACTATGCTACGCAGCCTTCTAGGCAGATGTTAGGTAATTTCCCCAAGTTGTAGTGAACTTGATATCTCAACAGTGGTTTGTTTGACTCTTTCCACTTTGGCTAATTGAACATTGTTGTGCAGCTGTTGCAGATTAGATTCGAGAGGTGTGAATTGATCAGTAGGTGAAGGCTTACAAGCAATGATTATTACATTAAATTTTAATGCTATGTGGGCTTTGTGAAGTTAAATCTCAGGTTGGAGATCAGGAGATGAAGAATCTACACAAGCAGATGTAATGTTGCTTGCTAATTTTAAATCAGGAGACTTATTTAAACCCTTTGCACTCGGAATCTGATTTAAATAGCAATGCTATTAGGAAAACTTAGAGCAAAATGACTTACAAGTATAAAATATTTCTGGAACAACTCCTGTAAAAATATAGATATGTTTCAATATCCTATTCAACACTTTTTACCCTTTACCTGAGCTCCCACATATACTCTAAACAGTTAAAAATAAATTATGTAGATAATAAAGAAGTAGTAGGAGGAGGCTCTGAAGAATCATTGCTGACCTGGAAGATTATGAGATTACACCAAGCTGTTCTACAAAGGACAATAAACTGGAAAATGTATCCCTGGGACTAACGTGTGTGTCTGGAGTGGGTGGAGCATAAGGATCACGCTTGTCCACCTTCATTGGCTTCAGTTCTACGTGGGACGGTACAGCGTTTTCACTGTCTTTACCTTGTTGAAGCCTGAGTTCCAACGACTTCTTTATTGCTCTGATTTAATGAAAGAGGAATGAGGTAGGGACAGCTGTGACTCTGAGCAGCGAGCAATAGCCCCACAACACTCTCAGCTGGAGTAGGCTTGAGACCTACTGATGACATAGCCACAAAATACTGTGACTTACAAAGAAGCTCATCTTTTGTATGTGGGTCATGTCAGTGCAAAATGACTTGAAAAGTAAGACATCGGCAGGCTTTCTGTGTGTAAGTTGGTGGTGGGAATGGGTAGGAAGGGAAGAGGAAGATGAATAAAGATGTCTGCTTTCATTGCGCTTACAGTGGAAGAGGATAAAAAAAGGTTTTGGGCAAAGTAAGGAAGAGAAGGTGGTGTTATTCTATCAGTATAATTGCCTAATTATGAAAGTTGTTCTGGGAGGGTGTTTGATGTGTAGGCCCATGTCTGGCCTGTACATCTGTCCCAACGCTTCACTGGTTCCCTCTGCCTCCACCCTTTTGGCCTGTGCTTGCTGGGTTTTTTGTTTTGTTTTGTTTTGCGCCAGTGACACACTGCTGGCTTGGAAGGAGGCAAAATGGGATTCGTTGTTCGAGACCCAGTGGGGAATTCCTGTGGCTCAGAGAGCAGGTCAGGACTGAAGTTCCAAGCAGGGCAGTGTCCTGCACTTTTTTTTTTTAGCACCTCCCTTTTCATTGAAGAGCATCAAGAGGCCATTGCCCTCCCTTCTCTAAGGATAAATGAGCTGCAGGTGAGCTTTGGCCTGTTCCCTTTCATCTGCTCACTGCAGTGCTGGGTGAGTGGGAAGTGGCCTATTGAGTCCATCCACATAACTTCCCACAGCTGCACTAACTGCCCACTTTTTATTTGGCTTTGGTGTTTTGAACTGAGTAAGGAAGACATTGAGTTAGGAGTACAGTGCTAGACACGCGGGGCTCAGAAATTGGTGATGGAGGGGAGAAGAGTGACTATAAACCGGTATAAGATAGATTCAAGCTTCCTCTCATATATATTTATAGGGGTAGACCAAATACAAAAAGGTACCATCATTTAACTATAATTACACAAGTAATATGTATGTAAATACAAAAACAATACCCATTGCATCAGTCCTGGAGCACACTCTTGCATGGGAATTGATAACGTTCCAACATGAGTTATTTGCCCAGCCTTAAAACCTTACTGATAGGAAATAAAAGGTTATTTGTGCAGAAACTAAAATCATATTCTTTTGAAAACACTGTTTATGGTGGGTTAGTTCAAACGGCTGGATGTCCAAAGATACTACTGTGAATCTGCCTATGAGACGGGTTGTTTAGCTGCATTGATTTAGCACATTAGTGTATAGGATAATAAAAGACTTTAAGTCTGAGCACATCACTTGAGAATTTTTAACCACACCAAAGCTGGAGTATGCAAGTTACTCTATTTTGTTTTTGTATTAAGTACTTATAATTTGAAATCATTTTAAATCAAAGATTAAAAATGAGAAGACCTCTAGGTTTTAAAAAAATTTAGATATTGTGGCCGGGTACGGTGGCTCACGCTTGTAATCCCAGCACTTTGGGAGGCTGAGGCGGGCGGATCACCTGAGGTTGGGAGTTCGAGACCAGCCTGACCAACATGGTGAAACCCCATCTCTACTCAAAATACAAAATTAGCCAGGAGTGGTGGTGAATGCCTGTAATCCCAGCTACTTGGGAATCTGAGGCAGGAGAATAGCTTGAACCTGGGAGGGGGTTGTTGCGGTGAGCTGAGATCGTGCCATTGCACTCCAGCCTGGGCAACAAGAGCAAAACTCCATTTCAAAAAAAAAAAAAGTTAGATATTGTTAGTCAAACTGAACTAGTGCCAATAAAAATGTTAGTCATTAATATGAGGCAAAGTTTATTCATTCTATGTAATCTTGGAAACCATTGGAAAGTCCAGTTGCGATTGTGCGTAAACAGCTTGGTTAGTGATGTTGTGTGATGACCTAGACTCTCAGGAAAGTCTTGAACAGTATGAGCTTTGGACTCAAGAGATTAAACATTTACCAAGAAGGAGAGTCACTTTGCTAGTAAATATTTTTGGTGGAGACTTCATTCCTTTAGACACACCTAAACAGAAAATTCCTGTGGTAGTGACAGGCAATACACTACCATTTGTCAACTAAGGTAATAGCTCCAAATTAGGAGTGGAGAAATGAGTCAGTCAGTTAGGTAGTTTGGATCAAACTATATTTTTTAACAATCCCCCAGCTATTTCTGACATAACTAGTGTATTGCTGGTCCCTTGTTTACTCCATTTTAAATGCAGATATGCAGACATAGCAACAAGGATAGTGCCTAATAGTTAGCATCGGCCGGGCACAGTGGCTCACTCCTGTAATCCCAGCACTAGCACTTTAGGAGGCCTAGGCAGGCAGATCACCTCAGGTCAGGAGTTCAAGACCAGCCTGGTCAACATGGTGAAACCCCATCTCTTCTAAAAATACAAAAATGAGCTGGGCATGATGGCACGTGCCTGTAATCCCAGCTACTCGGGAAGCTGAGGCAGGAGAACCACTTGAACCCGGGAGGTGGAGGTTGCAGTGAACTCAGATTGCACCACTGCACTCCAGCCTGGGCAACAAAGTGAACACTGTCTCAAAAAAAAAAAAAAAAAAAACACGAAGAGCATGTCGCATTTTAAAAAAGAAGCTGTTTTATGGAAATGCTTGTACGAATCGTACATGTACTGATTGATGGATGAGAGCTCGAACATGAACCAAGTTTTGTGTACAGCATTGGCTGAGGTGCCCTGACATTTTTACTTCTTGTTCTGTCTTTAGGAGAATGTGTTGAAAGGTGAAGGTATAGCAGGTTAAAATAGTGGCAATTCAAGTCACAGGGGCTTTACTATGTCTTCCTGTGCTGGCAGTGCTTTGCCAAGGTGCAAATATTTATTGTTTGATTACCTCTCTGAGGCTGGGTGTGCATCAGTGGGTTACTGTGGTGAGGTGACTCACATTGATCTGTAGATAGAAGCCTGAGAGTGATCTTGGATACCTGATCTGAGGGTGTCAAGAAGAATTTTTTCAAGGGAGTGGTTGGAAAATCTCATTCAGTTTCTTTGTTAGAAGAGTGACTGTGTAAAAAGGCATAAAATTTTTACTTACTTTGAAGATGCGTCTGTTAGGTCAAATGGAAAGGTAATATTTGATTCTGTTTCCCAAATGAGAAATAGGAATATAGTCTAGGGTGGAAAGTATGGGAAACAATTTACTTTTTGTATTTGGAAAGGATTCCTCTATAGTGTAGAAACACTTTGAGAGATAATAGCTTTTGTTTCAGGTTAAAAATCATAACTGCCATAATAAATGCAGAAAATGCATTCAAAAGATCATTAATAATTTTTCTTAAAAAAAAGACCTATTTTCTTTTTTGACTTAAACAAATTCAATGATTAAATTATTGAAAATGCTTCTGTGAAAATTTTCTTCAGAATTTGGTCATGAGTACAAATATGCATTTTTACAGTTTACTCAATATTTGTCTAGTGGTATTGTGATACAAAAGGTAGAACTGGGCGGGGTGTGATAGTTCACACCTATAATCCTAGTGCTTGCAGAAGCCATGGCGGGAGGAATGCTTGAGACCAGGAGTCCCAGACCATCCTGGATGAGGCCCCAGTTCTATAAAAAGTAAAAATTTAGCCAGGCATGGTGGCATGCACCTATAGACCTAGCTACTCAGGAGGCTGAGGCTGCAGGATCCCTTGAGCCCAGAAGCTGAGGTTACATTAAACTATGATCACACCACTGTACTGCAGCCTGGGTAACATGTTGAGACCCTGTCTCTTAAGAAAAAAAAAAAAGAAACGGTGAAGTTGTTTGTAGCCATGAGATTCTTCTTGGGCATTTTTAGGAAAAATTTCTAAACCAAAGGCAATGCCATTATCAACCACAGCTGAACTCTTCTAAAAGAGACCTGTGATATTTTATTAAATTTGAGGAAGTAAACTACCTTCTCATTTGCTGAATCAAAAAAAAAATATCCATCATTCTTTACAGACCCTCATTACAACCACTTAAATGTGGTTATATAAATCAGGAAGTCGTGTATTAAAGTGGAACATTTCTAAATGCCTAAATTGTTTATACAAATAACATTTTCTTTTTAACTCTGCAGAGGAAGCATATTTTACTTTTTAATAGCTCTCAGTTGGACAATTGAATTATTGTTTTCCTGTTTTTTTTTTAAACCACCCTTATTTTTGTACCCACACAGAAACCACCCACAATTAATGATGGAAGCAGCTGGGAAAGTTGCACATTTCAGGTGGTGTTCCTCTCTTAAAAAAAACACGCTGCTTGAGAGAGATGCTTTTATCATATTAGCTGTGTATTTTGAAGCACTTTATTTGACTTAATTTGAAATTCAAAAGCTTAGGTGTTTCATATTTCAGGCTTCGAGTTAAAAAACAACCTGAAAACTTGTCATGTCACAAGCCTGGAAAGAAATTTATTTTTTAACTGATGGATAGACATTAATCCCCTAAAACCTCATTCTTTTTTTGTGACTTTGTTCTGCCCAACAAAAAATAGCCCAGTCTTTTGTACAGAGGGCTCACTTGCTTATCACTTGTAGCAAATTATATGCTCTTTGAGGTCTGAAAGTTTTACTCATATTCCTATTCCTTCGTAGTACTTTAGAGCTTTATTTGTAGCAAAGATTTAATATTTGTAGAGTGAACAACCACAGCTGTAAAAGCTATTAAACTTTTACAGAAATGAATCACTTTAGGGTAAATAGAATTTTAGAGCCTTATATTAACAATAATATATATACTGGCTGGGTGCAGTGGCTCACGCCTGTAATCCCAGCACTTTGGGAGGCCAAGGTGGGTGGATCACCTGAGGTCAGGAGTTCGAGACCAGCCTGACCAACATGGAGAAACCCCATCTCTACTAAAAATACAAAATTAGCTGGGCTTGTGGCACATGCCTGTAATCCCAGCTACTCGAGAGGCTGAGGGAGGAGAATTGCTTGAACCTGGGAGGCAGACTTTGCGGTGAGCCAAGATTGCACCGTTGCACTCTAGCCTGGGCAACAAGAGCGAGACTGCGTCTCAAAAAAAAAAAAAAAAAAAAAAATATATATATATATATATACACACACACACATATATACACGTATATATATACGTATACATGCGTATATATACGTATATATATACATATACATACGTATATATACGTATATATACATATATACGTGTATATATATGTACTTACTTGAATATATCTACTATGGTTCTTTTCAGTATGCTAATCTAAATTTTCAGAGGGTAATAGGTCATAAATTAACACACATGCACACACATATGTAATTTTTACATGTACTTTAGAATCATTTAGAACAAGTTTTTGGCTGGGTGCGGTGACTCACATCTGTAATCCCAGCACTTTGGGAGGCTGAGGCAGGTGTATTACCTGAAGTCAGGAGTTCGAGACCTGCCTGGCCAACATGGTGAAACCCTGTCTCTACTAAAAATAGAAAATTTGGCCAGGCATGGTGGCGCGTGCCTGTTGTCTCAGCTACTCGGGAGGCTGAGGCGGGAGAATTGCTTGAACCTGGGAGTCAGAGGTTGCAGTGATCCAAGATTGCGCCACTGCACTCTAGCCTGGGGGACAGAGTGAGACTCCATCTCAAAAACTAAAAAAAAAAACAAGTTTTAAAAATATTTATAAATATTAAAATAAATTTTAAACCAGAGTTAAAAATTTATTCTCTTTTTGCATTTATTCAATATTTATTGACTACCTGTTATGTGACAAGAACTGTGCTTGTGAAAAAGGTGGTCCAAATTTTGCTCTCATGGAGTGTACAAACTAAAGGATAAGGTGGTAAACCCCTTTTTTAAAATAACATGACTTTAAAAAAGGCTTATTTCAGGGAGGTGGATAGAGAGTCAAGGAGAACTTTTATCTATGGTTAGTAAAAAATAATCTCAACAAAATAATTAGTGTAATAAATGCTATGACCTATGCTAATTTGGGATGCAGAAATATATACTTGATCCTAATTATTTGCAAGTTTTATATTTGTGAATTAACATATTCTAAAATGTATTGGTAACCCCAAAAGCAATATTGCTGGTGCATTTGTGGATATGGGCAGAACAGTGATGAAGTTGGTCCACCTGACCCACCCAGGATCCACTCTATGAAGCATGGTGGAGCGTTATTGAAGACTAATAATACGATAGGTTTTTTGCTCTTCTGTAAGAGCGACATTGTTAAAGCCGAAGGCCGATGGGGATTAGAGTCAGAAACCGGCTTTGTAGCTTTCTCTTGCCTCTCTTTTGAACTTGTCTGTGCCTGCATTTCCTGGTTATACAACTCATTTATTCAGTAAATACTTAAGTATCAACCAGATCTAAGCCACAATGGGTGGCATAAGTAGTTTAAATTTTTTTTGGAGGACACCAACATTAAACAACCAAAGACGTGAAGTCACAATTGTTTTGAATCGTGTAAAAACAAAGCTAATTATGCTAAGAGAACATAGTCAAGATAGACTAGGCATTGTTGGGTGCCTATTGGTTAACATCAGAGCCTAGAAAAATAAGTGATGGCCCTTGTGGGTGTTATGGGCACAGCTTGCACTTTTGTTAATTGGAAAGAGTTCAATAGTAATAGATCATTTCTCAAAGTTCAGCCCACTGGCCCTGTTTTTTTGGTGTTTTCCTAGTTTTCTTTGTGGAGTTTCTCTAACTTATGTTAAATATACTGTAATATAAATTAATCAGCTTTAAAATAGCCTTTGAGGATGGTATTGTACAATAGGTGTTTTCTTGGTGTGGAGTAGTTTACCTCTTTCTCTCTGGGAGCTGCATTTCTATAGTTCTAGGATCTTTCTCTTACTTTCTTTATGTACATGTGAGGGTGGGGAGGAACAACATGAACTGTTTTTTTTTTTCTGAATGATCGGAAAATGCTACTTCTGACTTAGAAATGTTGGCTTGGTTTCCCAAATCACAACTTTAGTATAGTGGAGTAGAAGGAGACTTTGGTGAGCATGGGAGATAATGCTGATGTTTTCCTTCAGACCCAGAGGTGAAATGATTTTCTGAAGTCACATGGGTACTAGAACCTTGATAACTGGCTCTTAGGTTGTCAACTTTGACTTTGAGGTTACTTGTTCATTCACTCAATAAATACTTACCAAGCACCGAGAATTTGTCAGGTACCATGTTAGGTGCTGAAGATACATCATTGTGCAAAACAGAAATAAATCCTCACCCCAAGGGGGTTTGTATTCTTGTCAGAGGAATTAAATGATAAAACAGTTAAGTTCACTATATATTAAACTATGAGAAGTGCTACAAAGAGTCACAATTATTCAGATTTTTTTCTGTAATAGTTTTAATATACAGATATCTGTAATTTTAAGATGTTGATGTTACAACAAACTGCCTGTGAAGTGAAGCTTGGTTTATTTTCCATTAATCAAATTTATATGATCCCACAGATATTGACCTAATTCTGGATTTGAAACCATTTGGTGCAAAAGGAGTAACTGACCTCTGAGGCACACTGGCTGCACCACCACGAGATTTTTTTTTTTTTTTGTGCATTTAGAGCATTGGACAATTTTCCCAATTCTCTATTTGTCCTCCCACCCTGGATCATTGGACTTCTTTTCCTGCTTAGGCATACTTAGTCTGATTGTACACTTGAGTTTTCATTACCTTGATATATGTGATATTGAAGAAAACCAGGATGTGATATCCTCTTAGCTGGAGTGTGAGGATTGAGAACCAGAGAATATTATAGAAGACTTTGCTATGTAGTCTGGAGTTTAACTTGCAGGTTCTCAAAAAACACTCAAGGCCTTTAATTGCAGTTGCGCTTTAGGAGGTTTCTTCTAGCATCCATATATGTGATTCATTATAACATGGAAGTCTTTGCTAGTTCACAGTGAGTCAGAGATTACATGCATCACAAAATCCTTTATGCATCAAGAGAACACTTTTTAAAATGTGAATGAAATAATAAAAATATAATTTCAATTTTGACATAAAATGTTTGGACCAGAAAGGCAATAGCCTTGGAAATTGTATCTGTTAGAAGTGAGTTAGGAGGCAGAATATAGACAATCAGAAATTAATGGAACTAATTGGCAAAAAAGTAAGGACAAACATATGAGCAAGGAAGAAGACATTTGGGGATGAAAAGGAAGCAGAGTATATAGAGAGAGAAATTTGAAAACAAGAATAGAGTTGAATCACAGGCCTAAGACGTAAAAGAAATGTTTGCCTTGGATAGTTATCTAGGAATAGGAGGCTTAAAAAAAAAGAGGTGAATTTGGAGTAATTTCTTTGTCAAGGATAGAATTCAGGATAGTTGGTGAGTCGTGATTCAGGGGGCAGTGGAGAGAAGAGCTTTGGTGTCATGCTTGATTTTTGGGACTCGGAAATAACATCTCAGTGCTGAGGGTACTATTTCTGCCATTGAAATACACATGAACTTCAAGTAAGGAAGTAAAGATGATCCTTACAGATCTAATTGAAATATACACTTTCCTACTTAAATAGTTTAAATCTTTAATTCCTCACACAAAGCATGCATTTTATTTCCCAAAATCAGGAGCTGCCAGACTGCCTAGCATCACAATCAACTGTGGGGAGCCTTAGAAATTTGATTTCTGGGCTCTACCATAGGCCTGAACTAAGGCAAACTCCCCAGGGTGATGACCGTAAGATCCTTTAATTTTATGGAGATCCTTGGTGTCTCATGCAGCCTGTGGAAAATCACTGCTTTGAACACTAGTCTTGGCTGGTCATGGTGGCTCACGCCTGTAATCCCAGCCCTTTGGGAGGCTGAGGCGGGTGGATTGCTTGAGCCCAGGAGTTCGAGACCAGCCTGGGGAATATGGGGAAACTCCATCTCTACTAAAAATACAAAAATTATTTGGGCATGTTGGTGTGCACCTGTAGTCCCAGCTACTTGAGAGGCTGAGGTGGGAGGATCACCTTAGCCCAGAAGGCGGAGGCTGCAGTGAGCTGAGATCACACCACTGCACTCTAGCCTGGGCAACAGAGTGAGACTCTGTCTCAAAACAAAACAAAACAAAAAATCAACAGTAGACTTGTGGTATATGCAGAAGAAGGCACAGTGGGAGGGTGGTACTGTTTTAGTCTATTCCTGCAGTGTGCCTTTTGAATGGCCAGATCCCTGATTCCCAGTGTCATGCCAGTACAGCCACGAAAGCTGTAAGGGCCACTTGTTTGTAGGGAAACCTGGTCATTTCTTGCCACTTTGTCCTTCACAGCCTGATAATAAATTTTGTTTTAAGTGTCTGTCTTTAGAATAAGAGATGATTTTCATGAGCCAGTGCCAATGCTGTGCAAATTTCCCAGGGATGAAAAAGAAAACAGCTTTCAAATCAAAATGATATACAAGGTGTGACTTACTTAGTTCATGCTGATGTGGACTTTGGATTCCCTAAACTTCTCTACCAATAATGAGTGTCTTCTGAGTGCAAAGAACCTCCTGGTTCATGCAAACATGAATCAAATCATCTTGTATTCTTGTTATACTTACAAAATAGAAGGGGGGTCAAAAAATAACTTATGATCTAATCAGTATAATGCTAAGGAGAATGTGCCCAGTGCTTTAGGTACAGTAAGGACAAAATGCTGTGAGAGTATCAGAGCCAGAGAAGGGATTTCCAGCTGGGGACATCAGAAGATGCCTAAATAGAGGAGGTTATTTGAACTGGGTCCTAATGGTTAGGTATGATGCAGACAGAAAATATAGGTAAAAGAAAAACACAGAAATGGGAAAACTACAGGAATGTATAGTAGTTTCTAAGTGCAAAGTTTGAGATTAGAAATAGTAGCATCTTGGACTAAGTTACATAGGCACGTACCTTATGGCCACATCATGGGGGCCTCAAATTATTTGCAGTTTGGAGTTTGGACCCTTTTAAAAATCCATTTAAGGATTTTGAATTGGATAATGACATGATCAAAGGTGCCCTCTAGGAGTTTTATTCTAGTGTCCCTACATAAAATGAGTTAGAGCCACAGAAGCTGGGAAACTAATGTAATATGACAGCAGAGATGAAGTAAGATCCTTATATGGGTATGTAAGAAGGGTAGAGGAGAGGAATCAGCAGCATTTGGTGATTGGATATATGGAAGGAAGGACTGAAGATTATTCCTCACTCATGCTACTAGGAGAATGGTGTTACCAGCACATTTATGTATTCTTATGTGCCAGGGCATCTGGGATGGAAGAGAATTATGAACTTAGTTTTGACATGTGTTAAACTTGAGATTCAAAAAAAAAAAATCCTTAGTATTAAATTTCCTGTAGGTAATTTGATGTGTTAAATTTAGGATGAATGGATGGTGCTGTGGGGTTATACCTACAGTAGTGAAAAAGTGTATAAATTTCAGATCAGCTAATTTGGATTCAAAATTTAGTGCTACAAGTCATTAGTTCTATGACCTTGCATGTTATTTAATCTGTATACTTCAGTTTTCCTATCTGAAAAATGCAGAGAATGGCAGTAGATTTGAGGATTTTACATGTGACTTTCTGATGGGATGTTGTGAGCATTGAAGAGCTTTGCACAGTGCTAGCACCGTATCAGGTAAATCTCCTCCTCCTTTCCACAGCCCATGTTTTTCTGTTCCTTGGACCTCATTAGGATAGTAGGGCCCTTGCTTGGAGCTAGTTTGCAGACCAAGAGGAAGGAGAAAACAGCATTGTGAAGAGGGAGGAGTGATGATGAAAATAACAGAGAGGGAAAGAGAGAGAGGGAGAAGAGAGAGAAATGAGATTAGAGGCTTACTGTGGAGTTGTTAGCTTTTGAGAGGACGAGGGCCCCTTTTCTGAGACAGGAGACAAGTTGAAGAGAATGAATAAAGACAGTGCTGATCAGAGAGTCTTGAACTTCTCTCACAGAATCAGGAGGCCGGGCCATCTGGTAAGAGTGAGGGGAAGCCTGGGGCTGGGTTCTTGGTAGAAAGACGAGAATTCTTTTTAGATAACCACTGTGGGAAATAAGATTAGGAGTGAACTAGAGTTGAATAAAAGGATTGCCAAAAAGCAAAAGCAAAGGGGTTAGATAGCTTGAACTTTTAGTGTCCTTGTGGGTGTGTGAATTACAGAGAAGAGGTCACTGGAGGTTAAGAGGTTGTGGAAAAGAGCACTGGGCAAGGAAGTGGATGTTGAGGCTTCACTAGGGTGGGTGGTGGCAGGAGCTTGGGTGCAGAAGAGCATGAATGGGATGCTTCAGCCTGTGGAATGTGAAGGAGTGCTGGGAGGTCAGTTCCTGATGGCAGGAAACATGGGGGCAGTGCGAGGTGTAAGTGGTTGCTTGTCAGCAGCAAATTACTGATTATTCCCCTTCAGTCAGGATACTTGGCACTCGATTACTCTTTGAGCATAAACAGCTCTGGAACTGTTTGCCTTTAAAGATGATAAGCCTGTTCTTTTCCTCCTGTAATGTAGCAGGATACAGGCTGGCACTACTTTTTAATTTTTTCCCTTTGACAATAATGGTTTGTTGGGAGAGAACAGACTTTGGAATCAAACAATCAAAATCAAATACCTGCTTCTCTACCTACTAGCTCTGGGATTGTAGGGCAAGTTCTAGCTGATGGATTGTCCTTTTTTCCCTCTGTGAAATCAGGATAACACCTACTTCAGCACCTCATATTATGATGTGGACATTAAATGAGATAGTATATGTAATGTCACTGCCTCTTGGTAGAGGAGCTCCCAAATGTGAGAATACTCAAATTTGGGAAAATGGTTTCTGAATTGGGGGTGGTTTTGACTTTGGGAAACAGAATAAACATTAAAACAAAACAAAACAAGGGAACATCAGAATTGCACAGGTCCTCATTTTCATGAGCACACTAAATGTGCTTGCAAAGAAAACAAAATATGTGACTTGATGACTTCATTAGGCACAACACTTATTGCATTGACAAAAATCTCAGTAAAGTTTTCTGAAGAATTCAGATAAAATTCATTTGAAGTAATAAGATAGTGGGAAGAAGTCTAGGGAAAAGGCAGCAGAAATTAAGTTTTGAAATTGTGTGAAAATGAAATGTTGTCCTTTTTGCATTTGCATGTATCTATTTGCCAAAATTTGGCCTTTTGTGAAATATATACACTTACCATATATATATAAGCCTAGTATACATATATGAGTATATATACCTGAACTCTCAAACTACCTTATAGTTTGGCAGCTGCAGAGTAGGTATTACTAAGTTGTTTTAAGCTAGTTCTGGGAGAGTATCCTAAGGAAAAACTATTAGATATATAGTTTAGAATTATTTCCGTAATCTACTGTGACTTTCACCCTGGAGTCATCATAATTATGACTAATTTTCATAGTTAATGCTAACAATCTGGAGCAGTAGTAGCAGCCACTTTCTCTTATGGGGCAAGTCCCTGGCTTACAGAAGGTTTCTTTGTTTTGAGTCTAGCTGTGATATGGTTTGGCTCTGTGTCCTCACCCAAATCTCATCTGGAATTATAATTCCCCTGTGTCAAGAAAGGTGATTGGATCATGGGGGCAGTTTTCCTCATGCTGTTCTTGTGTTGGTGAGGGAGTTCTCATGAAGTCTGTTGGTTTAAAAGTGGCAGTTTCGCTGGGTGTGGTGGCTCACACCCGTAATCCCAGCATTTTGGGAGGCCGAGGCGGGTGGATCACGAGGTCAGGAGATCGAGACCATCCTGACTAACACCGTGAAACCCTGTCTCTACTAAAAATACAAAAAAATTAGGCGGGCATGGTGGTGGGCGCCTGTAGTCCCAGCTACTCAGGAGGCTGAGGCAAGAGAATGGCATGAACCTGGGAGGCAGAGCTTGCAGTGAGCCGAGATCGCACCACTGTACTCCAGCCTGGGGAACAGAGTGAGACTCCGTCTCAAAAAAAAAAAAAAGTGGCAGTTTCCCCTATGTGCACTCTATCTCCTGCCACCATGTAAGACATGCCTACTTCCCATTTATCTTTCGCCACGATTGTAAGTTTCCTGAGTCCTCCCCAGCCATGTAGGAGTGTGAATCAGTTAAACCTCTTTTGTTTATAAATTACCCAGTCTCATGTAGTTCTTTATAGCAGTGTGAAAACAGACTAACATAAGTTGTTATGCTGGTGAGGATAAGAGAAATGAGAGTATTCAGTGAGACCAGAAGAGAGCGAAAGATTAAAGACTTGGTCACAAGTTCTGAATCTCAGCCCAAATGTGGTTTGGCAGGCAATGTTGGGATCCACATTGATAGACAAGATTAAAGTATAGCACAGATTGGTGCCTGGGTACCTGTGCAATATCAAGAACCCAGGCGTGGAGGGAGGCACTGGGAACAGGGGCTGAGTGAGAATTTAAAAGGAGGCTAGACTATGGGTCATAACCCCTGCCAAGAGTCTGGGTAGTATGGTTAAAGGATAAACAGGAACAAGGGAAAGCATAAAGAAATCCCTCAATGGTAAGCCAATGGATTCCAAAGTAGGAATTCTTTACATGTGCCTTGTGAAGAGTCTGGATTGGTGTTTGATTGCTGGAAGGACCAAATTCATCATAGGTGCTTGTAATATAGACAAGATAGATAAGTGCTGAGGCAGAGATGCCCCTAACCCTATGCAGAGTATCTTCTCAACTTGATAAAAGTCTAGTTTTATTATCATTTTCTTTTGTGGACTGTGCATTTCTTATTTCCTAATACTTAATTAGGAACTATGCTATGATATTAAACAACTTTGTAATTACTCAAATAATGTCTAGTAAGCTCCTCCAACTTGGTATGTCTCATATTTGCCTAAACTTAACTCATCTGATTGCATGGCTTCATTGGGATTCCTTGGCGATAGGATATAATTAAATAATTTAAATGCAAGATTTCAGAGCGTGTTCTCAAGATGACTCTGTTTTTGATTTGTGTTTGGCAATTAAAAAGCAAAATCTGACCACAAGGAGGACATTGTGGAGAACCAGACTTAGATACCTCAATGATAACTAAATTTCCATGTGTTTTTCATGTGAGCCTTTAGATTACAAGGGGCTGTGAAGTATCAGAAGGATGTATGCCTCCAAGTACTAGGTCGTATTTACAGTGACATGCCAGTATTCGTCAGTAGGGCTGTGACTTTTTTTTCTGTTGATTTATTTAATAGGAAGCAATTTATTGACTTTGCAAGTGAGCATCCGTGGAGCTTGAAGCCAGAAATGGAGTGGAAAAATCTTATTTGATGTTGTGGCTCCTAGAAAATAATAACTAGAATTTGTGGTTGCAGATAAAACCAATATTGCAGAGTGGATGGCCTATCAGTGAGGGTATTAATTGCTACCAAAGACACCAAGTATCTGGTGGGAGAGTTGGTGTCACTTTTAATAAAACTCACCCTGTTTTGCTGACATGGTATTTATTGTTTAGGTATACCACAAACTGATTGTGCTTCTTATTTTGGTTATGGATTAAATTGTTCTTAAAATTTACCATTGGATACAGCAGTCAGTATGCTACCTTTGATTTTTTAAGTGTTCAAAAAATTAAGACTCTCTCAGTGGAAGTTCCAAGCATAAACTACTGATGTGATGGTCCTTAGATTATTGCATGCTTTTGTAGTATAATGCTGGGTATCACTTGGCTATGTATGTTTATCCTGCTCTTATTTTTCTTGGTGTGGCCAGGTCTAGAAGCATATGACCAAGTCATCTGCTCTGGCTTATATCCGATTTAAGTGGTAATGTTTTACTACTTGTTTCCTACTCTGTATGAAATGTCAGTTAAGAAGGATACTAAGAAAGGGCTTTACAGAGCCTACACTGTCATCCAAATGGAAAAGTAAGGTTATTGTTGGGGCATCATCTGGACTTATAAAATGTAATTGCATTGGTTCAATCTGGCTTTTATAGACTTCTATAGATTTTTAAGTTTTCCTAGAGATATAACAACATCTAAATTCTTACTGCTGACGCAGTTCTCCATTGTAGCATATCTGAGGGTGTTATGCCAAGTGTCAGGTTCCAGCCTAAGCTGAGGACCGAGGGGAGTGGGTGGATGAGTGGCAGGTAGCTGGAAAAAATGCTTGCAAGATCGTAGACAGTTTTGATATGGCTTTACTCTCTCTCTGGGCATGAGTGAGCTGTGGGTGCAAGCAAGCCATGGGTGCAGTCAAGCCATGGGCATGAGTCTTGGCGTGAGCATTAGCAGGGTAATTATACCTTTTACAGACAGTAGTGGCTCCAAACCAAGCATGTGCTCACGTGAGTGATCACCTAATGCGTCTTGCATGGTTACATAACGTACAGAGTTGTGTGCCTGTGCTCCAAATCTGCTGAGTCATGCTGCACTGGAAGGCCGCCTTGGCCTATTCCTGACTAAAGTGCAGCCATCTCCCTTACAGAAGGTCATAAGGGATTTGGGCAGTCTAATAAAGTGATATAGCATGCTGTTGACATTATTGTATATGTCACTGAATTTATGATCTGTACTTTTTTTGGGGTGTGTGTTTTACGTTATTTAAGTTTAAGGAAAGACTTCTGGAAGAAATTTTTAACACAGCATTGTCTGATTATGATATAAATGTTAATTGGATGCAAGAGAGACATGCTTTCCCAATTCTCATCGTAGTTTTAAAATATGTAAAGCCCAAACTGATCAATTGTTGAAACATTTGATGGTATATTACCTAGTATTTAAGATAGTGGAGTTATGTCAACAATGAACACAGCAATTTTTAACATTTTCTCTCATTCTACTTTTAGACATTAAACAGGTCTTCCAGGCAAAAATAGTAGTGTGAATTTAAGCGTGCTAAAAAGATTAATCTACAAAATAGGTATTTTAGACAGTTTAGGAATGTTTCAGAATTTATGATATTGGCAAATATAGAAGCTGTCATCATACTTCCTCACTGTCTAGGTATGATTCAACTATTATGTTTGTGAACGTTTATACTCTCAGCACCTGTCATAAATAGACTTCAGTAATAGTTTTTTTTTTTGTTCTGAAAGTGTTTTTCCAATATTATGTTGTAGAGATAAAAGGAAACCAATGGTAATGTTCTTAAACTCAATAATTTGTTAGAAAGTTAAAATTTATATATGAAACTATATTTTGATTGTTCTTTAGTAATCTCATGCTCCAGTTGGACAGGAAGGGAGAGAGATTACTACTGAATATAGTCAGGAAAGTTTCATGCAGGTGGCAGGAATTTAGATAGCTAACATAATTTCCCAAAGTGTCCGGCCTATCTTTTCATAATATTTCATGAATCCTAGAATAAGAGTTGGTATGTTTCTCCTTGTAGAGCAAATAGATTGTGGAAATGTATTGTTAAACTCCCAAATGCATTCAATGGTCATCTATTTTCAGTCTACTGTGTATTAAGTATTGGTTTTGGAATATATCTCTGACTAAACCAAGTTCTTGTCATAAAAAATATTGTTATGGTTAAAATCTGTAATTTTAGGACCAGCTGTTGTGTTACATGTTAGTCTGGATCCCCAAAACCAGATAATAAAGTAGTTGTTATTCATGTAAATAATAATATTGATAAATAAAATACGAGGTATTACAAATTATTGCTGATAATTGAGTATTAGAAATGTGCATGTAACTTCCAGATTTTGCTTAAGGAAAGTCTGAGAATAAGTGGCTCAAACATTCACACAAACTCAATAACTATTCTGTATAAAGCACAGTGATGGGTGCTGGGGGTAGTTATTTTGTGTATGCTTTTTGTCCAAAGTCTGGTGTAGAATAGACTCCACAGTTTTCATGGTCTCTTAGGGCATTTTTGGGTCCTGTGTACCAGAAGTTCTAACCCTGGCCTCTCATGTCTAGGGAGCTGCTGGGGCACACTAGGCAGTTTGGATCTGCCTGGCTTGTGTCAGAGGTTTCTGTTAGACTTTGTGGATGGGCCAGGCAGGGAAGTGACTGGAGATCCCCATCAGCCTGTTCTCTTAAAATGCAATTTACATGATAATACCTTACATTCTTGTACCTGCTCTATGGTATTGTAAATTCCTGTTTAAGAAAGCACAGAAAGATCTGTGTTATGTTAAGCCTAGAAAACTATTAACACAATACTTTGATATTATTATAAATGAAAGGATTTAGAGGAAAATTTCAGATATGGGCTTAAAAAGTTAGGCCACTGTTACTAACTCATAAAATGAATATTTAATGTCCTCAACTTTTTTTTTTAATAGAACAAATGACAAACATGAGTGTCTTCATTGTACCAAGAAATATGTCCTTTTCTGGAACTGAGACTACAAAATTTAAAGACACCCAGTCGTAATTTTTTGAAGTCCTTTCCCTGAAAAATCAACAAAAAAAAAAAGAGGGAAGAAAATTTGTTGTCAGATTGGGGCCAGTCTCAGAAAACTCCTGGAGGGAGAGGAGTTTTTGTTGTGGAGAACCAGACATGCAATTGCTTTTGCATGTTAAAATTTTTCTTCTCAGACATTGCCATTATAATCAACTATTATCTTACTAAATCTATAAATAGTGTTCATATGGGAAACAGACCAGAAAACCATTCAAGTAAAATAGAAAACAGTATCATAAATTTTTAAACAAAAAAGTAGAATAGCAAAATGAGAGCTTGTTTTCTTACTTGTAACCAAAATCTGATTTAAGACAACTTCACGATTTGCTCTTGAGGTAGGAGGTACCTTAGGGGAAGCCTGTGGACTTCAGCTGTTCTCAGAGGCAATACCCAGGAGCCAGTGAAATACACCCTGAGGCTGTATGAGCCAGTGATCATTTCCTGGCTTGACCAAATGGGAAGTTCTAGTGTGCTCCTGCCAATCTAATATTGTTATATTTTCATTTATTCCAAAATAGCTGTTGACAGGCTTCTATGTACTAGGTATTTATTTAGCCCTTTGGGAAATTTAATAAATAAAGGATCTATGTCCTCCTAGCATTTAGACTAGTATGAAAATAAAGCATTTGTAGCATGTTTTATTCTTCATTATATGTTGAAAAAGTTATAGATTTTGTTAGGATTAATGAAAACTAGCAATCTCCTATCTTGCCAGTCCCCACTACTTACTTTAATTTCTCAGAAAGACTATGTTGAACTTTTAGTCATTTCTTGTAATTTTTTCAAGACCGTGATTGTCCTGCTATTTTTAGAATTTGTTTTTCAGTTTTAGATATTTATCATTTGGCTTCATACTGTTTTCATACATGTCTTTACTTCATACTGTTTTACACATGCCTTTCTCCTGTTCTCTCGATAGTTAAAACAACTTTGGCAAAATAAGTTTTTCATGTTATATTGTAGTGACTTTGTACATATTAGTTACAAGTCAGCTACTTAGTTTATTGTGATTGTGTTATTTGTATAATGTTGTTTTCCCAGGAATTAACAATTGACTTGGAATTTTCTTTTTTTTTTTTTTTTTTGAGACCGAGTCTCTCTCTGTCACCTAGGCTGGAGTGCAGTGGCACGATCTCGGCTTACTGCAAGCTCTGCCTTCCGGGTTCACGCCGTTCTCCTGCCTCAGCCTCCTGAGTAGCTGGGACTACAGGTGCCCGCCACCACGCCCTGCTAATTTTTTTTGTATTTTTAGTAGAGGTGGGGTTTCATCGTGTTAGCCAGGATGGTCTCCATCTCCTGACCTCGTGACCTGCACTCCTCAGCCTCCCAAAGTGCTGGGATTACAGGCGTGAGCCACCGCGCCCAGCCAGAATTTTCTTTTTTTAAAAAACATACTTATTGTTACACTCAGGCAACCCAAACTGACCTACCTCTTGACTTCTTTCTCTGTAGACCTGTTATCATTGCCTTCCAGCATCCAGAGTTTTGTTGACTTCTTCAAACTCACCAACCAACAGCTTCAGTGGCAGTAGATACCTACCAGAATGATGGAATACTTTAACCAAAAGAAAGCACAAAAATATAATATGCTGTTATACACTCCAGTTAAAATATTCTTTCTATTTATATAATAATTTTTTGTTCAACTAACTGTTGTCAAAATGGGAATGTATTATAACATTAATACCAATATTTCTGAAGAGATCTCTTTTATCCAAACTTTAAAGAAAAGACCATTAATGTGTTTATTAGATTATCCTGAGTCTCCCAGGTAATCCATTGATTTCTGTTTTGGTAACTCTGAATAAAATCCAATATGAAATAATCATAGGGTTTAATATTTCACACCAGTTTGGCTAGTATAAGCCTAGTAATTCTGAAAAGAGAAAATATTTTAAGTTGGAATTTTTAATTCTTAAATGGAAAATATTTTTTATCTTCCTTAATGAGTTCTTTTGATGAGTTCTTTTGATTTGTTTTTCTCACTTACTTGTCTTTGTTGTTGGCTTTATGCCAGAATTACTAAACTTCTGGTCTCACAGGATGTTTCCGGTATTAAGATGGGGAAAGGAAGTGAGTAGGAATCTAACAAATAAGGCTGTATGGCCCGGTGCAATGGCTCATGCCTGTAATCCCAGCACTTTGGGAGGCTGAGGCAGGAGGATCACTTGAGTCCAAGAGTTTGAGACCATCTGGGCAACATAGTGAGACCCTGTCTCTACAAAATAAATAAGTAAATAAATAAACAAAATTAGCCAGGTGTGGTACACGCCTGTAGTCTTAGGTACTTGGGAGGCTGAGGTGGGAAGATTGCTTGAGCCTGGGAGATCGAGGCTGCAGTGATTTCACCACTGCTCTCCAATCCGAACAACAGAGCTAGACCCTGTCTCAAAAAAAAAAAAAAAAAAAAAAAAAAAAAAAAAAAAAGACATAGAAGAGGTTTATTTGTGTTACCATTTTTGTGACCCAAACATTCTAACTTTGGTTAATTATTCATTTTAAGCATTAGGTTTGAAAAATTGATATGGGTGAATTACTCTTCCATAATTGCCATTTGGACCTATGCATTTTTAAAGAATATGCTACTATAACATCCCTTTAATTTATTTGCTTAGTTTTTATTTGCTCCCACAATGTTTCTGAGTACTTGATCTTTCCCATTTCAATTTAAATTGTTCTTCTTGTTCAATTCCTACTAAAAGTAAAGCAATATAGGTACAGATAGTTTTCTAAAGCAGGCCTCTCAACTTTAATACAGAAACAGATTACCAGAGGATCTTGTTAAAATGCAGATTCTGGGGTGGGGCCTGAGAGTCTGCATTTCTAACAAACTCCCAAGATGCTGATGTTAACGCTGAATTGAACAGCAAAGATCTAACATACCTTGGATGTAGAAGTAAAGTTGATCCCTTCAGTATATGGAAGCTGTTTTCAATTATCTGTGACCCTTCAGCTTCTAGAAGTCAGTGGAAAATTTTGCATTACTGGCTGCTACTAAGTACACGAAATAGTAGATTTGTTGCTCCTTACAGACTTAAAAATGTTTGGTTATTTGTAGGTCACTGCTTACAAATGATTTCAATGCTATGTTTATCAATATATGTGTACATTTTACATATTAAATATATAAGCTATATTTCTTCCAATGTCTTTGAAGAAAAGATATTGTTGGTACTTGCTAAGCTTTAATTTGTACATACCTCTCTGATCCATAGCTGTTAGTGATTAGGATCCTATTGTATATTGTTTTATGGTTATACAAACATAAAATCACAGAATATAGTATATTCAAATTAATAGTATACAGAATATACTATATACAAATTAATAACCAGCTTTCTTGTAATGTTTCTTCTTGAGTAATTAGATATTAGCTATGAAAATATTAATTCTTTGCATTTTTTTATCTTTCCAAACAGCTCAGTCACTAAAAGAATTTGCAAGACTACTCATTGCAGTAGAAGAAGAAAGGCGAAGACTGGTAAGTCTGTTCTGTATTTCTTAAGAATATTGCTTTGTTTCAACATATTAAAGAGAAAGAATGGACTTCCTGAACTAGAGAACTTTATACAAGGCCTTATGATTTGACACGTCTACTAATTTTTACATGTATTTTTGAAAAGATTTGTGACTATAATTATCATATATTGCTGATAAGATATACCATTTTTTTCTAATTATATGCTTGGCATATGTAGGTTAGCTTTATTTTGCTTGCCATTTACTGTTCTAAGGATTAAAAATATTGATCAGACTGCCATTAAGAAACCCATTCTAATTCAGCAAACATTTAGAGGTTATAACAACCTCAGTGTTATAATACAAACATGTTTCAAATGTTTGAGACAATTCATGGAAGGAGGAACTTGCCAGGGTAGTGTTAAAAGGTAACGCTTGAGTTGAACCCTGAAGGTTGGGAGAATTTTGCTAGGCTGGGAAGGACAGGGAAAACATTCTAGATTGATGGATGAATATATGCAAAGGTATTAGAGCATAGTTATTGGTGAAACACTTATCCATTCAAAAATATGATTTTATGCCCAATGTTTTCAAATATCTGTGATGTTCTCTGTTTATGATGCAATGTCCTCATCTGTAATATGGGAAAAATAGTAGTATATATCCCACAGGATTGTTGGAAAGCATCTGTAGCAGCACCTGGCACATAGTAAATACATTTTGATGGTGATAACGATGCTGATAGTCAGTTACAGTGAGGGTTACAGACTTATCTAAGACATTATCTCTGATTTAACTGACCTCACTGTCCACTTGGGGGATTATATACACATATACAGCCATACTTCATTTCTTTGTGCTTTACTATACCACATTTTGCAGATAATGTGTGGTTTTTGTTTTTCGTTTGTTTTGTTTTTGTTTTCAAATTAAGGGTTTTGGTAACCTGCATTGAGCAAGTCTGTTGGCACCATTTTTCTAACAGCATGTGTGTACTTTCTGTCTCTGTGTCACGTTTTGGTAATTCTCTCAATGTTTCAAATTTTTTCATTAGTGTTATATCTGTTGTGGTGACCTGTGATGCGTGAATGTTAGGGTTACTATTAGGACTTTTTTGGGACTCCACAGACCCTACCCAAATAAGACTGTGAACATAATAAATGGTGAGTGTGTTCTGACTGCTGTACCAGCCAGCCATTCACCCATCTCTCTTCCTGTCCTCAGATCTCTCTATTGCCTGAAACATGAATATATTGAAATTAGGCCAACTAAAAACCTTACAGTGGCCTCTAAGTGTTCAAGTGAAAGGAAGTGTCATGTGTCTCTCACTTTTTTAAGCCAAAAGGTAGAACTGATTTAAGTTTAGTGAAGAAGGCATGTCAAAACCTGATGCAGGCTTAAAGCTAGGCCTCTTGAAACAAATAGTTAGCAAAGTGGTGAGTGCAAAGGAAAGTTCTTGGAGGAAATTAAAAGTACTAGTCTATTAAACCCACAAATGATAAGAAAACAAAACAGCACTATTACTAATATGGAGAAAATTTTAGTGGTCTGGATAGAAGATCAAACTAGCCACATTTCCTTAAGCCAAGCCCATTGAGAACAAGTCCCTAACTCTTTTTAATTCTTTTTTTTTTTTTTTTTTTCAGACAGAGTCTCACTCTGTCGTCCAGGCTGGAGTGCAGTGGCGCGATCTTTGCTCACTGCAACCTCTGCCTCCTGGGTTCAAGCGATTCTCCTGCCTCAGCCTCCTGAGTAGCTGGGATTGTAGGTGCACCCCACCCACCTGGCTAATTATTGTATTTTTAGTAGAGATGGGATTTCACCATGTTGGTCAGGCTGGTCTTGAACTCCTGACCTCGTGATCAGCCTGCCTTGGCCTCCCAAAATGCTGGGATTACAGGCGTGAGCCACTGCATCCAGCCCAACTCTTTTCAATTCTATGAATGCTGAAAGAGGTGAGGAAAGCTGCAGAAGAAGAGTTTGGAGCTAGTAGTGGTTGGTTCATAAGGTTTAAGGAAAGAAGCCATCACTATAACATAAAAATGCAAGATGAAGCAGCCAAGTGCTGATATAGAAGCTGCAGCAAGTTATCCAAAAGATCTGGCTGAGATCGTAGATGAAGGTGGCTATACTAAACAACAGAATTTCAATGTAGACAAAACAGCCTTCCCTTGGAAGAAGTTGCCATCTAGGACTTTCACAGCAATAAAAGAAAAGTAGTCAGTGTCTGGCTTCAAAGGATGGGCTGACTCTCATGTTAGGTACTAATGTAGCTGGTGATTTTAAGTTGAAGCCAGTGCTCATTTACCATTCCAGAAATCCTAGGGCCCTTAAGAATTATGCTAAATCTACCCTGTCTGGGCTCTAGTTATAGAACATGGAGCCTGGATGAGAGCACATCAGTTTACAGCATGGTTTACTGAGTATTTTAAGTCCACTGTTGAGACCTAATGTTCAGGAAAAAAAAAAAAAGATAGCATTAAAAATATTACTGCTCATTGACAATATACCTGGTCACCCAAGAGCTATGATGGAGATGTGCAAGGAAATTAGTGTTTTCATGTCTGTTAACACAACATTCATTCTGCAGCCCATGGATCAAGGAGTAATTTTGACTTTCAAGTCTTATGATTTAAGAAATACATTTTTTCAAGGCTATAGCTGCCATAGATTTTGATTCCTCTGATGGAGCTCATCAAAGTCAATTGAAAACTTTCTGGAAAGGATTTATCACTAGAAGTTGATTCTAGTGATTCCTGCTCACAAAGAGGTTAAAATATCAACTGAAGTTTGGAAGAAGTTGATTCCAGCCCTCATGGATGACTTGGAGAGGTTCAAGACTCAGTGGAGTAAATAACTATAGATGTGATGGAAGATTTAAGAGAACTAGAATTAGAAGTGGAGCCTGAAGATGTGACTGAATTGCTGCAATCTCATGATGAGACTTAAATAGATAAGGAATTGCTTCCTATGGATAAGCAAAATACATGGTTTCTTGAGATCAGATCTACTCTTGGTGAAGATACTGTGAATATTGTTGAAATAACAACAAAGGATTTAGAAGACTACATAAACTTAGTTGAGAATGCAGTAGCAGGGTTGACAAGATAGACTTCAATTTTGAAAGAAGTTCTACCATGGGTAAAATGCTATCAAACTGTAATTCATGCTACAGAGAAATTTTCTGTGAAAGGAAGATTCAATCAATGCTACAGACTTCATTGTTGTCTTAAGAAATTACCACAGCCACTCCGGCCTTCAGCAACCACCACCCTGATCAGTTAACAGTCATCAGCATCAAGACAGGAGCCTCCACCATCAAAAAGATTATGACTTGCTGAAGGCTCAGACGATTGTTAGCATTTTTCAGGCAGGAAATACTTTTAAATTAAGGTATGTACACCATTTTTTTAGACAAAACACTATTGCACACTCAGTAGACTACAATATTACATAAATATAACTTATTTGCACTGGCATCAAAAATTCATGTGACTTGCTTTATTTATATTTACACATATTCATATATTGAACTTATGTACTTTATATATTTTATTTATATTTAATGTGATATTCACTTTATTGCAGTAACTTGGAACTGAACCCACAATATCTCTGAGGTATGCCTGGTTGATATAATACTCAGGTGTGGACTGAATCCTCTGGGACTGTGACACAGTATGGTATTATTTTTCTGAACTGATAAGAGAAAGCCATTTGAGGAAGGTGGGTGTTATTAAGGTGCCCTTGACTCAGAGGGTACATTTCCTGAGCTGGGGAAGGATCACACAAGTAGGTCGTGGCAGTTGTAGAAATGAACTTGGACAGAGGCCCCAAAGTGGGAGACAGTTCTGTATAAGTTGTGGAATAAGGCAGATAGTTCTTAGAAGGGATTAGTAGAAGGTTAATTAATAGTTGTGGTCATATGCAGGGTTACAGGGCTACACCTAGAAGTTTTTGTGTTTGTTATAGGCAATGGGAGAATTCCCAGAAGTTTTTGGAGAGAAGAATGAGAGAATTAAAGTACGATTCAGGTGATATTACTTTGGTAGCCATGTGAGAAAGAGATGAGGTGGGGAAGAAATGTTCTGGCTGGTGGTGGGATGACCACATTCATTTAGGAAACATTAGCCTACATGGGTCTAGTCCCAGTGCCAGAGAGACAGCCATGCAGTGTGACCTGTACTACTAGAAATGTGTATACTTTTATGGGAGACTGACGTTTTCTGGTGGGGCAAAGAAAGGTTTTCTGTGAAGGTGACTTTGATCTGAGTTTTGAAGCCTAAATAGTATGCTGTTTTACGTGCTTTATATGTGATCCTTACTCTACCTATGTGAACTGTATCAAAGAAGTCTAACTTCCACAGGGAGAATTGGGTAGTATGTGCACTTGTGTTCAACAAGAGCCTCTGATGACAGAAATGGGAAAGAGAGGTTAGAGAGATGTGAAAATTAAGAATTAGAAGAGTAATGGAGCCAAGAGAAATAGTTCTGGGTTGGCGAGGCTGTGATTCAGATCTTGTGTAAATAGTTCAGGAAAGCAATAAACTAAGTACCATAGTTATAATTCTAGAAAATATGACGGTTTAAAGAATAGAAGAAAATGTGTTGTAGTTTTTGGGAGGAAAGAGATCCAAAGGAATGTTCTCATAGCACTGAAGAGACTTTGTAGGCATCAGAGGAAAAGCTCTTCCTTTAAGGTGGAAGAAAAGAAAGAGGGTTGATAAAAACGTAGTAGAAATGTGAAATGGTAAAATGGTTGATTGGACAAGTGGAGAATAGTGTTATGAAGGAGTGGTTATTTAATGTGCCCAGGAGTTTGTAGAAATGGTTTAGAACAGCCAAGGGGGTAAGTTATTCAAAAGAGAAGTAAGGGGACTATGGTCAGCAATGAAGAGAAATTGAAGTTAGCCATCATAAGTCTGTTAAGGATAGACTAGTTACTATGTTTTTGTGGATTTTTCTAGGAATACCCAATACTGAACTGTAAACAGTAAGCACAGTTGGGGGATCAGATTCAAGTTGATGGTTGGCTCAGAAGACAATGGTGCTGGATTAAGGAGACATGGATTTGTATAATATGAAAATGGGTATTGGTTAAGTGTAGCAATAATCGAGGCAGGAGGTTATTGATAGCCTTAGAAAGCAGAGATGGCAAGCATAACTACTTAGTGATGTTGAAGGTTCACTGGGAACAGAGGGGAGTTGGAAGACAGGGAAGTTGTGAAATGTGCTGAGCTTGGTTTTGGAGCTGGTCTGGATAGTGATGAGATTAGGATGTAGCTGAGCTGGGAGACAGGCCTTAGGAATCCAGAAAGCTGAGCTCAGAGATTTGGATGTTTTATGGACAGGATCTTGACATCATCCAATATGATGACAGAGTCAAGGACAGCGACCAAGGAGAGGAAATGGCTCAAGAATGTGTTAGAGTATCTTATAAGCCATGGAGATGAAGGAAGATCCGACCACCCATTTCTTAGTGTTTCAAAGATCTTCATTTCATTTCTTCTTTTGGCCATGTTTCTGTTTTTGGGGCAGGGAAGAAATTCTGCTTTCGTGAAATCATACTGTGGGTTTTGATTGCTTTACCTGTTGTTTCAGAAAGGGTCTGAAATAAAGAATGTGCAATGTAATGAAAAAAACTATAGATACAAGTCTAATGGAATGCATTTCCACAGATTATATACAAAATAAGCGCTGATCACACAAATCTAAACATTGCAGTGATAAGTTAACACTTCAGTCACATAAGTTAACACTTCAGTCATATGATGTTATTAAAACAATGATAGTATAGGTTTAATATCCCTTATCCAAAATGCTTGGGACCAAAAATGTTTTAGATTTCAGATTTTAAAAAATTTGGAATATTTGCATTATACTTACTGGCTAAGCATCCCAAATTTGAAAATTTCATATTGGAAGTGCTCCAGAGAGCATTTCCTTTGAACATTATGTCTGTACTCAAAAAGTTTTGGATTTTGGGACATTCCGGATTTTAGATTTTCAGATTTGGGATGCTCAACCTGTATGTATAGATGGTGAGAGATTTTGTACAAAGATGTGTCAAAGAACTTGTATTTAAAAAATTAGTGCTTTATTTGGGGAGAAGAATATTTTTAGTGTACCAGGAAATTGTAAAGGGACTATATAATTAATTATAAAACCACTAGTTCAGATTTTTTTATTGATAAATCATGAGTATTATATATATATTTGTTAGGTTTGACCAAAGTCTTCAGTATGTTGAAACAGTGAGTAAACAAAAATATCGACTGGATGCAGTTGCTCATACCTGTAATCTCAGCATGAGGAAGATTTACCATATTTAGGAAGATGAATATGTCATCTTGGTAGTTTAATGACTATTTGCAGAAAAGAGCCCAAAGAAACATGGGTTTTAGAAATGGAACTTCCTCTTGTCTCCTTCTAACTTTAAATATTGAGGATTTTTTTTGTTTTGTTTTGTTGTTTTTGTTTGTTTGTTTTTTTACATTTCTGCTAAAGCCAACTAAAATGCATAGTTTTAATGCAACAAAAAAGCACCTGAGAAAATAATGGAAAGTATGTTTCAGAACCTTTTGAGGAGGGTATAGTTTATTCTGTCTCATACATCTCACACACCTTCCATAATGCAGGATTTTCCACAGTGTGGATTGACACCTGCCATCATGTGGCTAGGCAGAGATCAGCATTTTAATGGCACAAATATAAGAAATAATCTAAAAGCTCTTTGTACTGACCTTAATAAAATGTTTATTACTTAAAAGGTGAGGATCTGGTATCGATTATTGATATATGCTTTTTAAAAAGTGCGTCTTTATTGGAAATGCTAGAATTTTTCCACATAAAATGCAGCACTTAAATGATTTGGGTTAGAAGGTGTCATTGATTAGGTGTCTTTGTGGTCAGACTCAGACTACCTCTAATACAGAGAGGGGCTTCTAAACCATGTAAACTTTGTGGTAACGTCTTCTCAGTTTCTGTACCACCATAGAAACCAGTCTTTTTCTTTAGATCACAGCTAACTTGGCTTTAAATGCCACCATTTCGTCTTAGGCTGTTCAAAATTAATTTGAACCAATGTTAACATAACAAGAGAACTCCCTGGAAAAGGATGAAATGCTAAGTTTTGGCCTTCTAGAAGAGATCTAGGTAACCTCTTCTTTGTTGTTTGTATTGAAATAGTGAAGTTGACTCTCGCCTCCATGCCACTGGAGGTGATAGTGCCTCCCCTTAAATCCCTGGAACTTCATCCACCTCCATTTCTCCTTTCTTTCTTTTTTTTTTTTTTTTTTGAGGCAGAGTCTCACTCTGTCTCCCAGGCTGGAGTGCAGTGGTGCGATCTTGACTCACTGCAGCCTCCACCTCCCAGGTTAAAGTGATTTTCGTGCCTCAGCCTCCTGAGTAGCTAGGACTACAGGCGCACGCCACTACACCTGGCTAATTTTTGTATTTTTGTTTTTTTAGTAGAGATGAGGTTTCACCCTGTTGGCGAGTCTCAAACTCTTGGCCTCAAGTGATCCACCCGCCTCGGTCTCCCAAAGTGCCGGGATTACAGGCGTGAGCCACTGAGCCTGGCCTGGCCCTTCTTAATACACTCCCTCTTGCCTGTTCTCCAGCCCTATGGGTTTCTTTCTATTCCTCTTTGTGTGTCACTACAGGCTTCTTTTGAACTTACAGCTTTGTCCTTTCCTCTGCCTTGAACATCCTCATCCATATCCTGTCATGATTGGCTCCCTCTTGTCACACAGGCTTCATCCCACATATCTCCCCTGGCCTCCTGCCCTTTCCATATAGCCTTAGTTTAGTCCCCTTGAGTTCTAACATTATAACAGAAATACCTGCGCTCATGAAGCTTGCATTCTAAGGGGAAGAAACAAACATTAAACAAATTATGTCTGGTGGTGATAAATGCTAAAAAGAAAAATAATGGAGCTGGTGGGGGATGTTGCTGTTTATGAAGATGCCTGTAATCTCAGCACTTTGGGAGGCCAAGGCAGGAGGATGGCTTTGAGGCCAGGAGTTAGAGACCAGCATGGGCAACATAGTGAGATCCAATCTCTACTAAAAAAAAAAAAATTGGATAGATTTAGATGCGTACTGTATATCTAAGTAGGCTTGTTTGGGGAGTAACTAGATATATGGGTCTAGCATTCAGGGGAGGAGCTGGGGCTGGAGATATAAATTTAGGAGTTGTCAACATGTGTGAGGCATTTAAAGCTATAGGAATGGGTGAGATCACCCAGGCTAAGAGTATGAGACAGAAGAGAAAGGGTGGGAGGATAGAGCTCTGAGGTTCATCGAGTCCACAGTTTGATCAGATGTGGTAGAATCAAGGTAGAGTCTAATGTCCTCCTAGGGAGACATTAGATCAATAGGAGAACTGAGAGGAAGCTTTTTGGATGGCTTGGTCAAAGCCCCGTTTCTTCACTTGCATGTAGTAGAGATGTGGGACCATAACAGACATAGGTGGTGGACCCAGTGGCTGCAGCATTCCTTAGGACAGAAGGTCCAAATTATCTGGTCCACTTTATGCTCCTCCTTTACCCTCCAATCATTGTCTGACCCCTGGGCCCCTCACTTTCTAGTATAGTCCCTGACCTTGACAAATGATTTCTTATGTGTTTAGCAATGTAGATTTTTTTTCTTGGCTATATCTTTGTCACCAGTGGGGGAAGCTTCAACTTCAAAATATTTTATCTAGGGTTTATCTTAAAGAATTTATACCAGTGAACTTATTTCTTTTATTTTTCATTTTGATGAACATGAGAACTATCATTGCCCACAACATTTCACATTTGCCTTTGACCTGTGTAAGTTACAAATTTTGCTTTAGGTTTTCCAGAACTGTATATTTTTTTAGAGACAGAATCTCACTCTGTCACCTGGGCTCGTCACTGTAGCCTTGGATTCTTAGGCTCAAGTGATCCTCCTGCCTCAGCCTCCTGGGTAGCTAGGACTATAGGCACATGCCACCATGGGCAGCTAATTCTCAAGTTTTTATCTTTTTATTTTTATTTTTCAGAGATTGTGGGTCTCACCATATTGCATAGGCTGGTATTGAACACCTGACCTCAAGTAATGATTTCACCTCGGCCTCTCAAAGTACTAGGATTGCAGGCATGAGCCACTGTGCCCAGCCTGTCTTTTTATCCTTGAGTAATAAAAGTACTTCCCTGAAATGAACTAGCTGTCTGGGTATTATTTTGGGACAAAAAAAAATTATAGGAGGACTTAGAAGAAAAATTTATAACCTTCATTAAAATTTAAATAATATTTTCTTTATAAGACTATTAAGGCCTCTGTTTTTCTTTCACTTTTGTTTTAAAACATAAAGTTAATAAAGATTAATGGGAGTAAAATCAGAATAGTTTTAGATGTATATTTTTTAATTTTTAAATTTTTTTTTTTTTTTTAGTCAGAGTCTCGCACTGCCACCTGGGCTGGAGTGCAATGGCAGGATCTAGGCTCAATGCAACCTCAGCCTCCCGAGTAGCTGGGATTACAGGCGCCTGTCACCATGCCCAGCTAATTTTTTGTATTTTTATTAGAGATGGGGTTTCACTATGTTGGCCAGGCTGGTCTCAAACTCCTGACCTCGTGATCCACCCGCCTTGGCCTCCAAAAGTGCTGGGATTACAGGCGTGAGCCACCGTACCTGGCCTAGATATTTAAGAAAGAAAAAAGTGTGTCGGTAACGTCATTTGATTTTGAGCTTTCGTGTGAGCCTCAAAAGATGTGAAGAATCTATTAGTGGTGGTCAGTACATTAGACATCAGGAATATGTGTCTGTTGAACACCTGAAATGTGTTTGTTGTTATGTGCCTTGCATTATATTTCTATGGGGCAGCACTGCTTTAGATGATGATAGCAACTGACACTGAGCATTCCAAGGTGCAAGGCACTGCTGCAGTTGCTTCATGTGTTTCAACTAATTTAATATGAACAGCAGTCTTCAGAAGTGTATGCTATTAATATACCCATTTCAAAGTGTATGCTATTAATATAGCCATTTCAAAGAAGAGGAAACTCAAAGGCACATAACTAATACGTGGTACCGCAAGGGTTTGAACCCATGCTGTGGGGATCTGGAGCCTTCATATAAATCACAGTGTCACAAATTAAGACTCTATTTCAATTACAGATTCCATTAATAACAATAACTAACATATATTGTTGATATCATATGTAAGATGTGCTAATAAGTACTTTAGATGTATTACTTCAATATCTTACAAAAATTAGGGAAGAAGGGAAGAAGATAGTCATAAGTTTTGAAATTATCTTAATTTTCAATAAGTTCATCATATTGTTACTGAAAAGGGATCCCGATCCAAATCCCAAGAGAGGGTTCTTGGACCTTGTGCAAGACAGAATTTGGGGCGAGTCTGTAAAATGAAAGTTATTATAGGTGTAAAGAAACAAAAGAATGGCTACTTCATAGGCAGAGCAGTGGCATGGGCTGTTCAACTGACTATACTTATAGTTACTTCTTGATTATATGCTAAACAAGGGGTGGAGTATTCAGGAGTTTTCTGGGAAAGGGGTGGACAGTTCCTGGAACTGAAGGTCCCTTCCCTTTTTAGACCATGTAGGGTAACTTCCTGACATTGCCATAGCATTTATAAACTGTCATGGTGCTGGTGGGAGTGCCTTTTAGCATGCTAATGCATTATAATTAATGTATAATGAACAATGAGGATGACCAGAGGTCCCTTTTGATGCCATCTTGGTATTGGTGGGTTTTGGCTGGTTTCTTTACTGCATCCTGTTTTATCAGCAAGGTCTTTATGACCAGCATCTTGTGCCAACCTTCACTCCTCATCCTGTGACTAAGAATCCCCAACCTCCTGGGAAAGTAGCCCAGTTAAGTCTCAGCCTTATTTTACTCCACCCCTATTCAAGATGGACTTGCTGTGGTTCAAATGCCTCTGATAATACTTAGTCATATATTTCTATGAAAACTTTATCCATCAATCCTTTGACAGTTCCCACATTAAATTTTTGACATGTAAGATCTAAAAATGTTCAGTGAATCTGATAAACCTATTTAAGTCTTTCCCCCATTCTTGAACCCAGAATTTATGAAGTAGTAGAATATTTTAAATATCGAAAGAATTACGTATCCCCATTTCTCTTGATGAAAGATTTCCCTTTATTTATTATTTTTGCCGTACATCTTTGCTTTGCGGATATGCCCTCGATAGGTGATACTGATTAATCTTAAGTTTCTGGCTTTGGTGCTGTTATATGCTTAAGTGCGATTATCTGTGAAGTAATACAGTTTCTTTTATTGTCTCAGATAAATGAGGCACAGTATGCCAAAATTCCACATGTATGAAAACGGATTATGTTTCTGGTATGTCTTAGGTTAACTTTAATTAGAAACAAATTTTAGGTATGTTGGCCTCCATAGCAACATTCTTCTACAGTGATTTCACCTGAAATTAAAAAAAATAATAATAAATCATCTCAGTGTCCTACATGCATAAAGTTCTGATTTTCACATTTACTGAATTGTGGATGCTTTCCATCTCCTGATTTCCAGTTTTCTGGTGAAATATTAAGGTAAGAGTGAGAGGTGGTAGATCATATACAGTTTATCATAACTGCAATAATAGTGGCTTTTATATTTTAGTGCTAATAATCATAAAATTCATTTTTAAATTTTTTATTTGTTTGTTTGTTTGTTTATTTATTTATTTATTTATTTATTTTTGGGACAAGTCTCACTTTGTTGCCCAGGCTGGAGTGCGTTGGCACCGTCTTGGCTCACTGCAACCTCTGCCTTCCGAGCTCAAGTGATTCTTGTGCCTTGACCTCCCAAGTAGCTGCCATTATAGCTGCCCGCCACCACGCCTGGCTAATTTTTGTATTTTTAATAGAGACGGGGTTTCACCGTGTTGGCCAGGCTGGTCTCGAACTCCTGACCTCAGGTGATTGACCTGCCTTGGCCTCTCAAAGTCTGGGGATTACAGGCATGAGGCACCATTCCTGGCCCCTCATTTGTATTTTTTAATTGTGCAAAGAGCTTTTATATACATTTTCTTTTTTTTTTTTCTTTTGAGACAGACTTTTGCTCTTGTTGCCCAGGCTGGAGTGCAATGGCACGATCTCGGCTCACTGCAACTTCCGCCCCCCAGGTTCAAGAGATTCTCCTGCCTCAGCCTCCTGAGTAGCTGAGATTACAGGCATGCATCAACATGTCTGGCCAATTTTTGTATTTTTAGTAGAGATAGGCTTTCACCACGTTGGCAAGGTTGGTCTCGAACTCCTGACCTCAGGAAATCCACCCGCCTCGGTCTCCCAAAGTGCTAGGATTACAGGCGTGAGCCACCGGGTCCGGCCTTTTTATATACATGTTATTTGATCCTTACAACAATCTGAAACAGCACAGCCTGTAAATGAGTTACTCAGTGTGATGTCGACCTCCAGTAAGTGACCACACTTTACATATAGGACCCAGTTCCAGGAGTTGGGGCTTGCAGCTCATTGTTCTGTTCTATCCCATGTCTTCTCTGGGAAGACATGGGATATGAGCTGCCACACAACACCTGCACTTCTGATCTCTTTCCTCGCATCTCTAGTTCTTTCATTTTCCTGCCTTTGGCATTTATCCTAGTTTTATACGTTTTACTTTGGAGTCTTGTAATTGCACATCATATTGAAATCTTTCCATTTTTATCTTTGCACTTTTGGAAATACATTTACTCTCTGCTGTTGGCCATCACTTTCCATTGGTACAGTTGGGGAAGTGCTAGTCTTTATTCCATTCATAAACCATGTTTTGATGTTCTTCTTTGATACTTGGGAAGCACAAAGATACTTTGATAATATAAAAGGTAAATGTATATAAAGTTAGTGTGTAACTGTCCCTTAAAAGTTTAACATCTGGGTGAGGCACTCAATTTTAAAGGACAGAAAAATAAACCTAAATAGGCATGAGGTAGACTAGCAAAATACCTATAAAAGATATCCTGAAGGGAAATTTTAAATAATGGTAACAAAGCTATGGATGAATGGGAAATATCAGCTGACAGACCAACCAGATATTCAGAAATAAGGGAACATTTTTTGGTTAGCACAATGCTTTTTGTCTTTGCTTCTGATTAAACCATAGAGTATATTTATGCACTACAGAAGAAAATGCAAATTTAACTTGATAATTTGATACATGTAATTTCAAGAGAAAGGGCAACAAAAGCTTTTTAAAATTAAACTTTTTTTGGGATAATTATAAATTCACTCTTTTTTTTTTTTTTTTTTTTTGAGACGGAGTCTCGCTCTGTCGCCCAGGCCGGACTGCGGACTGCAGTGGCGCAATCTCGGCTCACTGCAAGCTCCGCTTCCCGGGTTCACGCCATTCTCCTGCCTCAGCCTCCCGAGTAGCTGGGACTACAGGCGCCCGCCACCGCGCCCGGCTAATTTTTTGTATTTTTAGTAGAGACGGGGTTTCACCTTGTTAGCCAGGATGGTCTCGATCTCCTGACCTCATGATCCACCCGCCTCGGCCTCCCAAAGTGCTGGGATTACAGGCGTGAGCCACCGCGCCCGGCCAAATTCACTCTTAACTATAAAAAATAACTAGAAATCGGGTGTATTCTTTACTGACAATTTCTCCCAATGTAATACCTCATAAAA